>NC_000002.12:205368405-205671436 GCF_000001405.40 Homo sapiens
GTGGATCACTTGAGGCCAGGAGTTTAAGACCAGCCTGGCCAAGATGGTGAAACCTCATCTCTACTAAAAATACAAAATTAGCCGTGCGTGATGGTGCACACCTGTAATCCCAGCTACTTGGGAGGCTGAGGCATGAGAATTGCTTGAACCCAGGAGGCAGCGTTTGCAGTGAGCTGAGATCGGGCCACTGCACTCCAGCCTGGGCAACAGAGCAAGATTCCGTCTCAAAAATAAAAGTTGTAAAATAAAAAATTCAAATAAAAGAATAGACAATCCCCTATTGGCAGGTACAAAACTAACGTTATCATTGTGATCTTACTTTTAATTACCTCTCTAATATTTCTAAAGTATTTGTGGAACATGAGACTGGTAGGCATGTCGTGTCCTCAGGCACTGTGTCTACCTTGTAACACAAATTATCTACCTGTTCTCAATTCAGGGGAGCTTGGGAAAACAAAAAAAAAAAAAACACCCCATAACGTTGAAGAGCTCTCGTAACTCTTCTCTATGACTTGTCTTCCTCCTGACTCAGGGAATGAATCAAAAGTTAGTGTGCTTCATAACCTGTACTTCAGTTCTTTTTCCTGGCAAAACACTCTAAAATGTAAGTTCCTGTGTTGTTAAGTTTGATGGGACCCTGTTGCATATTTCAAGTATAGATACAGCTTTACCTACTGAACACTTGCCCTCTTTTCTGTGGCTGCAAGAGAAATTGGGTGCCTTAAAGGCAGTATTAAAAGAATGTGCAACTATCTACTCTCAAGATTGTGTGAAATACATTAGTAATAGTGTGCACAGCCTATGTTGAAATTTATCATGGACAAATTGTGAGTGAGGATTTTACTCAACACTCAGTTTTACCATTACCAAACCTGCTCTCCAGCGTCTAGTCACCACCCTTATTCTCCTAATTCAGACATTTATTTTCTCTCCCTAGTGTCATGGGCTCCTAACTGGTCTACCTCCACCCAGCATCTTTCTCCCGTGTCCCATTTTCCAGTGAGAGCCAGCATGATCTGTCTCACAGGCTGGCACACAGCTCACCTCCACACGTAGAATGAGATGGAAATTCTTTAAACAGCCTACGGGCGCCTTCGTGTTCTGATTCCTGTCTACATGACCCACCACATCTTCAACTTGTTCTCCACTTGTAAATTCTGCTTCTTCAGTCTGGAACTATCCTGTAAAAATAGAGTTAAAGAAAAATTTCTTCCCATTTTTCAAGACCCAGGTCAAGTCCTCTAACTCTATCCTGTGGAGGCTTCTTCAGCTTACCACCTCAATGCTTTAACCTCCCTACATTACAGATAATCACAGTGTAATTACTTGTTTGTATGACTTTTTCCAAGTGGGACAAGGAGCTGTTTAAGGGCTTAACTTTTACATTCTTACTTCCTGTACAAAGCATGCAGTGCATCAGCTGAGAAGTAGAATGTTTTTGTTGACTAGATATGTTAACTTATTAATAAAATAGAGATTATATGCTTTTAAAATAAACAAGCAATAATTGAGCTCTAGTCATTAGCTAGCAGCAAGTCAGACCATGGACCTAACTTCTCTTGGCTCATGGCTCCTCCTAGAGACTTTGTCCCCAGAGCCCCTCCCTGCTGGACTGCTCCCAAGAACATCTTTTCCTCACTTCCCCAAGGACGTGCCTTCAGAGTGACCTAGAGACCCTTGCAAACAAGTTAGGGGTCCAGAGGGAGAAAAAGGCAGGAGTCACTTAGTCATTTTCCACTTTGCTTTCTAGTTGTCTTAATGATGTAGTGAAAATAGTAATATGTTGTTTTCCAGAAGAACAACTCCCAAACTAGTCAATTTTTTTAAGTGGAGGTCATGATAAGGCAACCAAGTTTTTTATTTCACCAAGTAAAAACATAAATGAAACCCCTCATCTACTAGAACCATTGTTTCATAAACAAAAGCATATTTAAGTATTAACAGAATAGGAAGGTTGTAATTGCAGAAAGTAGGAGAATCATTTCAATTAAACAAATGCAGTGAGATTTTTATGAAGTGAAGTTGTACCTGTTTTTCCCACAGCATGGCACCCATATCCTGGACCAGTTCAGGATAATATGCAATGTGTACCTCTCGAGGAAGGCAGGGATGGCCTGCCAACAGCAGGCCCGGGAAAGGGCAGGAGTATCTCCCGGCTGCTCATAACTGACCTTATGGATCTACCAATTGCCAGGAGGAAGACACAGTTCATTCTGTCCTCTTCCTGATGTTTCTACTGCTAAGAATTGCTCTTGGATGCAGTAGAGGGGAACCTATATCTTGAAAGCTGAATCCGAGCTGTTATTTAAGAATTTCTGAAAGTATCGACAGATGACAGTAGCACTTTTAACTTGGAGAAGAAGAGCACTTTAAGTGCATTCTGTCATCTTGGTTACTTACTGAAATCTGTTCATGGTAGAGTGGGTGGTAGGGTGATGTTTGCCTTGGCTTGACAGCTGTCAACTGTCTGTGTGTGGTTTGTCATTTGTTGCTTTTGGCTTGTGGGTGGTCTGCAGTCCATATTTCTTGTGTATGTCATTTCATTCACAAGTAACTCCAGGGGGGCAGCTGTGGGCACCTTGCTATTGCTGAAGTGCGAGCCTCCACCTTCTGTGACATTGCTTGGCTTCTGTTGGTACCATCTCCCACCAATATCAAATGCTTGACATCCTTAGTCATGGACCAATGTTTGGGTGATTTTTATTTTCATAATTGAAAATCATCTTGGAAAAGTGGGGATCTTTCCCATCACTCTATTAGCTAAGTTTTGTTGTTTCGAGAGAGAAATGAATATTCACTTTTAATGTCTCTAACATGGAGTCATTTAAAAAATACCAGTGAAGTTACAGATTGCTCAGCCTTCAGCCTGACATTGAGAATCTTAACACATCTGTATAGGAAAGTTGTATAAATAACCACACACAATGAAACTTGTTCTGTATGGGGCCTACTTTCTCTGGTGGTGGAATTATTAAATGTGGCAGGTAGACACATTCTTCTAAGTTTTGAACTATGGTCTGTAGAACAAAGCAGCTTGTGACTGTGATATTGTCCTGAATGTTTGTGTTTATTGACTGGCCACTGTGCTGACATGGAACTAGGAAGTGGGCATCAGAGGCTGTAGAGTTTTCTGATTTGTGTACCTATCTATATATTCCAGGATTATCCTCCAGAGAAAATAACCTATAGTTAGAGCATCAGTATTTGGAGTTTCTTCCTTAGAAGATCCTGGAGATGATATCATCATCTCAAAAGCTTAAACTTCACTGTAACCCAGTCATTTGATTTGGGGAAGAGAGGGTTTTTATTAAGATATAATTCACATGCCATAAAATTCAACCGTTTGAAGTGTAGAATCCAGTGGTTTTTAATATATTCACAGAGTTGTACAATCATTATAATCAACTTCAGGATATTTTATCACCCTAAACAACCACTAATCTACTTTCTGTCGCTCTACATTTGTCTATTCTATATATTTAATATAAATAGAATTATGTACCATGGGGTCTTTGCGACTGGCTTCTTTCACTTAGCATAGTGTTGTCAAGGTTCATCCATGTTGTAACATGTATCAGTACGTGTATCCCTTTTTATTGCCTAATAATATTCTATTGTGTGCATAAATACCACATTTTATTTATCCATTCATCAGTTGATGGACATTTGGGTGGTTTCCACCTTTTGTCTATTGTAAATAATAATGCTATGAATATTCGTGTACAAATTTTGCATGAATATATGCTTTCATTTTCATAGATATATATTTAAGAGTGGAATTTCTGGGTATATGGTGACTCTATGTTTAACTTTCTGAAGAACTGCAAGACCATTTGCCAAAGTGACTGCATGTTTTTACCATCCCACCAGCAGGGTATGAAGGCTCTAATTTATCTACATCCTCACAAACATGTGTTCTTATCTATCCTTGTTATTATAGCAATCTTAGTAGTTTTGAAGTGGTTTTGAGTGGTGTCTCATTGTGGCTTTGATTTGCATTTCTCTGGTGACTGTGACTAATGACTTTGAATTTTTTCTCTTGTGCTCATTGAAAATTTGTATATTTCCTTTGAAGAAATGTCTATCAGTTTCCAGTCATTTAACTTTAGGACCTGTTTTCAAATATGAATAAATCTAAAAGGTAAATAATTGGAAATGAGAAATGTAGAGAAAAATGAGGAAAAAATTTGGTTTATATAAAGTTTCCTTCCTTTTCTAATATTCTTATCTACTAAATGACTCTGAATATTTATTTCTTATCCACACTGCATAAAATTAAAAACATTTTTAAAAGGCCAGGTTTGGTGGCTCACACTTGTAATATTAGCACTTTTGGAGGCCAAGGCAGAAAATTACTTGACTCCAGTAGTTCGAGAGCAGCCTGGGAAACATAGTGAGACTTCATTTCTACAAAAGGTCCAAAAATCAGCCAGCATAGTGCCATGAGCCTGTAAGCCCAGCTACTCGGGAGGCTGAGGTGGGAGGATCACTTGAATCTAGGAGGTCAAGGTTGCAGTGAGCTTTCATTGCACCACTGCACTCCAGCCTGGGCTACAGAGCAAGACCCTGTCTAACTAAATGAATGATGAATTATTTTTTTAAATCATTATTTCCTCTGCTTCAAAAACTAAACTTTTAGTATTAAAAATGTAGAGGCTTGCTTTTATTTCATTCTGAATGAAATCCTTTGTCAGAGGGACCCAGTTGCCATGTGCTATTCAGGGAAAGATGGTCAGTTCTAGTGCTGAGATATAGTCTAAGATGCAGGACCTGGATGTTTTTCTCAGATTCTTTGATTCTCCAGGGGGAATCAGAAGATGAAAATCAAACCTTAGCCCTGTACATTTCAGAAGCAAGGAAAGGACTAGTGAGAACACCAGCTCTCTCCACTGCTCTGATCCTAGGTGTAGTCACTCCATACCTGTTAACTGAGTAACAGAAGGATGCCTCCTAAAACTGCGAACCATTTTATAGAGAAGATATGTCTATTAGAATTTTTCACCACAGCAATGGATTATGGGTTTTTTTCTGTGTTTCTATTCATGCCTCTTCCATGCATTAGATGAGAAGCAAAGGCAGAACTATTAGACTTCAAATAAATTTGGCATAATGGTTCAAACCATTCCAAGTGAAAAGGAAAAAATCAAGATGAATCAACCAATTAAAGCCATAGTTGAAGTTTATTAGTAAAATGTAAAGGTATATCAAAAATGAATAGAGAGGAAAATCTTAATTCAATGACAATATTTCTTATCCTCAGTTATGCTTGATACTTTCATGCTACAAGAAAAGTTAATATCTAGTCCTTAAATACGTTGTTGATTTTTCTTGATCCGCAACTGTGATCTTGTTTAAACCCACTTAGTATCCAGTAAAGGTTGCCTTCATTCCATGTGACCACAGGGATGGCTTACCCCTTGCTCTGTTTATGTAGAATTATGTAATGAGATTATCATTTCTGCATGCTAGAAAGATGTAGTGTTTAACCATTTCAGATCCTCCTAGCATTAAATTCATCACTGATGTCTATTTTCGGTAATCTCTTTTCTTATTCTGTCTTCTATAAACTTTCCATATTTACTTAGCTTGCCCAGTGGAGAGCACACAATAACTGTCAGTAGCGATCATGAGAGTCTTGAGGATTGGGGAAAAGTGCAATGAGAAAGCCAGGAGGCTGAAATAGAGGTTTGAAAGCAAAAGAGAAAGAGGGAAATGTCTAAGCTTTTCTTTTTCCTATTTAAAATTAACCACATTACAGGAAATTGAGGAAAAATGAAAAAAAAAAAAAGATGCTCTCTTCTTCATAATCCCATACAAAACAACCACTTTATTATTATTATTATTTTTTTGAGATGGAATCTTTCTCGGTAGCCCAGGCTGGAATACAGTGGAGCAATCTCAGCTCACTGCAACCTCTGTCTCTTGGGTCCCGGTTCAAGCAATTCTCCTGCCTCCTGAGTAGCTGGGATTACAGGCACAGGCCACCATGCCCAGCTAATCTTTGTATTTTTAGTAGAAACGGTTTCGCCATGTTGGCCAGGCTGGTCTTGAACCCCTGACCTCATGATCCGCCTGCCTCAGCCTCCCAAAGTGCTGGGATTACAGGCATGAGCCACTGCGTCCGGCCCAACCACTTTAATTTTTATATATTTCTTTCAGTCTTTTATTCTATATATTTTGCCTGGCTTTATATAAATCTTGTTTCCTGGTTTTATTTAATATGATATTATAGCTAATTTTTTACCCCGTTACAGTCTTCCACAAATCCATAATTTTTCACTGCTGCATAATACTCCATCAGGTGGAGACAACAAAATTTAATTAGTAGTCTTTAGTATGACAGAGTTTGAAAGAACTCTGCTTGGAAATAAAAAAGATAGATTAAGAGTGTAACCATAAAATGAAACAAGCCAAGAAAATTAAGAGAGAAAAATTTTTGAGCAGAATTCCTTCCAGTTTTTCAAAGGTTAGACATGCCACCATGCATGAGCACAAAGCACAATGAAGACTGAGCATATATGATTAAGAGGTTAGTTTCATAATCAAATAATTTAAATTATTATGATACATTTAATGATATGTAAAATTTTAATAGCACTTTATGGTAATTAGACATAAATAATAAATTTTAACATAGGTAACCCCATAATGTAATTAGGGATGATTTTACATACCAAACAGGATTCTCAAAGTTCCTCTTTGTTCTCCAGTACTGTTCTTATAATCGTTGTCAATGTCAAGTATTACCCTGACACTTGTCTCATCCAATGATACTGGAAGATATCCCCCCAAAATGAAACTTTTTGTATTTATGGATAAAAATTATTTAACGTGCATAAAGTACTGTGAAATACAATGTAAAGAACACTGAGATAATTTGGATATATTCCTGATTTCAGGTAGCCATAGAGATGAATACTTCATTTATTCATTCGCTCATTCATTCCTTAAGAGAATAATAGGAACTAAGGCTAAAGAAGTGAGTGAGGGGAAGGGTCAGGAAGAGCCCTCTGGGTCAGTGTAAATGATCTGAACTTGATTTCAGAGGCAATAGGGAGCCGACAGAGACCTTTCAGCAAGGTTTAAACACACACACATTTATACATTTTTTTAGAAATGAACATGGGAGAAGTGTGGAAAAGGGACTAGAGTAGGAGAGATTTGTGGCAAGACATTGAGTCAGTAGGAGACTTTTGGAAAATCCCAGAGAACACAAGGGCCTGCTCAAAGGCACTGGCAGCAGGATGGAATTGAGAGAGAGAGAGAACGCACATGTTTGTAATTTAAGAGATTGTCTCTCTACTGGAACAAGCTAGAAGGGAGGAGGAAGAGGCTTAAAGAAAAAGGTAAGTTATGCTTTTACTTGAATTTGAGAAGCCTCTGGACAGACTAGAGGAGAGGTCTTATTTTTAGGTAGTAGACTGAAACAGAGAAGGGGAGAAACAAGCCCTTTTAAATGTTAAGAAGGAAGAGGCAGAAATGAAAGCACACTTGTCCTGCCAGCAGTACATTTCAAGAAGTATAGAATGCTAGACAGTGCTCAGCTACAACAAATTGACAAGAATAGGATCCAAAAATGGACACAGGGGTCATCTGTGACCTTAGCAAGAAAAGTTTAAGAAAGTTCATTGAGTTAAAACCCAGACATTAATAACAAGTGTTTACTGACTGTTTTCTATGGGCGGGCACTGTTCCAAGGACTTTACCGTAGATTATCCCATTTAACTTTCCATAATCCTGTGATATGTTTTCTATCATTATCTCCACCTCACAGATGAAAAAACAGGTTTGGAGGACTGAGAAACACGAGGCCACCAGATAGATAATAAGAAACAGCTGGGGATCAAAGCAGGCAGAGTCCACAAGCCAAGCAGGGCCTCACCACACTAAGTAATGGGTCGGAGGATACTTAGGAGTTGAGGAAACAGTGAAAACAAGTGTCGACATCCCTTCTAAGATTCCATGGGTTGGACGACAGAGGCTGGGAGAGCAGCTGGCCCATTACCCACCCCTAGGAAGAATGGCAGATCCTTGAGCAGCGATGATGTCTGAGGATGGGAGAAGCCCAAGCAAACAAACAGTAAAGTGATCTAATGACGTGAGGTATTGGGAGAAGTTGGGGAGGGATGAAGCTTTAGTCTGCTGGTTTCTGTCAAGAAATCTAGGGGTAATGGTGGGGACTTTAAGCAAAATCATGGCTGATGTGTTCAAGTACTGCATGCAACTGAGAGTGGGGTGCTGTAGGACATGCAGTTTGATAGCAGCATAAAATCCGGAATCACTGCCATGGGAGATGTAAACGAAAGCTGTGGAGGAATAAGTAAAATCATTACTGAGCAGTCCTGAGGCAAGAGAAAATAAATTGGAGGTTGTATGTAGGTGGCTACAGCATTATGGGTGAGGTGGAGGGTCTGGGGGAACAGCTGTAAATTGATGGGTGTCCTGAAGGAAAGAAAGTACATGGGTAGATGGCTTCAGTGAGAATGGAGAGGAGTTTGTTGCCGTGTTTTGTTTTTTAAAAAGACTGGAAAAACACGTTCTTTAAGTAGTAAAATGGAGGCAGGAAATGCTGTTACGGCCTCCAAGCCCAGAGATGATATAATAGCTAATGTTAACTGAGCACCAAAGTATGTATTGGAACTGTTCTACACACTTTATAACAAGTCTGTGAAATCAGAACCTTATTAGAGTTAGCTGGGAGAATGCACAGCTCCTGTGTGTAAGGACCACCAGCAAAGCCAAGTTTCAGTTACCATAAAAAGTTGGAGGAAAGGATTTAGTGAAAGGAAATGCAACCTTAGTTAGAAGGAAGAGAGTGGGTAGATGTTTTCCCTCTAACAGGAAAACATCAGTGTTTCTCGTCTTCACCTGAACAAGGTTTCACCTGGAGTTCATGGTAAAATACAGATTCTGACTCAGAGTTCTGATTCTGGAAATTCTGATTCAAAGTTTGAGTGGGCCTTGAACTCATTTTTGAAATAAGCTCCTCATGATCATAGAAGTTTGGGAAACACCAGTAAGGGGTTTAACCACCAGTGTTAGAAACTGGGTCAGCAGAAGAGAATGCCAGAAATGAGGGATGAGAGGGAGGGAAGAGGGAAAGAACCAGCACCCAGATGAGCCTAAAAGGATGGGAGGGAGATCCCCAGCCCTATACTCAAAGATAAGAGGCTCCAAGTCTCTGATCTGGTAGAAGCCCACAAGGGACTGGAGACCAGTCCTCACACCCTACCAACTCCAGTAGCCAAGTGGAGTCTCCTGGCTCACATCTTTAACAAATGACATGAGAGCACACAGAACATCAGGTCCCTCTAATCAGTTTTGATATCGAGACCAAGTATCACATGGTGTAATCCAATTTTTTTTTTTTTTTTTTTTTTTTGAGACAGGGTTTCGCTCTTGTTCCCCAGGCTGGAGTGCAATGGTGAGGTCTTGGCTCACTGCAACCTCCGTCTTCTGGGTTCAAGTGATTCTCCTGCCTCAGCCTCCCAAGTAGCTGGGACTGCAGCCACGTGCCACCACGCCCAGCTTATGTTTGTATTTTTAGTAGAGACGTGGTTTCACCATGTTAGCCAGGCTAGTCTTGAACTCCTGACCTCAGGTGATCCATCTGCCTTGGCCTCCCAAAGTGCTGGGATTACAGGCGTGAGTCACCATGCCCAGCTGGTGTAATCCACTTTTAGGGTTAAAATATGTCCTTTTCTGAATCACCACCTCACCCCACAAAAGCAACTTATGCCTGCTACCAGACACCTAAAATCCTTTGCAGGGGGACCAAGGGTCCACCACCCTCTCACAGTTATAACAGACTTAAAATGCAAAAGCCAGGAAGAGAGGATGCATTGAAATTCCTTCACAGTACAGTGAATCCATCAATCAACCAGTGTAAACTACTGATCTCAGTGCCCTGAACAGGCAGGTTGAACAAAGGGATTCGAGGCCATTGGAGGCCTGGGTACTGGATACCTGTTGTCAGCCACCTCCCTAAGGGAAACAGAGGTGGAAGGGAAAAAAGAAGAAAGTTTCAAGTAAGTGTCATTTTTCTTTGTTTTACCTCAGAAGGCCCAAGGCTGGCCTGTTTACATTCAGAATAGAAAAGCCAACATGAGAGCTGCGTACTGAGGTATTCTTACTCTGCCAGAGCTTACCCAGGCACAGCTTCTCAGGAGTGCAGCTTCACCATGCTCCCAGGGCTGGAAGTTAGCAGAAAAGAGACATGATTTTTTTTTCTTTTTTTTTTTTTTTGAGACAGAGTTTCACTCAGTCGTCAGGCTGGAGTGCAATGGCACGATCTCAGCTCACTGCAACCTCCGCCTCCCAGGTTCAAGTGATTCTCCTGCCTCAGCCTCCTGAGTATTTGGGACTACAGGCGTGCACCACCACACCCAGCTAATTTTTGTATTTTTAGTAGAGACGGGGTTTCACTATGTTGGCCAGGATGGTCTCAATCTCTTGACCTTGTGATCTGCCCGCCTCGGCCTCGCAAAGTGCTGGGATTACAGGTGTGAGCCACCATGCCTGGCCTTTTTTTTTTCTTTCTTTTTTAAGGAGAAAAGAACCGTCTGTGGCTACTTCTAAAGCAGCTGCTGATAGGCTCTGATTAAGAGTTATCAGTAGGTTCCTTCAAAGTCTTGAATCAGGAAGCCACGAAAAAAACTCTGAGAAAAAATATAGAGGGGAGTTTGAGAGGGCTAAATACTGATTCTCACAGACTTTGATTGAAAAATTGTACTGAATTTGAAACACATGAGCAATGGTTGTTCTCAAAGGCTCCATAATTCAGCTACTTCACTACAAATTCACTGAACTGCCTCTGGTTTTGCTTCAAATCCCTGCCACCACCAAAAATGTTAGAGGCAATCAAATACCGGGTTATAATTCATGGAGATTAATATTGACAGGCAGACAGGTCCCTCCTCTCTGAGTTTCATGGGATTGGCCTCCAGTGAACCTGGACACTTGACAACTGTTAGGTGAAATCTACATGTGCATGCTGAATCTTTAGGGACGAATCCAGAATGTACCCATGTTCCATGATTATGATGAAGTCTAATATTATTATATTTGGGGTTTTTTTTAAAAAAAAAGCAAACATAGACTCTGATTTTGACCAGTATATTGGCAAAGAGAAGATATGAGCTATTATTTTACATTGTTATTTTAAAATATAATTTCATAAATGACTTCTGTATTACCCACACTCTTTAGCAAAATTCACTAATTAGCAAAATTGGCTAATTCTCTGCTTACTATGTACCATCCTAGTAATTGGCAAACAAAAAAAGTGGCAGCATCTTATATCTCTGCATTAATACAAATTAGCAGGTATTACAGTGAGAGCTCTTATTACTTGAATACTTGTTCTTAAAAATATATGTGTGGGGCCAGGTGCAGTGGCTCACACTTATAATCCCAGCACTTTGTGAGGCCAAAGCGGGTGGATCACAAGTTCAGGAGACTGAGACCATCTTGGCTAATATGGTGAAACCCCGTGTCTACTAAAAATATAAAAATTATCCAGGCACAGTGGCACGCACCTGTAGTCCCAGCTACTCAGGAGGCAGAGGCAAGAGAATTGCTTGAACCCAGAAGATGGAGGTTGCAGTGAGCCGAGATCATGCCACTGCACTCCAGCCTGGGCGACAGAATGAGACTCTGCCTCAAAAAAAAAAAAAAATATGTATATATATGTTAAAAATATATATTATACATAATATATTATATATATTATATAAAGAATATATATTATATAAAGAATATATATTATATAATATGTAAAGAATATATATTATATAATATGTAAAGAATATATATTATATATTATGTAAAGAATATATATTATATATAATATATAAAGAATATATATTATATAATATATAAAGAATATATATTATATATTATATAAAGAATATATATTATATATAATATATAAAGAATATATAATATATAATATATAAAGAATATATATTATATATAATATATAAAGAATATATATTATATATAATATATAAAGAATATATATTATATATTATATAAAGAATACATATATATAATATATAAAGAATATATATTATATATAATATATAAAGAATATATATTATATATAATATATAAAGAATATATATTATATATAATATATAAAGAATATATATTATATATAATATATAAAGAATATATATTATATATAATATATAAAGAATATATATTATATATATTATATAAAGAATATTATATATTATATAAAGAATATATATTATATATAATATATAAAGAATAAACATATATACTATATATAAAGAATATACATTATATATACTATATATAAAGAATATACATTATATATACTATATATAAAGAATATATATAATATATAAAGAATATACATTATATATAATATATAAAGAATATATTATATATTATATAAAGAATACATTATAATATAAAGAATACATTATATATAATATAAAGAATACATTATAATATATAAAGAATATATATAATATATAAAGAATATATATAATATATAAAGAATATATATAATATATAATGTATATAATATCTAAAGAATATATTATATATAATATCTAAAGAATATATATAATATAAAGAATATATATGATATATTATATATAAAGAATATATATTATATATAAAGAATATATATTATATATATTATATATAAAGAATATATAATATATAAAGAATATATATTATATATATTATATATAAAGAATATATAATATATATAATATATATAAAGAATATATAATATATATAAAGAATATATATTATATATAATATATAAAGAATATATATTATATATAATATATATAAAAAGAATATATGTTATATATATAATATATATGTGGACATTTATTTGCCCATGGTATATAGTACACACAAAATTCACAATTTTTTGTCACAATGACAACTGCTGCTCATATTTGCATTTCTTCAATGCTTGCTAATCAAAATCAAGTGTTCCATAATAGATCTGCTAATTACATATGTCGTTAAGTAGTAACTTCCTCAAAAGGCTGTGTTCAAAGTAGATAATGCCAAGCTTTGGAAGGTCGGAAGGTACTGTATATTTATGGTTTGCATATCTACTAATTTGTCTCCTCTAGTTTTACCCATTTCTGCTCGTCATCTTTACCACTTGTTTGTACTGTTTTAGAGTAATCCTTCCAGCTAGCGTTAATGCCAGTCTTCCCATCTCCATTGCTTATGCTCTAGCTTCATGTCCGTTTCCTTTGAATCTAGTGATTTCCCAACCAATAAAAGCGAACGGAGAGTGGTATGTATTGGTAGACAATTAAATTAATAAACCTATATCTGAAAAGCTCAGAAACATGTAGACAATGTATATATTTCTGTTTGGGGGAGGACTGCAGTTAATGAGTAGGAAAGGGGAATTAGTACAAGGTCTAACAAGAAACTAGAGGGATGCATCAAGCAGAACAGAAATAACTATGCATTTCCTTCTTTAACCTTTCCTAATCATTTCTCTCCTTTTCCTTCTTGTTGTTTAAAACTTTTTCAGTTTTAGACTACCAGAAATTTGCAAAGAAGTAGCACAGTTTTCATATACTTTTTACCCAATAATTACCCCCAATGTTAAAATAGTGCGTAACGATGGTACAGAGGACCAAAACTAAGAAATTAACATGGTTACAAAACTATTAACTAACCTACAAAACTTATTTGAATTTCACCAGTTTTTCCATTAATGTCCTTTTTCTGTTTCAGTATCTAATCCAGGATACAACATTGCATTATTTGTTGTAACTCCTTGGTCCCCTGTGCTAGCTATGTGACAGTTCTTCCCTTTTTCCTTATCTTTCATGACCTTGTTACTTTGGAATGTAGTAGTGAGTTATTTTGTAAAATGTCACTCAATTTGGGTTTTTCTTACCATGATTAGATTGAGGTTATGCATTTTTGGCTTGAATACTGCTGAAGTGATATACTCTTCTTAGGAAGTACATGATGTTGATGTATCTTATAACTAGTGATGTTCATCTTGATCATTTCATTAAGCCATGTCCGCTGGGTTTCTTCACTATGAAGTTACGATTTTTCCCTTTGTAATTAATACATATCTTGGGGAAGATATTTTGAAACTATGCAAATATCCTGTTTCTTTTCATGTTTTCACCCACAACTTTTACCATCCATTAGTGGTTCTTGTCAGTAGCAATAGTTACCATGGTGTTTCAATGGTGATTTCCTGTTGCACTAATTCCTTCTACATTCATTAATTGGAATTCTTATCTAAGGAAGAACTATACTTTCTCCCACCACTAATGTCTCTATTCGCTTAGTTATGTCATTATGAGATTCATGGATATTTATTTTATTCTAAGGGTTATAATCTAGGCCTATCATTTATTTTGTTGCTCAGATTATTCAGTATTGGCCACTGGGAGCATTTTCAGGATAGCTCATGTTCCATTTTAACTTGTCCATACCTTTTGAAGAAGTTTCTTATTTTTTGGCACCGTGAAATGCTGTAAGTTTACCTCATAGGTTCCCCGCCACAGCCCAGGAATGAACCACTTCTCCGAGGAAGTCTGGCTCCTTTATTGTAGAAACCAAGATCTGAGCTCTAGGAATACTCATTGCTTGAGTATCATTGTTTCTAGACTCTCTCAGGAAACAGAACCTGGAAAGTTTACATAGATAGATAGATAGATAGATAGATAGATAGATAGATAGATAGATAGATAGATAGATCGATCTAAACTATGTCTACACATATCTATATTTACTTCCAAATCTATCTGTATGCACATTAAAAAACCATGAGTTTATACTGATACCTCCAATTCTAATCCAATACCACAGTAATCATTCTAGCCTCTTCCTCTTTCATTATTTGTAACTTCTTTCTCATGCAGTAAGAAAGCTGTCTCTGACTATCTGCAATATAATTATTTGTTCAACCCTCATATATTCATAAATTTTTTTTCAGAATTGCTAATCCATACCCTAGTACTAAGCAGAGTGCAGTACTTGTGTACATTTCTTTTTGCCTTTAGCTTTGTGGTATTTTCTCAAAATACGGTTTTCTAATGATACTTAGTTATTTTCTTTCTCAAGCCCTTCAGTGTGGTTATGTTAGTTATTTGTAATAACATTAGCTTCACTTGTTATAGTTTGTATATCTGTTTGGGTTCCCTCCATACCTTGGTTGATTGTTTTAATGTACATACGGTGAAATTCACTCTGTTGTATACAGTTCTATGGGTTTTACAAGTGCAAAGAGTCATGCATCCACAGTCATGATACAGAATAGTTCCATAACCCCAGATTTCCCCCTCACCCCTCAAATCACTGATCTGGTTTCCATCTCTGTGGTTTCATCTTCCTGGTATGTAATGAATGGAACCAGACAATATGTAGCCTTTTGGATCTGGCTTCTTTCATTAGCAAAATGTACTTGGTGTTCATAGGTTGCCGTGTGAGTAGTATACTGTTGCATGGGTGTTTACTTCCTTCTTCTAACCTAATTTGTGATTCTTGCCCATGCATCTAATGTTTATATTTATAAAATTGCCCACTGGCTTGATGCTTATTGGATTGCTCCTTTGGGACTCTGAAACTGACTTGAAACTATGTTTTTTATCTCCCCTTAGCACAGTTTACCTCACTTCATCTTATTTACTGTGGTTACTTGCCACAACCATCAGTCATTTTAACATTCCAAGGAGGGTTACAGCCAACCCTTAATTATTTTTGGTAAGTTTGACAGAGAGAGAATGGATAATTGAAATCTTCACATAATCTGCAAGCCTTATAATAGCTACTTCTTCTTCCCTCAACTACTTAAAGGTAGCAAAATTGACTCACTTTAAGTTTTATATCCTTTCCCTTCCTTTACTTATCCTCTGGTAGGAGCACTAATGAGTCCTCAGGTGACCATAAAAATGGAAAGACAGAGAAAAAGGGGAAGCACAGGCTGTGGGTAATCTACATAGGAGATAAAAAGCCTCTGAGTCACTGAGAATTGATGACACTCTAGTAAAATAGATCTGAGTAGGGATTTTGTGTCTTTGACTATTTTTGATTCCTATATAATGCTTGGTACTTGTTGATTCAATGATGGACTTATGGTCAGTCCTAAAAGTCCACCTAAAATAATATACTCCTACTCAGAAACTGCCAACCTCCTAGCTCTATTTTCCTTCCTAGCTGTGTCTATGTGCTCTCCACGGCAAAGCCTGAGGTTAATTTGTGGTATGGGGAGAATCTTAATTGCATTAACGCAGGCATTTGTAACTTAACATACATGGATAGGTATACATAGTCTTTTGGGAATCTGTGAACTCTTAGAAATTATAAATAGAAATGTATACACATTTCCTGGGAGAGAGAACCATAGTTTCCATCACAGTTCAAAAGTGTAAAGCAAACAAAATTAAGGCCTTTGACCAGCAAGATCATCTATAGAACTCCTGTAATGCTGACATACTAACCCTGAGAGCCCTCATACTCTGTTTCTGGGAGATCTTCCTTTGAACTCTAGAAACATTCACTAGACTATAAATTCCTTAAGAGAAAATATTGAACCTTTTTTTTTAATCTCCAGCACCTCACATTAGAGCCTGTATAATAGGTATTTGAAAAATACTTCCCGAATTAATTTGATATTTTTAGGCTGATAGGATTTCTTAGTCTACTGATACAATAAGAAATCTGATTAGCTTATGTTGTTTGTGAGATACATAATTTAGTTTGCAGGAATCCACAAAGCTTTGTCATATATCAGTTAATTAGCTAATAAATTACCAAATTCAAGTGAGTTTATGCAGTACTTTTTTTCAAGTACTTCTTATACTCACACCACATGCCTTTCTTTCCTAAATCCCTGTAAAACCTAGAAATATATTGCCCCTTCTCTTGCTACCTGATACAGGGAGAGTTTGACTGATTTGGAAAAGAACAATATGCAGTGTGAAATCTTAACAAAAACGTTTTATGTTAGTGTTTTAAACTTTGGTACACAGTCTAAATTGCAAAAACTGTGTCATTATTTAGAATGGACATGTTCCAGCTTCGTTAATTTATAAATTCCTATAGAGGGCTTTCTGGAAAAACACTGATAATCCGTATGTTCAGTATTCTAAAAAATATACTTAGCCTGAGTTTTGGAAGCCTAGTGTGATTCTACTTCATCTACCAAGTGCTACCCAATCTCTTTTACATCTCGCCACGCTAATCTCTTTTACATCAGATAATGGTACCATTGAAAGGTAGGTAGCACAGCCCCATGCTGTCTGTGTCATTTCTGACCCCCCTGACTCAACATTAGTTGAGGCCTAGGCTAGTAGCTACCAGTCAGTGAAAAGCTCAATGAGATATACTTAAGGTAGCTACATTAATTAAAATGCATATATACGTACATATAAATATATAGGTATTTCAGTATACCAATACTTTGCAAATTGGGATCCCACAGCCTGAATTTGACCCATGTAGACCTTATTTGGAAGCCACAGAGTATTAATTTTTAAAAAACATGAGCCAATATTTAAAAATCAAGGTATTTCACTAAACAAATTTTTAATTTCAAAAATATTTTTAATAGAAATCACTGGCTCATGTTTAAAACTTTCTCTATAAATTTAAGTTTCATGATAGGCTTTTATATATTCTACAAATTTCTTTTAGAGCTCTAGATCTGCAATTCTGCGATATTACAAAGTCTGGAATCGTGTTTTGTCTTTCACCTGTGAAAATGTTACTGTTAATCCACATATGGTCAACAAAACTGGCATTGAGCTGTTTTTCCGGGAGAAGTGATGGATTCATGCTGCTCCATCCACATATTCTTGGCAAGTGCCCTTTTGACCACTGGCATGTATTTTTAAGACTCTCTGGGGTTGGGAGGAGAGCCTGTGGTAATGGAAAAGATCCAAGTTAACTGGCCCACACAGGGGAGCCAACCCATGACCTTGACCCCATTACCACAGTGTTCTAACCAATTGAGCTAAATAATTGAGTAATTGTTTCTTAGCAATCTGATCAAATCAGATGGCTTATAATAAGACTCTGTCTGTGAACAAGCGTGAGGATGTCAGTGAACAGAGAGCTTAGGATAAGGGGAAAGTTATCCAGTCTGCAGGTTGGTTGGCATTTTATATTTGGCCAAGTAGTCAATAAATTGGACTTTGTCATTATGGCTAATTGCATTTCTGAGCAATGAGAACTTACCAAAAAAAAATGAAACTTTAATTAAGTAGAGTTTTTTTTTTTTGTTGTTGAAGGATTCAGATTTTTCAGTTCATAATTGACAACATATGTACAAACAACTGGGGCACCGAGCAGGAGGGAAAGAACTTTGTGCTGAGTTGAGGGGTTCAGGTCCCTGTTTGATCCCAGCTACTTAGTGTGATAGTGTGACCTTAGGTAGGTCACTTGACTTTCTGAGCTTTGGGAGGGATTAGATAAACATGATCTCACAGATCCCCCTATCCCTAAGAAACTACCTCTTAATTTTTAAACCAATAAAAATATTTTGCAACAGATTTCTTCCTAACTAAAAATGAAAATGGAATATTTTTCACAGAGGTAGATAATTAAACAATATTTCGAAAGTATTTATTGAACAAGCTTATTTTTGAAATATGTTGGTGCTTGCATAAAGTCAGTCAGTATATAATATGCATATTTCACACAGAAATCCAATACATTTATAAATACATAGACCATAGTTCTATATACTATGTGATTGGTTCTTAATGGCATTTTATATTTCAAAGCACTTATGAATCCCCTTGAAAATGTTGCCTTCTTAAATAATCATTGTTTTAGATGCAAGACATTAATGAAATTGCTTTGGAATTACTATTCATGAATCTTCTGATTTGGGTCCATTAATATGGCCTTTGTAGAACTACCTCTCCTCCCTCTAACTTGCTAAATTTAGATTAAATAATTTAAGCTCAGGCTTTCCTTACCAAATTGTTCATTTTTCTGGTTCTTCTTTCTTTTCTTTCTTACTGATGCACTCAAATATTACTTTTATAGAACTGAGATAATGGGTGGATTTATTGTTCTTTTATCCAAAGTGATTCTTCCATCACTGGATTGACTGGATTAGTGAGCATGTGGAGCTCAGTAGGATGGGTCCTGGAGAGTGTTAGGGTTGGTGTAAAATGAATGACAACAGCTTAGTCACACTTGAAAAAATATATTGGCTCGAGTTTCCAAATAACCTTCCAAAATGAAAAGCACAAATACTGTGGGTTTCTACAGAATCAAATATGACTGTAATGTTTGTAAAAAGGATTAGTTATTGGAGGTCACTTCAATATTAGGTGGGGAAGTTTAGAAATACTAAAAATGGGGAGACCAGAAGCATTAAATCCAAAGCCAAATACAGGTTGCAGATGCTCTGGGTAATGGTTGCCAGTCCAGCCGTCATCTGAGTGACGCTGCTGGTGTTCCCTGCACCTTCCAGAGCCGTTCAGAAACACAGGCTGCCAGTTTTTAATGCATTATGGCAGATTATGAGACACCTCTGTCATCTGAATAAACACGTAGCTGGGCAGAAGTTTTCAATATCAGTTCTTTATGTGATAGGATCCAAAATTTATCTCATTTTTAAAAAGAGCCCCAGAGATGAGGAAACACTCTCTGGTAAATTTACTTGATTGAGAGTCACCCACATTTCTTTTAAAGGTATGCTCACCAGAGACCCCATCTGGAATGTTCCACTCAGAGGCTCAGACCTCTGGTTGATTTAATTATGTGCTTCCTAGGATTGTGCATTTAATTATATATACACAACAATTCCTAGCACCGGTTTCTTTTGTTATTCTGTGAGAACACTGGCAGCCATTTTGAACTGTGGAAGAGTATTCTGCATCTGCAGGAATTACTCATCTGTGGTATTGAAGAAAGGAAAAATTAGCCATTGGTACAGGAAAGGGAGGAAGAACAAAATACACTTACATAGCAGAATAGTAGTTTCACAGTCTAGTAGACAAGCAAATAGGAGGCTGATGCTGTGGACAGACTATAAATCAATTTCTGATTTCTTTGGTCAAATTGTAAATCATCACTATGCGCTAAGCTACCATGCATTTCCAGGTGAGAGTATACAATACTTTTGTGATTGTGTGTTGTTTGTAATAGCTCTTTCTGAATTACAGGTGATTAGAAAACCCTGTTAGAAATCAAGTTGTTGTTGTTTAATTCTGGATATATTTGCTTTAGTGATATTATGCTGCTGGAGAATGGAATTATATCTACTTTTATAAAACTATATTAAAATCCCATGGGAAATCTATTTCTATGAAAAAAAAACTTGTCTTTTGTTCAGGCCCCTCTGGATAAAGGGGAAATGTTGTTGATCACAATGGCCCCGAAATGACTGTCCCATCACACTAGGTCAGCTCCTTCCAGATAAGGTGCTATGGGTCCTGGAGGGTGCCTAGAATATTCATGATGTGGTTCAATGAATGGATAACAACTATACTTAAAATAATGAATTACTCCTCATTTTGCAGTTGGTAACTCTGTCTTGCTCATAGATCCCAAATTTCTAAACTCAAAGGAGAAGCTAAGGAAAGAGGGGGTGGTTCTAAACTTTTAAGAAACGAATGGAGATCCTTGTAGGCAACATTCGTTTGACAAATTTCATAGAAACTTGTGACTTGTTGGCCCTAGAAGAGTCAATGTTGTCTTATGTAGAATTTCATTTGAGACATTCAGGATATAAATTTTTTTTTCTAAGTTTATTGGTAGTTGAGAATCAGTTCCATTTTATGGCCTACTTTTAAGGTACTTACACAATAAAAAGAGATATTAGTTAACTTTAACATCAAAATATTGAAATCTGATCCCTTGCCTTACAAACTAAGTTAGGGCTCATATTTTCCAATTACCTCTTTCTTCAAAAGAACTCTTCTATGAAAGAGTACATACAAATGGAGGTATTATTATTATTTTATTATTATTACTTTTTGAGACGGGGTTTCGTTCTTGTCACCCAGGCTGGAGTGCAATGACGCTATGTCGGTTCACTGCAACCTCCGCCTCCCAGGTTCAAGGGATTCTTTTGCCTCAGCCTCCCAAGTAGCTGGGATTACAGGCACATGCCACCATGCCCAGCTAATTTTTGTATTTTTAGTAGAAACAGGGTTTCACCATGTTGGCCAGGCTGGTCTTGAACTCCCGCCTCGGCCTCCCAAAGTGCTGGGATTACAGGCATGAGCCACTGCGCCCGGCCTGTTATTTAAAATTCTCTTAATGGTAGGATGCAATCTAATGTCAAAGATGTGTAGCGTCAAAACTTTAGAGAGCAAAGCAACAACTTGACACATATATTTATTTGATACTTTAGATTAAGGAGGCCATAATTTCTGAAACTCTGGAATGAAAGGTCTAAGTATGAGATAGACATCATGTTTTTTATAGAAGACATCTTGCAGATTAATCATCTTTAAAGATGGCTTTGGGTTTAAATTTCATTCGAGGAATAAATTTGAGTTCTGTTGAATTGAGACATCTCAGAAATTAACCCCCAACAATTTCCCTTATTCAAAATTGCTTTTACATTTATGGAAAACAAAACAAACTTTTTAAAAATCAAAGTTGAGAGCTTTCACCTTTTAATAACAGTTTCAAACTTAATATAGCTTATTAAGAATTAATATAATAACTCTTTTTATTGTTTAAGCCTCTCTTACCAGCTCTACCATGCATTAATTATTTTTCTTCTTTTGTATTTATACAATAAATGCTTGACAAAAAAAAAAAGCTACATAATTTAAGATTTTTATGACACAATGGAAAAGTTTCTTACCCCCAGGGGAAAAAACAATTCTATGATGTTCTCATTGTCTTTCCAGGCAAAATTTTATATATTAGAAAGAAGAAGAATATGAAAAAAAAAAAAGCTCTAGTTATACTTTCTGTGATGTGCAGCAGGTTTGGAATACATGGAACATAAAAGAATATTACATGAGCTATAAAGGGTTAATGCTGTGTGTTCTTAATTTTAAATTTCAGATAAATATGATTTCAGCTGTGATCCTACATGGACTAATTCTTTTGTCACTCAACTAATTAATTCGGTATGCTAGAGAAAAGATGCGAATTTGGGCATCAAAGAAGTGATAATTTTTTTTGTTTAATCAGTTATAAAGATAAGTTTTACTCCCATTAGACTGGGTCTGGAGCCCAATCATTTTATTCTTGTTTAGTGCAGATGAATTCCATAGAAAATGTGCCCTGTTTCTCTTAACATCTGAAGATGGAACAGTAGGATTCAGGATTCCTGTTAAAATGGTCCTTTGCAAGGTAATTATAAAAAAAAAAATCATTTCTTCATATTGTCCGTTTGTTCTCCATGCATAACAAGGCAGACACCATCATCTGTTCGTTCCGATCATGGAATATATACAAATTGCCCATGTGTTACTTTATGCTATGGAAAGTAAGTTGTATTTGATGTTTTATTTAGAGACTGCAGATGAGGCCTCCAGCTTCCACAGAATTTTTAGTTAGCCCTTGTTGGATTTATTTTCTTTGACATGAGTCAGTTTTTTCCTTTCTGGGCAGTTTGCTGAGATGACCCCATTTGCCTGTCAATGGTAACTTCAGAGCTGTTTCCTGTGGGGACCATTTCCTTCTGCAGGATGAATCTGTGGCCAGTGTGGAGCAAGCTGGGGCCAACTGGGCCTGGGAAGGGCAAGTCAAACGGGCAACCTCCCACAGTTGATAGAAAGTTCAGCAGTGAAGTATGGTTTGGTCTCAAAACACTCTTTCCTTTCCTAGTTTTCGGGTTTCCGGGGCAAAGGAGGTAGAGAAAAGGGAAGGAAAGAGGAAGAAGGGGATGTTGTGGGCGCACAAATGCGAAGGCAGTATCTGGCTATTGACTGAAGTCTGAATTCCAGCCATGTGATCTGTTTAAGGCAGTGTTAGGGCTTTATGCACATGCCATCAGTTGTGTCTATTTACTCAACCAGCCTTCAGAAAAGCCCGAAGATCCACTTAAAAATCATAATCATGAAAAGGAAGAAGACATATTTTCTACTGCTTTGAAATAAGTAAACATTTAACAAAAAGAAAAGCTTTTTTAACTATTAAGAAAACATAAAAAATGCAAAAAGATCTATTTCCATAATGTTCCTGTTAAATATCTGTCCCAGAAATCGTAAGCATTTCATCTGAGTCACTAAGGCTCTTGACTACCATGTTTTGAAGCCAGTGAAAGTGTATGAAAGCAATTAATCAAAGTTCACTGCGCTCCTGAAGAGTATTTCTTCTTCTGGAAAGCAGAGGGGTAGAATAACTTAAAACTCAATGACAGTGAATAAGCTTTTTAGAGTCCCTGTTTGGATCTGAAAATCATACCTTATTAGTATCTTTATCTTTCTTGCCCACTCATTCACGCTTATTTTTATTTAATTTTAATTTCTGGCCTTTTTTTCATAAGTTTCCCTTTTTTTCCCCCTAACAGAGTGCTGCTTTAATAATCTCAGAGTACAGTTTTTATTTGCTACAGAAAGCTCAGCAAAAGCAATATCCAGTGTCTAACAAATCTCTTAACTTTTCTTACAAATCGTCCATTCAGAGGCTCTCTCTTTTGTTTGTTTGGTTTAAAAAATATTAGTTATTGGTGATCTGTGCTTTACTTTACTTTCTGGACCCTCTAGAATTATTTTTAACGTATCTGGTATTTCTAAATCCATTGCATTTCCTAGCCCCTCGGTATGGGGAAAGCAAATTAGCTCAGGGATTCCCAGCAGCTGAATTTAGCTAGAGAGCTGCTTAAGGCTCTCCCCAGCAGATGTTTTATCCACTTAGAAGTTGTAGAACGTTATAGGACCTCCCTGCTTTTTAATCCTAAAAACAAACATCAACATATTTGAGATCTGAAGATTCCCTGATTCAGAATGAGAAATTGCCATGACCACCAATTTCAGGGCCACATTCTAGAAATGAGTGACAACCCAGAGAAAAGTAGCTGCTACATCTTGGCTGGATAAAAAAGGTTGGCCTTAAAGAGGGTAGCAGACACAGATACCAGTGGGATTAAACAGGTTTGTTGTTTTCATATAGCTTGTCATCATCTTGGAAACATATAAACATACCCAGGATAAATGTCTAAATAACATATCAAAATTTAAAAATTTAATTAGAAAACTTAATTTCAGGGTTTAAACTGCCTGACCCAGTTAGGATTAATTAGGAAGATTTTTAATATTGAGTTTGTCGTTCGTTATTAAAGCATCAACTCACTCAGTTTCTACTTGTGTACACATCCTACAAGGCAAATCCCTATCTACTTTTGCATGCCATGGAACGGATTTAGAGTTTAAAACACAGCCCTACTGTTGTGAAAAGCATCCTGGGTTTTGTAGCATTTTGCCTCCCTCTTTAAAAGCTACAGGCATAGCCAAGGCAGTGTGGGGGACCAGAAATAGAATTAGAATATTTTTCCTTCTTAATGAAGATTGATGTGCAACAAACACAAATCTGTTTATTATTCTATCAATAATATTAACATAAAAGTGAGTAATGTCCTTAGGGACCCCCAAAAAGGGGTTGGGATGGGAACTCTAATTGGTCAATTTTCACTGAATTTTTATCAGTCTCATTAACTCTCAAGTACAATGGAACCATGTGAGATAAACAAGAAAAGACCTTCGTGACACAAATTTTAGAAGCAAAAGCTGCGGTTCACAAAACCATATGAGATTACAATACATGGAAGTTAATTTCATCAGCATATGCGTATGCTAATTCAGAACCCAATTTAGAATACATCTGACAAGAGAAACCTTTTATAGGGTGAATTTCAGAATCAACTATGGAAATAATAGTAAAGGGCCTATGAACTTCTCTGCCCCTATATTTTGCTTGAACTATTTCAAACTGTGTAATTTATAAAATGTAAGGAGCTATCATGCCTAGTTTGTAAGTCAGCTAGTTACAGAGTGGACAAACAATCATCCAGGTCCAGAAAATACTATGACTGTGAAGTTTGTAGGTTTTCACATGTGACATTGTTCCACAGATGTCAGACTTTAATAGTAGCGATGACTAGATGTTGCAGTTTTTTCCAAATGCATCATAGACACCCAAAGACGTTTCCTGATAGGAGAAGGAGATATACAGACTTTGTTTCAAACTTTTCAGCTCTCTTTGGATTCATAGCTAAGCAGCTATTTTGAACAAGAGTGAATGAACTTTTTCCTTGCCTGACTTTTTAGTTCTCACAGGACATTGCTCAGGATCACTTTTGTATAGTGTGTGCACTAAGAGGATGTAGGTTGGTGGTAATAACTGCATAAACTGCCCAGTGTGATGTGGGAGGAAAGTTGTAGATAGACAGAATGTAGCCACCTTAAGAAGTGAACTAAATGAGAGAGTAGACAGGAAAAATGCCAGAGGACAAGCTGTACATATTGTAAATTTGAATCATTCATCAGCGTATGTATGGGAGTCTAGGAGGAATTTGAATGTCATCATTACTTAGAAAACCCAAGGAAAGAAATAGAAACAGAAGAAAATATTTGCTGAGAAACTAGGAGAAAACTATTAAGAATAATATTAAAATCTTTATTATATAGAAAAAATAGGATTCTAGGGACTTAGTTTAATTGAGGGGTTAGATATTTACCTGACAATTTATGTTGTTAATGGTTCAATTCTGTGTGCATTGGCTATTGTGATGTGTAGTGGCTGCTCAGTAAGGAATGAATGGATGAATGAATGAACAAACCATTATCAAATTCCACTTTTCCAGATGGCTGTTCACAACCCCCCTACCTAGGCAATATAACAACATTAAGGAGGTCTGTGTGGGGGGTTTTTCTATAACCCTCTCTGAGGTTCTTGTCTACCTTGGGTAATTCAATCTTTGATTTCTTAAATTCTACTAAGAGATCTCATTTTGTGGATAGAAACCATTTTTCTTATACATGCTGCATCACATTAACTGATAAATTAAATGCCCTGGAATTCCTCTACTTTCTCTTTACCAGCTCCATAAACAAGCTATTTTCCTCTCCTAGGCTGCTGATCTTTCTGAGTCTCCTTCCATCTAAGGCTAATCTCTCCAGAGACACTATCTCTATCCTCCTCCCTTATCAAGAACTTTCATCTCCTATGCCAATGTTCATAGCAGCCTTATTTACAATAGCCAAAAGATGGAGACAACCCCAAATGTCCATCAGTGGATGAGTGGATAAACAAAATATGGTTGTGTAACTGCAATGGAATATTATTCAGCCTTAAAAGGGAATGAAATTCTGACACATGCTGCAACAAAGATGAGTCCTGAAGACCTTCTACTAGGTTAAATAAGCCAGACACAAACGAATAAATTTTCTGTGATCCCACTTATATGAATTTCACATAGAATAGCCAAATTCATAGAGAAGGAAAGTCAAATAGCAGTTACCAGGCACTGGAGGAAGGAGGGAGTGGGGAGTTACTATATGTAGAGTGGGTACACAGTTTCCATTTGAGATCATGAAAAATTCTGGACATGAATAGTGTGATGGTTTCTCAGTGTGAATGTGCTTAATGCCACTGAAATGTACACTGAAAAATAGCTAAAATGGTAAATTTTATGTTACGTATATTTTACCTTAATAAAGAGGGAAAAGAAATTTATTCTTCTCTGTCCTCCATCTCCGACCTCTCACTCTCTTTTCCTTTCAGCAACTGAAATATTCTATGGTATAAGCCAAATTGAAAACCTCCATCTTCAGCACTCGACTGCACCTGCAGCTACCTCCCTCCCAGCCAACCATTACCCAGTCTATAATGGTTGTACAGACACTTATACTTACCCACCATTCACTCTTCAGATCATGCCTACATGGCTTCTGTTCACACTACTCCGCTGACCCTTGCCAAGGCTATGAATGACTTTATGTTGCCAAATCTAATGAACGCTTTTCAGTCCTCACCTCGTTGGGCATCTCAGCAGCATTCCCATCTGTTGACTTTGTCCATCTTCTTGCAGCATTCTTTAAACTCTTTTGCAACCACATTCTCTTGACTTTCTTTCTAGCTCTCTTGCTGTTCTTTCTCTATCTCTGTTGTCCACCTGCCTCTCCCCCAACCCCCACTCGTGTCTCTGATCTTTAAGTGTTACAGTTTTTCAGGACTTAGGCATGGACTCATCTACTGGAATTTCCCAAAGATATATTACAATAATAATCATGTTTTAAATTGAATCTTTTGATACCTCTTCATTGACTCACCATTTCCAAATGACTATCTTCTCTTCTCAATGGCCACTTCTCTAGTTCAAGCCACTGTCATCTTTCACCGATTCCTGCAGGGATCCCCAGTCAGTTAAATCACTGGTTTTAATTATGTTACTGCTTTTACTTGCTGCTTTTTACTTCAGCATCAGGATGGTCTTTTTAAAATATTCATCACATTGTATCACTTCTGCTCAAAACACTTGGTTCCTCTGCCGTTTCTCCTCCACTAACTCTGTCTCCTAGTTTCCTCACCTAGCTTCTCTGCGCCTTGAATGACTGAGAAATGACCTCCCATCACTCTTAGATTAAACCACAAGCTTCTCTCACACCTGTCCCCATTGGCTTTTCCATCTGCATCCTGGCGGAGTTTCCTCTCTCATCTCCCAGCCTCTGGCCTTCTTTTACTGTTTTGAATACATCAAGCCTTCCCCACACATGTCCTTTGCATGTGCTGTTTCCTTCACCCTCAAGACTTT
Source organism: Homo sapiens (assembly GCF_000001405.40). Lineage (NCBI taxonomy): Eukaryota > Metazoa > Chordata > Mammalia > Primates > Hominidae > Homo > Homo sapiens. Next base: position 205,396,121 of record NC_000002.12, read on the forward strand.
TCTCCCACTCTTCACTTGTCTGGAACTTCTCACTCTTATATTCTCAGCTTAAATCTATTTTTTTCACTGAGGCATTTCCCAGGCAGTCACTTCCCTGTTATTGTCTCTTCTAACATCCTTTACAGCACTTATCACAACTAACAATTATGGATATATACTTGTTTGGTAACTGTCTCCTCTGTTAGAATGTAAATTTCATGACGATATTGTGTGGTTTTGTATGCCAACATAATATTAACCTATATCAATTGCTTATAATTTCTGACAGCTAGTGGATACCTAATAAATATTTTTTGAAAGAGAGCGAGTAAGGAAAGAAGAAAGATTTTTCCATGAATCTGTTTCATATGACCTCTATAGAAATGAACAGAGAAATGGACAGGTGTTTTAAGCAAACTTATAATTCATGAACATCTAAATTTACATAAAGCGTATGTTGAAAGGTGATTTTTCCACTTTACAAAAAAGATCCATCATAAGATTCTTTAAACAGGCTTCCCAGGTACATGTAAAAAAAGATTTTATTGATTAAAGCCATATGTTTGCACAGAATTTTTTAGGAAAATATCTTTTATATAAAGTAAGGTTGACCTCTAAGCAATTTCCTTAAGGCACCTAGCCCAGAATTGCCAACTCTCAAATTTCTAAGGTAACAGATAATGGGAGGCCTGGAATGCAGTGCATATTTGAAACTCTAGAATATAAAGTAGTAATTTTAGCCATTCAGGGTTCGTGACTTTTCTCACAAAAATAGCTAATGGGAAGATAAACCTCCTCAATTCCTCTTTCTATATCTCAGTAAAAGTAAGAGTGGCTGTGAAATGATCCCCACAAAGGCTGCTACAGAAAGGAAAACAAAGGCTTGGAAAGTCACCAAGTTGAATCTTTCCCCCTCACTCTCTCCCCCGGTCCACTACTGCCACTACTGATAATTAAGTTGTCTTATTGCAAAATGAAAAAGAATTCAGTGTGTTAATAAATAAAATGCAATTAACTTCTCTGGGTCTCAATTTCCTCATCTTAACAATGCGGGAGTTTTTGTTTTTGTTTTTAAGATTATTGTTTTATAATGCTTTTCTTGGGCCTACCCAAACTTTACAAAATAAGGTAATTTGTAATCATTTTCTCTGGCTAATAAAATAAATTTCACATGTATTTCTGCCCTTCTTATTGGAAACTTGAATCGAGGATCATGAACTTTAAATCAAAGCATTTATAATATTTGTAGAATTGCTTGATTTGACTGTTATTGGCAGTTCTTGCTAAGAAGAAAATACTTTGCAGAATTTACTTTCAACTAACATGTTTTTTTTCTTACCAAACATATTCCACTGTGAGGGAAGGATAATGAGCTATTGCTGAACTGCAGTACAAGTCAAACATTTTAGCTACCAGAAACAAAAATAATTTATTGGGTGTGGTAATAAACATCAAGGTAGGCTAGGAAATGGTTAGTTTTACCCTTCAAAAACAAGACTGCTTTTACCTCAGAAATCCCAAAAGCTGCAAATATAGGAGAAATAATATGGGACATGGAAAAAAAAGAAAAGCCTGATACCTGTAAAGCTTTTGGCAAAATTTTTGCCCTCATCAACCTCCTAAAGCATTATTTCTACCCTGACTCCCCACCGTGTTGAATATTTTGCCCAAACATTACTATATTTAATGACATTTTAAGCAAAAGTTATGTATCTCAAGTGATGTACTGAGCTATTAACTTCTCACGTAAACATACTTAGAGTAATAATGTTGACCCCTAAGACTCTTCTGCATGGGTCTGGAATGCTAAAGAATGTATTCATGAAAACATTATTTAGCTATCTCCTGCTTTGTAGGTTAAGGAGAAGTCTTGAATGTATCAGGCAAATCTGAATTATATTTGAAAGTTAATGTTCTGGCCGAGCACAGTGGCTCACACCTGTAATCCCAACACTTTGGGAGGCCGAGGCAGGCAGATCACCTGAGGTCAGGAGTTCGAGACCAGCCTGGCCAACATGGTGAAACCCTGTCTCTACTAAAAATACAAAAAAATTAGCCAGGCTTGGTGGTGGGCACCTGTAATCTCAGCTACTTGGGAGGCTAAGGCAGGAGAATCGCTTGAACCCGAGAGGTGGAGGTTGCAGTGAGCCGAGATCGCATCATTGCACTCCAACCTCAGTAACAAGAGTGAAACAACGTCTCAACAAAAAAAGAAAGAAAGTTCTTATATTTTTGTCTGTATTTTTCTCTTTTCCGTACTTCTGTAAATGATACATGGATATTTCTTCAGTGAAAAAAAAGGAATAAATTCAGAAAGGGAATCAGGAAAGAGAGAAAAGGACAAAAAACTAGACTGGGGGATGATAGCATTAGAGCTGACAGTTGGTTCGCCAGAGTCCCAAGACTAGACTGGCTACAACCAAAAAACTACAGTAGGAGTAGAGAGAGATGGAGAGATGGCAATGGAGGGAGAAAATTTAGGAAAGAAGACTTGCTAATTGAAATAGTAAGTTGAGAAACATGCAGAATACTGGAAGAGGCTTCTAGGAAAGGCAGGACCATGGCACAATTATGAATATAAGCAATGCCACCTTCCAGGTGTGATACTCAGAGCTCCGACTTGACTAACATCCTCTACTATGGGTCAAAACACAGTCTAGGAAGCTGCAAATAGATGCCCATTGCTATGGGATTCTGAAGAAGACAGAAACATGTGCTTGTTTTATGATTCTTCTATTATTCTGATTGCTTACAGTACAGGACTTTCTTCAAAATTTATATGTCAGGTCCTCATGTGAGGAGACTCTGATTCTCTGTGTGTGTGCTGGGGCAGGGTTGGGGGTATGAAGCCGGCCCATACATGTATAATTTGAAAAAGTCTAAGAATCGCTGGGCACGGTGGCTCACGCCTGTAATCCCAGCACTTTGGGAGGCTAAGGAGGGCAGATCAGCTGAGTTCAGGAGTTCAAGACCAGCCTGGCCAACATGGTGAAACCCCGTCTCTACTAAAAATACAAAAAATTAGCTGGGCATGGTGGTGCATGCCTGTAATCCCAGCTACTTGGGAGGCTGAGGCAGGAGAATCACATGAACCCAGGAGGCAGAGGTTGCAGTGAGCCGAGATCATGCCATGGCACTCCAGCCTGGGCAACAAGAGTGAAACTCCATCTCAAAAGAACAAAAACAAAAAATCTAGGAATCTCCCCAAGTTTTTTTTGTTTTGTTTTGTTTTGTTTTTTGTGTGTGTTTTGTTTTGTTTGTTTGTTTGTTTTTGAGACAGAGTATCACTATGTCACCCAGGCTGGGCTGCAGTGGTGCCATCTCGGCTCACTGCAACCTCTGCCTCCTGTGTTCAAGTGATTCTCCTGCCTCAGCCTTCTGAGTAACTGGGACTACAGGCATGCACCACGACGCCCGGCTAATTTTTGTATTTTTAGTAGAGACAGGGTTTCACTATGTTGGCCAGGCTGGTCTTGAACTCCTGACCTCAGGTGATCCACCTGCCTTGGCCTCCCAAAGTGCTGGGATTACAGGCGTGAGCCACCACACCCAGCTGCATCTTCTTTTTTTATTTCAAATGTGCAGTTTTCATTTTCCTAAAAGTACAAAACATATATGGTATTTTTGTAAAGCATCATAACTGCCACTGTGCCCTTGTAACTATATACATCCCAGGCACTCAGGAATGCTCAGAACATACTAACCCAGAGAAACCTCCCTTTCTGGGGAATTGTATTATATTTTCATTGTGTTCCAGAGCTGACTCAGGAAGCTGGGGCTGCATTAGAGAGTGATTGTGCATAAAGGAAAGCGTACAGGCAGAGATCGGGTTCTAATCTCAGCCCTGCCCTGACTCTGGTGGGAGGTCTTGGTCAAGGTTCGACACCTCTCAGAGCTTTTGGTTCTTCACTGGTAAAATGAGAGCATTGAACGAGGTGTTCAATAAGGCCTCTCGTGGCACTGTCATGGTGTAATTCCAGGAGTTTACCTTTAAGTGCCAATGACACTGGAGCTCGGGAAGCCTGCTTAGGAGATTGATAAGCTTTTATTTATATATTAATGATAATTCTTTAGTTTCTCACTCTCTATTGCATTAATAGGTCATCATAATTAGTCTTGAATATTTGTCTATCTAAATAATAAGGAAAATTTTCAAATTATGTATGCTTAGGCTGCCCCTTCTCCCCTACCTTCTGTCGACACATACAAAGGGAATCAGAATCTCATCACAGGAGGACCTGACGTACACATTTTAAAGAAAGTCCTGGCAGTAGCTTACATCTATAATCCTAGCACTTTGGGAAGCCAAGGTGGGCAGATCACTTGGGGCCAGAAGTTCAAGACCAGTCTCGCCAACGTGGTGAAACCCCGTCTCTACTAAAAATACAAAAATTAGCTGGGCATGGTGGTGTGAACCTGTAATCCCAGCTACTCAGGAGGCTGAGGCACGAGAATCGCTTGAACCCCGGGTAGCAGAGATTTCAGTGAACGAAGATCACACCACTGCACCTCAGTCTGGGTGACAGAGTGAGACGCTGTCTCAAAAAAAAAAAATAAAAACTAAAGAAAGTCCTACCTCTAAGCAACCTGAGTAATAGAAGAATCACAAAACAAGCTGATGTTTCTGTCTTTCTCAGACTTCCATAAAAGCACGTGATATTGTGCATGATGCATGATAAATATGAGTGAAAAGAAGGAAGGAAGGAAGGAAAGAAGAGAGAAAAGGGGGAATTTCATAATGGCATTATTTTTCTGCTTTCATTATCTTATTTTAGTTCCATTTTATGCAAAATGATCTTGACTTACTTAGAATAAAGAAGTATGACTTAATGAGCTCATCCCATAAATATCTTAGCTCTACCGCAAAAACAATGTGATTATTGTTAACAGCCTTCTCCTTCACGTTTCACTAGATTTGGAAAGAAGAAAGAGGATAAGGGTGGAAAGGCTGAGCAGAAAGGTACTCTGAAACATGGTGGCCTGAGAGAAGAAGAGCTGGAGAAAATGAAAGAAGAGCGTGAAAGGTGAGCAGAAGTGCCGAGACCTTCATTTTCTTTGACTCTATGGTCTGGGTTTAATTTAGATATTGCAACAGTCAACTGGAGAAATTTCATTTTAAGAAGTATAGGGGTTGACCGATCTGAAAGGAAAGGTGTCTGATACAAAAAGAACCTCCCTTTCTGGAAATTTTTATTCTATTTTGAGAAGAAATTTGCTTCATGTTTTTACTATATCAGTGCCTATAATTCCATAACACACTACCACCTGTTTTGACCATAAAAATGCATATTTTCTCCATGTCTTTTTTTTTCCAAAGAAAGGTCATTTGGATATTGATGTTTAGAACTATCCAGTTCCCATAGTCTGTTCCTAATTTTAGTCAGGCTGTTGTATACCTTCTTAATTTTATTCTGCGCAATCCGTTTGGGTCCTGTAATTTGAGAAGTGAATGTCCTTCATTCTTTAAAAAGACACTGTCTTTTATTAGGCTATCAGCAAGCTGAAGAGTATGTTGCCCATCTGTTAAAGGGCCGGCTTCATTTGCTGGAATAATGCTGGTTTGCAAGAGCTGAATTCTCCTGCTTGAGGAGCTTAATGTTCCATTTGGACAAGAGGTCCTTCACGTATCTTTGATGTTAACTCTGGCACTTATCGCAAGTGGATGTGTAAATGTCTGATTTTCAAACATGTAATTGAATGTTCATATTTCTCCTGAAAATTCTTTGCCTTCACAACTAAATGGAGCTTGGAGAAAGACTGAGATTATGACAAAACCAGCATATAATTCTAAGCGTTTGATTCTGACTTCATCGTGTATGTACTCAGATTTACACAACTTTTCACTTGCTTATTAGTTACATTAGTTCTTATAGTTTCTAAAGAGACCATTCTTGTATTGATTTTATTACTTTAGTATGTGTACTAAGAAAATCATATCTATTCATTGTGTTTTCTAGCACAGAGGAGTCTAAGAGTATCTACTGTTAGCCTTTGACCCCTATTTTGTAGTCTGTTCCCGTTGAGAAGGCTGACTTTTTCAATAGCAAGGAAAAAAAGCTATTTAGTCCTTTCTCATTTTTGAGAGGTTGATAAGCTGAGTTCTAAGGTCACTGGAGCAGTTAAAAGGAAATCAAGTGTTTTACATTGTTGTTGACTATTCACCTGACAGAGCTATCCTGAAGACATGAAAGATATTCTCCGTCATAACCTAAGATTCAGCAATCCTGTAATGTAAAATGTAATCCAGGCTGAGATTTTAATGCATATATTGGCAAAGGCATCTATGTGGGGAGCCTACATCATAGATCTTTGCTGCTCCCTTGACTTCTCTTACTGAGGTTACATCCCATGCCTCATCTTCAGGAAACTGAGCTGTTTTCTAGAATGCAGACTTTACATTTTTTTGTAGCTCATACTTACTTGGGACAGGGGAAAAAAACTCTTAGTAGCTGGGGAACTGTGTGCCAGCTAGAAAATTGATAACCCATAAAATAAGGTGAGTTGTCTTTAAGCAAGGGTTCATTTCCTTTCTGGTTTTGCCTTTAGTAGGCAGGTGCCTGAGGGAGCCTTGTTCTTAAAAGCTGAGCTGTAAATTCACTTCAGCTGGCTGTATAGGCTTCGGATCCAATTTTCTTAAAATATGTCTGGTCAAAATAGTGAAAGAACTATACTATTAGCCTCCACTTAGGCCACTTCCCACACATGAACACATAAAACACATCTGATAGGGGTTTCCTAGAGACAACATTGTCTCAATCATGTGCTAGAGGAAGAAGTTGAGGAGTTGATTTTATGGTTGGGTGCTATAGAATTAATGACCAAAGGCATTTCAACAGCTCAGGGGCTGAGAGCCACGGATGGTGGAGGTGGAGGCTGAACATCTGGCATTGCTCCCAACCCTGGAGTCCTGATCCTTAGCTCTCCATCATCTATGGGAAACCAATTCACAACTCTTAAAGAACTCAGCGAGTGTATCACTCTTCATGATATGGCAATGAAAAAAAATAGAATAGAGTAAGAAATAGTGATAAAACCTATTATACTTTTCTCCTAATATGTTTGAAATTTGTTTCTTTGACGTGATTCAAGCCATCCTGTTGCTTACTTGTCTCATCCTGTCATAGGTATCATAATAGATTTACATTAGCATATCTCATTTTCAAAATATTTAATGCACCTAAATAAAATATATACCATAAAGTACTGGAGCCAGCTTGTACCAGCTTATAGGAACCAATTGTTAAACTTTCAAGAATTTTGTAAGCTGGCTGATAAGCCATTGGCAGTTCGACATTGGCTATAGTGAGTATATTTATAGCACAGTTTCTCTGAAGACCTAGTTTACCAGCACACTGCTACAGGTCTGTGACAGCTATCTTTAGTGCATATCCAGGAGGCAATTATCCAAAGAGGCAGGAAAAAAAAAACCAAATTCAACCACATGATTTCTTGTAGCTGAGTTTCTCAAAATGTGGTCCAGGGACCAACTACATCAGAATGAATCATTAGAAGACCTTGTTAAAAATGAAGATTCCTGAGCCCCATACCAGACTTACAGAATCAGAACCTTGGGAGTTGGAGCCCAGGAATCTGTGTTTCATACACAAGCCCAAGGTGATTCGTCAGCAGTCTCTAAAGTCTGAGAACCACTGACTTGGAGGAGCAGAATTTGGCTATAACATAAAACTATTCTTATTTAGTGAAAAATGATACACAGGATTTTTTTCTCAAAAGGACTGAGTGGCCCAGTCTACAAATATTTTCCTTGTTCTTCATGTACCTTCTCCGAAATATCTTTTCTTACTGGTACAATCTTTTGTAAACAAATTAGAAACCCTAGCCAGTGCTCACTCAATTAAGGGAATATGGGTCACTTGCCCCCAGCACCCCTCATGCACACAAAACTTACAAAAGCAATATCAGTTCATTAAGAAAATTTTGGAAACATAAAAAGTATAAAAACTATTAAAACCATACATAACTCTACCATAATCCCATAACCACTACTAATATTTTATAATCTTTTTTTTATGCATATACAGTTGGCTCCATATCCACGTCTTCCACATCTGTGGATTCAACCAACCGCAGATTGAAAATATTTAGAAAAGAAATTTCACAAAGTTCCCAAAAGTAAAATTTAAATTTGCTGTGCCAAGTACTACATTGAAGCTATGCAAATGAAGTGATGTGTAGGCACTGTAATAGGTATTATAAGTAATCTAGAGATGATTTAAAGTATATGAGAGGATATACATAGGTTATATGCAAATATTACTCCATTTTATATCAGGGAGTCGATCATTCACAGATTTTGATATCCACAGAGTGTCCTAGAACTAATCCCCCATGGATACCAAGTGACAACTCTCTTTGAACACTTGATATCCAAAACCTGCATCTATAACATCTTGCTTTTTTCATAGCATTATATGTTGAACATTTTTCCCATGTCATTAATGTTTTAAAATATGTCATGTTGATCACTGCCTAATATTCTATGAGATCAATATACGATAAACTATTTACCTTCCATTGTCAAACATTTAGTCTGTTCCCATTTTTATCCCTTTTTTCTTTCCTTTAAAAAAAAAATGGAGACAAGGTCTCGCGCTACGTTGTACAGACTGGTCTCTAATTCCTGAGCTCAAGTGATCCTCCTGCCTCAGCCTCCCAAGTGCTGGGTTTACAGGCAGGAGCCACCATGCCCAGACTGTTGCCATTTTTCACTGTTTCAAATAATACTTGGATGAATATCCAGGTACAAATGTCTTTATAAGTTACCTCCTAAATCATATAATCCTATTGAAGTTTTAATTTCCTTGTAATCATTTTACCCTAGGATTGATCTAACCTCAATTCTAAATTTTAGGATTTTATATTCTCTCTCCCCATTCATCTAATTTTTTTGTGCTGATTTTCATATCTCATTTTAAGTTATCTACATATCTAATTCCTGATCCGAAACCATTTTGCTGCTATATATGGATAGTTTATCTATAGCTACATGTACTGAAAAAGTCCAAAAAGCCATAAAAGATGAGTTGGGTTACTAGATTAGATTAGAGGAATGCAGAGTCTAGAACAGTGGTTCTCAATGGGAGGGGGCAGTTTTACCACAAGGGCATTTGGCTATGTCTGGAGATATTTTTGATTGTCATAACTCGGGAAGAGGGGTGAGCAGTTACTGCCTTTTACTGGATAGAGGCTAGAAATGTAGCTAAAAATCTTACAATGCACAGGACAGCTACCCTCCCCCACAACATGAATCATCCAACCCAAAATGTCAATAGTACAGAGTCTGAGAAACCCTTTTATAATCTCCAGGCTTCACAAAGAGCAAGGTACTCTCCTAGACATCAGAATTGCATTGTGTCATATTTCCTGTGGATAATGCAGAGAAATCTAGATCAGATGATATAACCCTAGAAGGATTATTAGCTATTTGAGAATGGTACCCAAACATTACTGATGAATATCCCATCAATCTAAGCTTGCAAGAATAATTTTTTTCGTTAAAATTTATTTTTAACCTTGGCCTGCTGAGCATCGGCGTTAGTGATGGTGACCCGTTGATCAGATTGTGGTTGCCACAAAACTTCAGGGGTTGACAATATGTCCGATGACAGAATCAGCAGGAACAATGGACTGAATTAAACGTAAAGAAAGTTAATGGAAATAAATGTAAAGTCTTGCATTTAGGTCCAAAAATGAACTACACATACACAGGATGTGGAAGGTTTGATTTAATAACAAATATATGAAACATTTGCCTGATGGTTTTAGTTGAGCATAAGTTTAGCATGAGTCAACATGTGGATATGCCTGCCAAAAGCTTAATCTGGTCCTAAGCTACATTACTGGAAGTTCATGTACAAAATAAAGGAAGCAACAATAATTCTAATTTTACACTGCTTAGATCACACCTGGAATATCCCGTGCCTCTCTCTCACACAGAGCATGCGGGTACTAAATCCAAGTCTTATTAAAAATGTTGAAAGACCTGAGAATACACAGCTTACAGAATCAAGACTTTGTGGATTTCTCATGCTTGAAGAACTGTCACATAGAGATTAGATCGGTTTTGTAGCATCCATTTTATTCCGTTCTACTTTATCAGTTTATTTGCTTATTCATCCATTCATTTATTTACTTTTTTGAAAACAAATTATTTGCTTTAATATTTATTTTCTTATTTATGTATTTGTCTCTTGAAGATACTAATGGAGCATTATTTTAAGAGAGGTAGTATTCAGCTTAATGGAAGGGAAAAGTCCTTAAAATTAGGGTGCAGTATGAGGCAGTGAGTTTGTTGACACTGAAACTGTTGAATAAGAAGCTAATGAAATGATTACATTTAGAAAGCATTAGTTCATCACATAAATATTGGACTAGATCAGAGTTGTATAAATTTCAGTCACTGATCTATTTCCTTTATTGTCTTAATTATATTTATACATAATCAAATAAATAAAATATTATAAAAATCATAGCCATGTAAGTTAGCTTATCTAATTAAGTACATTAAGCCACATAGCACCTAAAATCTTCTTGTGTATCTTTTTTTTTTTTTTTTTTTTTTTTTTTTTAAAGACAGAGTCTCACTCTGTCACCAGGCTAGAGTGCAGTGGCATGATCTCGGCTCACTGCAACCTCCACCTCCCAGGTTCAAGCGATTCTTCTGCCTCACCCTCCCGAGTAGCTGGGACTACAGGCACGCGCCACCATGCCCAGCTAATTTTTGTATTTTTAGTAGAGATGGGGTTTCATCATGTTGGCCAGGATGGCCTCAGTCTCTTGAAATTGTGATCCACCTGCCTTGGCCTCCCAAAGTGCTGGGATTACAGGCATAAGCCACTGCACCTGGCCTTCTAGTGTACCTTAAATGCTACTTTGTCCTTAGATGATCTCTGGGGTTCTTTTCAGATATTCCAGTATGAGAAATATCTAAATATCTTAAGTATGGAAGCATTTACTTTTACTTTTCTAGAGCAATAATTATTGAACTTGTCATGGCATTGGTTTATGGTAGTGCATACACCATTGTTACCTGAGTGTATAAGCCCAAGTTTCTTGCTCAAGATTGTGTGGTAGGATTTTCTTAATCTCAAGTAAGAGATTTCTCAGCTTATGATGTGTCACCTCCTGTTACAAGTCAAACAGTCTATTGCAATGAAGCCCTGCATTAAATAAACTCATCATTTTGTTCATGCTTCAGTGAGATTAGCCATAATAAAAGATTAGTTCCAAAGGCCCATATTCATTGCTAGAGATATGAACCCAGTGTTATATTCAAAGATGATTTCTTCCAACATTTTTCAAACTAAATTAAATTAGCATTTTTCACACATTCAGATTATGTAAATTAGCATCTTGAGCTGAAAGCAAGAGATTGTCTTAATATGTCAGTAAGTATATATTGTTGTTATTCAATTCTAAGACCTAAGTTTGTAACCTTTTACAAAGTATGAAATTAATCAGAATCTTGGACCTGTAAAATACCAAACTAAATACCTGTATTCTTAATACCATCTCAAAAATCCAGTGGAGATTGGTTAAAAGAAAAATATGTCCCCCTCCTCATCATTAATTTAGTATTACTATCCTGAGAAAAATATCTCCACTGACACCAAAGACTGTCTTCCATTGAAGTCCCATATTACTGACCCTGAAATAATACTTCAGTAAATGAAGTTTTCTCCTAAAATTGAAAAAAAAATTTTAATAACATGAGTTATATACTCCAAAATCTTCCATTACTCTTATACCATATCAGAGTTTATTTTGCAGGAAGCTCATTTGTTGTATTAATTAAACATTGCTTTCGTAGATCTTACTAGAATCTTAGCAGGATACATGAGGAGATGGGAGAAAAAAAAGATCCAACCTCTTCAGCTTCAGCATTGAAAAGTATGAAAACATATGGCTCTTGTTTTCAACAACTAGCCTGAACGGAATGTCTAAGTGAGAGTGAAGCTAAGATTTAGGAAAGTTAATCGGTTTCAGTGTCTGAATTCAAGGTTCTTAGTTTTCTTTCCTTTTGGGAAGCCTTCCAAGAACTGCAGACTTCTCCCTTGCCTTATCAGCTGAGCTGCTTGTGGCCTGTTCCCTTTAGTTTAAATCAATACATGTGTTTTTGATATTTGGCAAACCAAGATTTAATTATGCAGCTGCAAGTTCCCCACATAAACGAAATGCATCTTAGAGATATAAAAACATTCAGAAACCATTTATAGTTTGAGAATTCAAGTGGGTGAAAATCTATTCCCAACCTCTCAGCATTTTATTTAATTATGGAGGATTTTTATGTTACTGGAAATTGAAATGAAAACCAGAGTAAGGCTAGAGTTTATCCAACATTTGTTCATATTGAAAAATGAAGATGCTTATTAGAGTCGAAGAAGGAAAAGGAAAGTATTACATTCTGGAATTAATATTTTGGTTGTAATCTACACACATATAACGCTCCTAAATATATACAGCAACAAGTGAATTGATAGTATTTTGTCATTATTGTACACTCAAAAAAGGATGTATTAAAGAAACCAGAAGGTTGATTTCTTTAATTTGCCAAGCAATTCTCAATAATTAATTATTTACTGAACTTAATAACTTTGGCACTATTTAAACTGTTGAAAACACCCATGTTTTGGCATGATTACATACACATGATTAATTCAGCATGGTTTTACTCATCACTGAATATCCCTATCTTTTGCAGTAGAATTTTCTAGGTCCTGTGGTTTGGGTAAAATGTTGGAATGATTCCCAGTTTTAATAGTCCCAATTTATTATTACTAGTGAACCCTGATCAGATCATGGGCTGGATTAGATCCCAGTTTTTCAAAATGCCCCAATTTATGGCTCCCTTAAAATGCTGGTAAAAATGTGTATTTGAATAAGGCTTTGGTTGGCTAAAAAAGATCCAGTTAATTACTTTTAGATCCTTATTAGATCATCACTGCATGGAAGTTATGAAAAATCTTACTTGGTGGTGTTTCTCAGGACAAGGACATGTTCTCTTTTTATGCTGACAGAAAGAAGCTATCAGATTTCTGTTTTTCATAGTACTAACCAACTCAGTGAATGAAAAGAGATCTTTCTGTATCCCTGTGATTACTATTGATGCTCGTGTAAAGGTAAAAATATCCATCTTTCCTAGAATGAGAATTAAAAATATAGAGAGAGAAAGAACATAAACACAATGGCATAGTAGCCATACACCCACACTACTCTTTATTTGGGGGCCATTTTTCAAAATTTGCCTCTGATTTAGAGAAATTAGGGATTTAGACACAGCCCGGGGTGAAGGTAGCTTTAATATCTTTACATTTATTTGATCTCTGTAACACCTATCTTCTCAGAAATGCTTGCGGTCACCAACAAAACTTGGCACATTACTGTATTTCTATAGACCAGAGATGGAAACACCTACATCCTAATGCCATGCCAGCATTTTTTATGAGCCAAAATCCTTTTATGGGACTTGAATCAATGTTAGAAGTGCTGTATTAGCAACTGCTTGTCAGCCGAGCTGGATTAATACATAAAATGAATCACTTGACTGGCATGCTTTCCAACAGTCATTTAGGCAAACTTCTATGAAGTACACCAGCTCTCTACAAATTGTTTTAAATAATTTTAAATATTTTTAAAGAATTCATGTACCCTGGAGTGATGTATTACTTTATCGTATGTAGTTGCAGGGCTGTTGGAATACATTCTGAAAAGGAATTATACTGAATTACCTAGAACGATTCCACAGAACTGTTTAGAGTATCTGACCTGATAAAAATGTGGAAAGAAATTTTAAATTTCGCTGATCCAGGATATTTGGTTGTAATATAAACGTATTAAATACAGAAATAGATATTCAATGTAATCCATAATTTTTTTGTAATTCACTGGATTTTATGCCAATCAGAGATACCAGAGCTGTACCTCAGAGATACAGGTTGAATATCCCTTATCCAAAATGCTTGGAACCAGAAGTGTTTCAGACTTTGATTTTTCTTTTATTTTGGCATATTTGCATTATGTTTACCAGTTGAGCATTCCAAATCTGAAAATCTAAAATCAGGAATGTTCCAATGAGCATTTCCTTTGAGTGTCATGTCAGCCCTCAAAAAGTTTCAGATTTTGGATTTTCAGATTTGGGATGCTCAACCTATACAGATAAATTTACTTTAATGGGGATTAAATACAGCAGTGGCAGAATTTGAGAAGAGCATTTTCTGTGAAAGCTTTGGGGGACTGTAAGTAGGTAGAAGGCTGTTTGGTGACTAGAATTTAGGAATGAGAGCTTCTGTTTTATTATTCATTTTCGTGGCATTGGATAAGCCACTTTTGAGGATGTATTCTTATAGTTTCTATTTTTAGTACCATGAAATAAAATGGTAATAATAATACTTAAAGGCCCCAGTTTCCTACATTTTGTTTGGATAAAATGCTTTTTAACTTCTAAGATCTTTAGAAGAAAAAATTTGCGTAAATAAAAGTTTAGTGAACCCAGAATATTTTCTGTAGGCCGGTTTGGGGCTGGATAATATACTAGTAATCTTAATTTGCTGAAACTGGTCTCTGAAAACTGTGGATATATCAAACTTCTGTAAATCAAATATTTTAAAAGAATTTGTAAGTCTCTCATCTTCTTTCCTTATTTGAACATTTGTTATATCCTGCTTTGGGAAGCTTTCATGACAGGCCAAGTGTAGTTAATGTTCACATAGGTTGGCAAACTCTATATGATTTGAAAGGATGCTCAATCTATTGTCTTCTGGAATCTTCTCCCCCGTCACCACCCGGCCTCCACCCGCCCCATACCCTTCACATAGAAATACTAACCTAGGCCTGTGATTTACAAACTCCAAACTTTGAATATGCTTTTTCTGCATTTCCTGGACAGCTTTTTACATCAGTGGTTCTCAACTTTGGGTGATTCTGACCCCAGTGGGTATTTGACAATGTCTGAGAACATTTTTAGTTACCATACTATGGGGGAAGTGCTACTGGAATCTAGTAGGTAGAACTCAAGCATCTTTCTCAGCGTCCTATACTGCATAGGACAGCCCCCTGCAACAAAGAATTATCTGACTCATGACATGACTTGTGCCAAGGTTGAGAAACCATATTTTAGATAGATAGATAGATATAATAGAAATATACTACAGATATTTTAGTAAGTCTGTAGTTGAACCTAAGGATATGTATTTTGAAATTATTTCTCAAGTGATTGTCATTTATAGCCATGTTTGGGACCAACTAATGTAGGTGATGGCCCCAGAGAGATGCATGGCCAAATGGAAAGATTACAAGGCCCAGGAGTGGGTTAAAGATGACTCTGCATGAACAAACTTATCTGCTTCAAGTCTCATGTGTTAAATGAGAAACCTGTCTTTCAGATTGTTGTGAAAATTAAAAGCAATATTTACGAAGCACGCACTGGTTCAGTCTAGGTGCTGACTGTTATTTTCTGACCTGCTTTGGGAATTAAAACCCCAGATAACCCATACAGTAGCCTTTGGGAGCCTAGAATGCTCTGAGACACACCATCTGTGAAAGTTGCTGAATTGGATCCTGTTATGATGAAGGAGGCCAAGTTGAGCGGAGACTTTGCCCAGCTGGGAGTCATGCCAGATACTTCCATTCAAGAAGCTTCTCCTCATTTTTTATTGATCGCCGGTTGGAAGTTGCTCCTCAAGCATAGTGAGCTTGGCATGAGATGGCAGCACAGTAGTGTGGGGGGTGCTGGCTGCAGCCAGTTCTTGGCAGCCCTGGAAACACATTCAGGGAGAAGGGACACAAATGGTGTGGGTGACTGCCAGCCTCTCCAAGTCCACAGGGCGTGTGACTGCAGAAAACACTTGTAACCACTGTCATTAAATTCACAAAATTCTCATATTTGCATTTCCATTCTATATATTACATTAAGGGGGTGGCAACTCCGATCTGCTAATATTTGGAATCCAGTCTTTGGAGGAAATGGGATGAAAATGTCCTTTTCTTCCCATTCCACTCTTTCCCAGCTACCTGCCTTTGCCCTGGAGTATAATTACTTAATGACCTTACAGTGCATCTGAAGGAAATTCAGATTGCTGTCCCAAGGAATCTGACCCCTTTCCCAGGCACAAACTCCTGCCTTTTTCTGGTTTGTGTCCTTTGTTAGCATCTCATATTGAGAGTTAGAGAGGCTGAAGTGGTTTGGGCTGTGCACAGAAGTGGCACAGAAGCCTGCTTCTCCAAGAGGTCGTGGAAAAGCCCCCTCAACCATATTAAACAACAGTAACAACAATGGGCTGTTTAGATGGAAGATATAAGTATTCATGTTCTTGGAGAAACTTACATAGATAATTTCTGAAGTTATGATTTCTTGAAGCAGAGATTATTAAATTATGACAGGTTGGAGATGAATGAATCAGTGATAATTGCTTTGATCAAAGTCATTCCTCTCTCTCAAACTTTCAGTGGCTCTCTATTGCCTACTGCATACAGTGCAAACTCTTTGTCCTAACACATCTGACTTTAACCTTTCTAATCATAATTTCCACCCCTGACCAATATGACCCCTATACTCAGCCAATCTGGAATGTTCATACTTTCTGAGATTAACACTTTCCAATCACTGTGCCATTTCTAGTACCATTTCTGCTGTCTGGAATGCTCTTCTGTCTGAGTTGGTCCGAATGAATGGAAATTCAATGAAACCTCGCTTTCTCCATTATACCTTCTCAAACTACCTAAGTTGGAAGAGAATTCTTCCATTACCTATCCTGGGTCAAGTTGCTTGATTGTGGTAATTTTCAGTTTCTTTACCTACAAAATGGGTATATAACATCATAGGAATGTTGTGAGAATTAAATAAGACTCTGAAGTGAAGCATTCAGAATAGTGCCAGGCACAGAGACAGCCAATAAATGGTGAACTTACTATTTTTCTTCGTCTTTCTTTGAAAGAGAATGAACATGAGTATCAAACTGTTGGGTTTGAAGCCTAGCTGTTCCCTGTACTAGCTGTGTGATGGTGCATGTTCTGAGAAAACTTTCTGATCTTGATCATTTGAAGAAGAAAAAAAGGATAAAAATATCTAGCCTTCAGAGTTCCTATAAAATTTACATAACATGAAATACTTAAAGTACCTAGAACTGTGCTTGGCACATAATAGATACACATTGTCATTATTATTGTTGTTATTTTTCTGCATGGAATCGTAGATGTTTGTATTTACAAACATGCCTTCTCTCCCTTACTACCTCACCATTTCCTTGGGGTGAGGATGATATTGTAATCATTTTTCTGTTTCTCTCAGGATCTAATACATTATGTTTCACAGAATAGGCACTCAATAAGTAGTTGCTGAATAATGGATGAATGAATGAACAACTATAAAACCGTACTGATTTTAATTTTATTTTTCAAGTGAATAATTGCTGCAATGGAACTAAGAGCAGAATAGGCTAAATCAATGGTAGACAAAGCTATAGCGTTTAGAGATATAAGACTTTCCCTGGGCTATGAAATGGTGTCAAGAAATATGAGGTTATTTGTAACTGGCAGTAGGACAGTGGAAATGAATCATTGAAGCATAGTGGCCAGTCCATCAGGACTATCAACACTTGTTTCCCTGTGGCTGAACCAGATCCTGAGAGACACAGCCTTAAAGTGAATGAAATTTCATCCACTTCACAGGGAAATGAAAATGCTGTGGGCCCAGAGAGCTGTTGTTTGTTGTTGTTTTCAAATTGGGCTTGTGTCCCCATCCCCTTTCATTGACTTAAATTTAATCAGTTGAAATTAGTTTTAAGTACCATTTATTTTAACCTTTTAAAATGGAAGATACGCCTTTTTAGGGAAAATTGAATTTGGTTGTATGGATGAGACACACTGTCCTTGGCTTATTCTTGTCAAATGAGGATATTTTTGTGCTGTATTTTGAGCTGATTCAGTCAGAATTCATGGTGCTGATTGTATTTTGGGGGCAGGCATAAAAAACTAATGTAGATGGAAGATCATGAAAAATGGCAACAGCCATTTGTGATGTATCAGATGCCATCAAGCTACTCTTTCAAGGAGGCAATAGGACTAAACTCCAAGCCCGTGATTAGGAGTCCATATCATAATTACATTAGAGCCTTTGTCTTGTAAAATATTTCTAATCTATATTCTCCTGCAATTACATGTCTTTTCTTCATGTCTAAGTCCTAATTCTCTTGAGGCATAGATTGTAACTTGTTTCATTTTCTTACATCTCAGTAAAGAGAAGATATTCAGTAAAGTCCTGGTTGACTTAAAAGTATAAAACAGCATTAAATTTTGAGTAAGTTACTTAGATAATTTCAAAAACTGACAACATTTTATTAATCAGTAGGAAAAGAATAACTATCTATTAAAATATCTTGCCAAACATTCTTGCTTATTTTTGAAAGTATAGTGGCCTCCTTAAAAATTACCTTGATTATAATAGTATGTACCAGTTTTTTAAAGTAAAGAACAAATGAGTAGATGAGGAATTGCTTAGACTAATCATTTTTTGAAATAATAGTGGACTCTATTATTGACAGCATCAACAGCTAATTAAAAATTCTATTAGTGAAGATGTAAAAGATGGCACATTTCCAATCTAGATTGACACTGAGGACATAGACATAATTGATATTTGTTCAATAATCCTAAAATGTTTCACAGTCTCTAATAGAGGCTGTGATTGC
The DNA here is from genome assembly GCF_000001405.40 of Homo sapiens. Lineage (NCBI taxonomy): Eukaryota > Metazoa > Chordata > Mammalia > Primates > Hominidae > Homo > Homo sapiens. The sequence goes on from NC_000002.12 coordinate 205,414,804, forward strand.
CAAAGAAAGTTTCAAGTGCTAAAAATATATATATTCTAGGCACTTAAAGATATTTTCAGATCAAATAATGCACCTTTAAAAAAAAGTAAAATTTTAGCTGAATGAGCATCAAAGGATATTTTAGTGGGTTGACTTTGTTTTAAAAAAAAACACAGAGTCAAGATAATGTATGGTGTGATTCACATGTTTTTAATCTGGTTATAGTGGATGTAATAAGAAAGTCAAAAGAGGATAATTTGCTAGTTGGACTTTTAAATTTTAGAGAAGTATTTTGTAATGGTCACATAAATGAATGCATATTGAAAAAATCTGCAATGACCATTAAATATTCCACTTTGGAAAAACAAGATCATAGCTTTAACAAAATGCTTCAATATTATAGTTCACTGCTTTTGACAATATTAAACCCAAATTGAATATGTTTCTATATAGGATATTTTCACACGGCAACTTAAAAACTTGGCATAATAATTTTCCTACTTTTGATAATCAATTCTGCTCCCAATAATTATAGATTTACCTCACCAATTATTTCAAAGGATGGACAGAGAAGTAAAGCCTTGCCGAGAAAGGTAGTAAGTGAAACCAGAACATTTTACAAAATGTTAAGAAATGGGCACTTAATTCTTGAGGAAACATAACTCATTTCACCAGCAAACAAAAATCCAATGCCAAGAAAACTGACATTATGCTAAAATATTCAATGTCTCAAGTGTGTATACGACTTAAGGTAAAAATGGATGCCTAATATCATCAGTGACCAATTCATCCCATTGAATGAAAAATATTCAGAGGAATAAGCACACTCTACTGAAGCTAGTTGTGCAATCCTCATTGATCAATTTGAAATAACCACCTACAGATATCAATTACCTTGGTCCATACTGCTCTTGCTCACATAAGCTTGACTGTGCCTCAATTCAAAGAAATTTTTTTTTAATTGTGACATAATAAACTAATATGATGTGTGAACCAACATGGGAATTTAAGTTCTCAAAGATATACTGAAAGATTTTGCCTCTGAGGAGAAACACATTTTACTAAAATCATGCCAATTGACACAGGAAATTTGATGAAGATCTCCAAATATCACAGATTAAACCCGAAATATGTAGTATGTTTTTACAACTTTTCTAGGGCATTTGAAAACATATGCAACTATGTAGACATGTTTATGATTCTATTTACACATTCATTTTTACATTGCCCTATAATCAGATGACACAGGAAAGGAATTTTTTTTCATTTGAAGGAATATGAGAAACAGTTTCAAGCATAGACTAGCTGAGGAGTAGGGGGCTTTATTTTATTACTTTGTGACATCCTGAGGGCATGCTTCTGGTATGAAGAAGACTTAGCTGTCTGAAAGTATTCCTGTTTGTGAGAATACCTTTAATGCTGTGACCCTGGGTGTGCCTGCATGTGTGTGTGTCTTTGTGTGTGATATAGTTACATAGATAGATAATATGTATATAGGCTTAATAGTGTCTGGTAATACCCTGCTACATCCTCTTATGAGCATCTGATAACCATTCCTTAATGAATTGGAAAAGTATTATTTTAGTTAAATGAATGATTACATACTACCTGTTTTCATGCTGTGTATAAAAGGATACCAGTGAAGAGAATTAGGTTCTTGGAGAAACAGGGAGATGTTGAAAAGCAATCAAGAAAAATGTTGGGGGTAAAGGGACTGGAACACCTGTGGGGAAGGCACCATTCCTCCTCACATATGTCTTCATCCCTGAAAATCTGCTAAGCCCTTGGCCTGCAGGTGAGCAGCATGCACAAAAGTAGATTTGTTAATTTTCTGAAAAGAATACAGCTGGCTGGCTCAAAGAGTTAAGGCAACATGATAATAAGGCTGATATCATATAAACTATGCCCCTTTATGGAAGATTGATGCATTAAAAAAAATCATGTAAGTATCCACTGTAGTGCAAGTACTGTAATAGATGCTAAGGACTCAAGGATTAATTTTTTTTTTAAGGAGAAATAAGATTTCTTGGTCTTCTTACAAGGAGCTCAAAACTGCACTTCCAACCCCAGGTAAACATCTAAAAATATATTCTGTTGGACCTTCAAGGCCTTCAGGCTAAGGGAACAACTGAACCTTTCTTTTCTTTTCTTTTCTTTTTTATTTTACTTTAAGTTCTAGGGTACATGTGCACAACGTGCAGGTTTGTTACATATGTATACATGTGCCGTGTTGGTGTGCTGCACCCGTTAACTCGTCATTTACATTAGGTGTATCTCCTAATGCTATCCCTCCCCCCTCCCCCCACCCCCCGGCAGGCCCCAGTGTGTGATGTTCCCCACCCTGTGTCCATGTGTTCTTACTGTTCAATTCCCACCTATAAGTGAGAACATGTAGTGTTTGGTTTTCTGTCCTTGTGATAGTTTGCTCAGAATGATGGTTTCCAGCTTCATCCATGTCCCTGTAAAGGACATGAACTCACCCTTTCTTATGGCTGCATAATATTCTATGGTGTATATGTGCCACATTTTCTTAATCCAGTATATCATTGATGGACATTTGGGTTGGTTCCAAGTCTTTGCTATTGTGAATAGTGCCGCAATAAACATACGTGCACATGTGTCTTTATAGCAGCATGATTTATAATCCTTTGGGTATATGCCCAGTAATGGGATGGCTGGGTCAAATGGTATTTCTAGTTCTAGATCCTTGAGGAATCCCCACACTGTCTTCCACAATGGTTGAACTAGTTTACACTCCCACCAACAGTGTAAAAGCTGAACCTTTATTTTCAGGAGGAATACCTGAGAGATCACCAAAGGGTAGAGCAGACTTGTCATCTCCATACTCAAAAAGTTGCATAGTCTCTCCCATAGTTTATTGGATGCCTCTCTTTGCATCTCATCCTCATGGCCCCCAGCCTGATCTCCACAGGCTAGAGCCTTCCTTGCAAGATCAATCCAGCCCCCTTAACCTTTCACTGAAACACAGAAATTTTTCTGAATCTGCTCTGCATTTAGCAGTTGTAGGCACCCTGCAGATGGGGCCTCCTCTGGAAGCTGGCCTTCTCCGGGAACCCCCAGTGGAGGCCTTTATTGTGTCCCACCCACTTTGTGTGCACTTGAAAATCTAACAAGCATGTGTTTTCCTAATAGGCAGTACTCCTTGGATAAACTATTGTTAATCTGTATCATCTTGTATTCTCTTGTGTCTTTTTTTCTTCTTTCCTCATTTTTCATTTTTTACGTTTTCTCATATGAAAGGTCACCTTTACTTGGTCACTTCAGTGGAATAGTTCCCAATTTCAGGCCTAAAAGCTTATAAGAAAAATGTGTATTTTGATGAATTTTCATACTTTTGATCATCTGGAGAACTAATGTAATCTGTTTTAGGTCCCTGGACCTTTTTCCTTGAGATGTGCTGTCACACCTTTGAATCTGAGGTTAAATTGAAGTTATATGAAATTTTTCCACTTAGAGGATTTGGGTAGATATCTTCTGCTATGATTCACTTTTGACTTTTTAATTTTTTTGGCCTGAACTCTTCAATAATTCAGCAAATATTAATTGAGCATCTAGGCACATGAGGGAAATGGCAAGATGCGTAAAACACAATCTAGTCCCTGCCCTCAACAAGTTCATGATTAAGGAGAGAGCAGAGAGACCAATACACTAATTATAATAAAGCTAACTATGATAAATGCTGAAAGGGGGTTTAAAAATGCTATATGATCACAGAGAAGGCAGCCATGAGAAAATAGTGTTGTAGCTGGGACAATAGGACACACCCTCTTTATCACCCAGTATTTCCAGACACTTGCAATGAAATCATTAGATTCAATTATAAAGTACAACTTAACTGTGCAGCAAATTAGAAGAGACTTTAAAAAATTTAAATTCTTAATCCCATCAATAATACATGATATTTTTGCTGCTGACTAGAGAGAAATTTAAGACTCAGGGAAAATTTTCATTTAAAATCTAAGGGATTTTCCAAGCAATCAGGGTGTTTTCCATTATAGTTTCTTTCTCTAAAGCTGACAGAATATAGTAAAAAGTTTAGGGCAAAACTTTCTGGGAAAATAGCAGTTGAGACAGGCAGATAACTTTGGGTCATAAATTTATATTACTGAATATTCTGCAGATACATACAAAATTTATTTAAATATTTTAAACTATAAACTATAATCTTAGTAGCCTAGAATGTTTGGCCAAAATATTTCTATACTTATAAGTGGGTTACAAACTATTCATTTGTATATAGTACTATGTAATATATATACATACAGTAATACAGCACTGATATGGTTTGGCTCTCTCCCCACCCAAATCTCATCTTGAATTGCAGCTCCCACAATTCCCATGGGTCATGGGAGGGACCCAGTGGGAGGTATTTGAATCATGGGGGTGGGTCTTTCCTGTGCTGTTCTCGTGATAGTGAGTAAGTCTCACAAGATCTGATGGTTTTATAAAGAGGAGGAGTTCCCTGCACAAGTTCTCTCTCTTTGCTGGCCACCATCCATGTAAGATGTGACTTGTTCCTTCTTGCCTTCGCCATGATGTGAGGCCCCCACTAGCCATGTAAAACTGTGAATCTATTAAACCTCTTTTTCTTTATAAATCACTCAGTCTTAGGTATGTCATTATCAGCAGTGTGAAAACAGACTAATACAAGCACCATAGTAAAAAATGGTGGAGCAAATTGAACTTTCTTTACAGTTTTGAAAAACTGAAGAGGCCAACTAGGGTGACCAAAGGTCAGTTTTCCCCCATCTATTGACATAGATAAGGCAGACCCCAGACTGCCAGAAAAAAACAAGTTCCATATTACATACAAGTCACTTACTCTTTAAACTTCTCAAGTTAGTAATTATCCCAAAACTTCATTAATCTGCAGTCTCTTCTGAACACTCCACTAGCCAGGAGGGAAACGGGGAAAGGGGAGAATCAGGAAGAAATAAGAAATGCTTCCCAGTGCCAGGCACATAGTAGACTCTCAGAAATGTGGATTAAATGGATGAGGTCAGGTCACAGCTAATATTTAGTTACTTCATTGTGATTCCTCCATACCTCAAGGGTTACAGGATGAAAACTGCAGTGGAGAAGGATGGTCTTCAAATGATGTCCCTCCCTCTTCAAAAAAAAATCTGTTCAGTGAATGTGGCTAAAGCAAATTAAAGGATTCATATATTTTCGAAAGATTTGCGGCCAAGAGATTCGAACCAAAAGCATTTGCTGCTTTACTCTCAATCAAGCAGAAAATTCAATTAACCGTAACACACCTGGTCCCCTGAGCATTCTGGCCAATCCAGGTTATACAGCATTGATTAAAAGTATCTACTCTCTGTCTAGGGTTCCAGGTGGAATTGAGAAGGAGCTAAAAGAAGCTGTGTTTATGCTTTTCAAGAGCTATTAGTGGTGTGTGCATGTGAAGACTGCATAAGTATCTCTGTTCTCTGCTCTCTCATCTCCCCTGTCTCAGATGTGGATAACTGTTACTGTTATTCCTAACAATTGCTATGTACGTGCCAGCCACACTCTTCTAATAGCTTTAGTAGTATTAGGTCATTTAGCCTTTTTCCTTTGGGGCAGGTACTATTATATCTCTCATTTGCAGGTGACAGAAAGGTTAAATAATTTGTCCGTGGTACAAAATTAGAAAGTGGCAGAGCTCAGTTTCCATCCCAGGCTGTCTGGCTCCCTACATCACCTTGCTTTTCCATTTCTGAAATAGCAGAGTGTTCACATATCCATCAACACCTGCAGGTCTACTCTGAAAAAGGCTTTGCTTCAGTGGAACTGTCTGGGTGAGGAGGATGCTGCCTCCCATGAAGATCTTAAGGCAGAAATATAAATGTAAATTTTGCTCATTAAAACCATAATTAATTTATTGAAAGTGAATTGTTATTATTTCAGGGATGAATGCATATTGGAATATGCTGATTATTTTAATGAACCAAGAGCCTCTTCTGGGATACTTCCCTTGTATTATTTGCAAGCAGGTCACCGTAAATTTTCTAAGAGAGAGAATGAATAGATTGCTGCTCATTTTCAAGTTTTGCCTTATGAAAAATGCAAAAGAGGCTGGGTGCTGTGGCTCACGCTGTAATCCCATCACTTTGAGAGGCCCAGGCGGGCAGATCATAAGGTCAAGAGATCAAGACCATCCTGACCAACATGGTGAAACCCCATCTCTACTAAAAATACAAAAATTAGCTGGATGTGGTGGGGCGTGCCCATAGTCCCAGCTACTCGGGGGGCCAAGGCAGGAGAATCACTTGAACCCGGAGGGAGTGAGCCAAGGTCATGCCACTACACTCCAGCCTGGTAACAGAGCAAGACTCCATCTCAAAAAACAAAAAAAACAAAACAAAAAAAACGGAAAAGAAAATATGTGCTGTATATTGGGAGATGATAAGACGATATCTTTGTTTAGGAAAGAAAGGCCTAACATCATCTGTTTTAGACTCACTATTCTCCTCTAGGTGGCCATTTCTTGCACTACAGATGTCAGCTGCCGGGACCAGTTTGTGTGGTGCTGTGCCTACACAATGCAGGCACATTGCAATGTCTCCAATATAATTGTTATGTTTAACATTTAGAGCCATTTATGTGGGTTTCCTCTCCTGTGTTCCACTGTATTCCATTTTTAATCTCCTCAAGACACACAGTAGAAAAGCTGCCAGAATTTGTTTTTTCTCTTCATATGTTATAGGGTCTGAGGTTTCATCTTTCATATTTCCACATTGCAGGAAAGATGAGCAATGACATATTGACCAAGGCTGTGAATGAAAATAGTGCATACCTAAATACTTCTCTTTAGGTCTCATCATCAGTTCCATTCATTCATAATCAGCATTAGTCTTCTATTGCTGCTGTAACAAATTACCACATACTTGGTATCATAAAACAACATAAATTTATTCTCTTAACGTTTTGGAGGCCATAATTCTGAAGTTAGTTTCACTGAGCTAGAGTCAAGATGTCAACTGAGCTGATTCCTTTTGCAGACTCATTGTCATTGGCTTTTACTTGGCTGCCTATGTTCCTGGCTCATGGCTCCTTCTGCCATTTTTAAAGTGCATCTCTCCAATCTCTGCTTCCGTTGTCACTTGGCCTTCTCTCTCAGACCTTGCTTTGTCTGTTTCCATCATCACATTATTGAGTGCCTACTGTCTGCCAGGCACTGTGCTAGATATTGGAGTTCTATCAATAGACAAGTCAAACAAGGACGCTGCTTCCATGAAGATTCCATTCTTGTAAACAGATAAATAAAAAAGATAAAATCAAGTAATGATAGGAGTATGAAGAAAATAAACTAGAGCAATGTGATAGAAAGATGGGGCTGGGAAGAATGCCTAAGATGCCAAGATTCAATCTCAGCGATGAGCCAGTCACAAGAAGTCGATTTCAGACAGAAAGAACTGCAAGAGCTAATCAGGCCTGAGGCAAATAAAGCTTTGTAATTGGAGTTGAATAACTAAGGGAGAGCGTGGCATAAGCCAGAGTCACAGAGGAGGCGGTGACCGAGTGGATAGCGTCACAGATCATCGTAGGGAGCTTAGATTTTATCTAAGTGTTAAAGGAAGACATGAAAGTGTTATAAGCAGAGAAACAGTTAAATATTTACTGTTTAAGAGATTGTCTGGGCTGCTGTTTAATGACTAGATTCTCCATGAAGGGAGCTATCTGGCCACACCTTGCCTCCCTCTTAAAAAGTATGTTTCCTTACTGTGGTTACATAGAGCCTGAATAAAATCTAAATCTTAGTCATGCAGGTAATTGAAGGATGTTTCCCCACATCTAAAACTTAGACCTCTGCAGTACCCTGCTAACCACAATAAAAAAAATGCCAATTCTTCCCTTTTTTCCAACATTTTATGGATCCATTAGCAATTTGCAGTTCCCATAGGAGATAAAACAAGTCTCTTTTCAAACATGAAGAGATTTCCTATGGTAATTATAGGCAAAACCTGGAGCAAAGGGCCACTAGGTAGGCCAAGGAATAGGGAGCCAGCTGAGTGATGGAATGCCATGGTCAGGACTGAGAATAGGCCCTGAAAAGAATAGCTTGGTGAAGGGACAGTGAGGGTAGATCAGACAGTAGGCTCCCATGGACAAACAGTCATTGCCTATCCTAACAAATGAAACATCCTCATTGTAGTTCTCAAAACTATGTGCAAGTAGCATATGGTCGTCTATAAAAGCCTCCTTCATACTCCTTGACACCCAGGTTTGAACTGATGGCCATGGTAGAACCTTTCTCCTCGACATCCAGTGGAGTAGGAATGAGGTCATTCCTGGTAGTCATCTTGTGCCCTAACTGCACAACAGTCTGACAGAATCACCATAGACACAGCAGACATCATCTGGATTAGCTTGTTGGACCTTCTCTGATGGTTGCTGAGCGGCGATTGCCTAAGGCAAATGTTGGCCCAGCCAGTGCTGTGTCCTCAGTGTGCATGCGGTAGAGGGAGGAAGACCAGATGATGAGGATGCTCACCTCAGGCTTGGACCCCTGTTAAGGAAGACCCTATCACTATCCTTTTGGAGGTAGGAGGGGACCTTAGTTTGCAGACCTGACGGACAAGCCTGTGGTTCTTTCACCTGATACTCATGTGTCCCTGGTCCTTTTCATCTAGCCTAGTGCAGTTCTAAGTACTTAGTAAATACTCAATAAATGTTGGAATCAAACCAAATTGGCTGACATGCCCCATTTCTTGGCATATGCCTGGACATGTGAGAATATTCTATATGGTTTCTCCAGAACAAAGTCCCATCTTAAGAAGCCAAAAATGGCAAGCCTAATAAGCACCATAGAAAATACTGTGGTTTACATATGTTCATTGCAACCCTATTCACAATAGGGTTCACGACATGGAATAATATTCACAACATGGAATCAACATAAATGCCCATCAGTGGTAGACTGGATAAAGAAAATGTGATACCTATACACCGTGGAATACTCTGCAGCCATAAAAAAGAACAGGATCGTGTCCTTTGCAAGGACATGGATGGAAATGGAGGCCATTATCCTTAGCAAACTAACACCAGAACAGAAAACCAAATACCACATATTCTCACTTATAAGTGGGAACTAAATGATGAGAACACATAGAGGGGAACAACACACACTGGGGCCTTTTGGAAGATGGAGGATAGGAGGAGGGAGGGGATCAGGAAAAATAGCTTATGGGTACTAGGCTTCATACCTGGATGATGGAATAATCTGTACTACAAAGGCCCATAACACAGATTTATCTATTTAACAAACCTGCACTTGTACCCCTGAACTTAAAAGTTTTTAAAAAAGAAAATACTGTAGTTGAATACAATATTTTTGCTGACCTGTTTAAAGCCTTCTGCGTGAGTTGGATAGGAGGGAAAAGACTGTACCCTCTGTGTCTTTTTAAACTCTCTATGATGCAGAGAACGTGACTTTTCAGAATATGAGTGCCCTATACCTTTGAACTAGATGGAAACCTCAGGTATGAAGGGTCTGTGTTTATCCCTGTCCTAGGTATAGTCATGGTTCTATACTTAAGGTGGTTTTTCCGGGCTCTGTGGAAGTCGGTGGTACTTCTAGAGCTTTTCATGATCCCAGAGTTCATTTAATGAAGACTCTATGTAACCTGGGGATGAGTGTCCAGGGCCTTGGGAAGTGTGGCATTTAGGGCCAAGAAAACAAAGGAAATAGAGCAGCACATGCTGTGTGGACAGCCGTGATCCCCATGCTTCAGCACATTTTTATGTGAGTCGGCTTTGAGAGATAAAGATCAAAGACTTGTCCAGGAGTGCACCAGCCAGGTGTGAAATTCCAGGTGACAGAATGGAAAGAAAAGAAAGGTTTAAAGGGAAAGGAAAGGAAATGTAGTTAGTTTCCTTTTATTCTCTTTATTTTTCCTGTTTCCTCTTCAGGAAGTTTATGTAGCTTACAATACCCCAGACATTCAACAGAAGGGGTTGATCCTCATTCTTTTCCAGATAATGATAAGCACCGAGGGCCTGTCGTTTAGTTTTCAGGTATAACCCTTGGCAGTCCCTAGGGTTAAACAATGCTGTGCTCCAGAAAATTTTAATACAGAAAACTTAGTTTGCTTTCTGCTTTGGTCTGTGCTACAAAAAGTGGGCAAATATAAACTGGGAGAATATAAATAAAATAAAGGCTACTTCTTGCCACTTACAAATGTCATTAGCAATAAGAATAAAGCACATCAACAAGTTACAAATTTTATCCAACCGGCAGGGCTCCCCCAGGGGCAGATTCTTACAGCTCTTTCTTCAGTGTTAGTTTGGCCAGCAGCCTAGGGAACATCATTTAATGTCTTCAACACTAATGACACCTTTTGTAGGGGGACTGTCTAGGATTGTTATAAAGGAATTAGTTGTTATCAGAGAATATCATAAGCACTCTGTAGGTTGTTCCCCGTCACATCCCCACCTCTCTTTGGGGCTAATTTTCTAAGGAAAGCTAAAAATGTTTACTAAGCATTTCTGAGAAACTTGTCTACATTATGAGAATAGAAATTACAGGAACTCAGTGCATTAGCAATGGGAAAGGCTTAATGGGTCTGGGAAAGGTATAAATTTAGGGAAAATGTAAATTGCAATAGTTGGAGAGCCTTCAAGGGCAGTTTTCTTGAAATGGCAGTGTTTAGTAGCAATGGAAAGATACTCAAGGATCTTGCCATTTGGCATTGTAAAAAATGCAACTCGTAGGTAGGAATTGCAAATCCCATTAGTTTAGAATATGAAATAGACTCGGTGTAAAAAAAAAAAAAAAAAACAACAACATTTGATTTGGGGAATGTGCTTGGTTCCAGGCCATGTAGGATATGGAAGTCTTTTCTGTGGTCATCCCACCTAGACAAAGAACCAGTTAACTTTTCAGGATTCTCTAGAATTAGGATGTTCTGAGTCCACGCCTGACTCTCAGAAGCTTCCCAAACTCTACTGCCTTGACTTACTTTAATGAGCATTTAGGATTTAGAGAAAAAGAACATCAACATGCCCTTTGCTCCATGATCTTTGGCAAACCATGGACTGTATAAGCACAATATCCACATATTGGATTCTGCAAACCATGAAGAATTCACCGTGTTATTTGTGTGTGCACAGAGGAAAACATAAACAAAGAGTCAATTAATGACATTAAAAAATTTGCATGTCAGTATTATAGAATGTCAAATTTACTGTACAGAAATATATGTATTATTTTTTTATTTATATCAAGAAAAGTGATAAATTATCCCATCAATCTAGTTCCCTTACAATGTCAGATCTGGTTTAGGCTGACAAGAAAAATGGGCGGTACTGAAGGAGATCGTTTAGAAAATATTATAGACACCCAGAGAGGAATGAGGCAATGGTGAAAAATATTAATGCAGTTAAAATAGTTTTGTTGAAAAAATGAAACATTGATCACAAAGATTGCATGTAACATTGTATTGGCTGTTCAGTATAATAATTTTAATACTACTACTACTAATAATAATAATAATAGTAAACTCACATTGTTCCTGACCAGGTACAGCTTGTAGCTTTAAAACTGCATTGATAGGGAAAAGCTGAAGAAACTGAGCCTGTTCTCTGGAACAAAGGATAATTATAGTGACCTAATTGTAGCTTCTATTACAAAAGCAGAAATGATAGCCAGACAAATTATCTCTGCTGTCAATAAAGAAAGCTGTACAGCAGGTAGTTTATAATCTCTTTTAATGATACTACTTCTTTTACCCCAGAGCTCTCCATGAAAAACCTTTTCTGACCTCGACTACCATTACCACTATAGGGAGCAAACCTCCTCTTTACTCTCTGTTCATCTCTGACTCTGTTGTTTGGGTTCATACAGTAGCAACAAAGAGAATTTCACTGCCTACAACTTCCTAGCACTGGCCAAGTCAGTCAGAGCTATGCTATTGTGGACACATTCTGCATGAGACAAAATAAATCAAGAAATAGTATGGAAAAGTAGCAAAATGTTCTAAGGCTTTTGAGGAGTAGAAAATATGAAACACTAATCAATAATCATTTAATGAATCATAAAATGCAAATGAGAAAATCAGAAAATATAGATGCAATTTATACCACAGATAAAGTGCTAATATTGCTCCTATTCAAAGGCCTTTGAAAAATCAAGGGGGAAAATGGCTAGCAATCTGATAGTAAAATCAGCAAAAGATATGGACAGCTCACAGAAGAGGAAATGAAAATGGCCCTTAAGCATATGAAAAGATACTCAGCATCATATAAGAAGAGATAGGCTAATTAAAACTTCACCGAAATATGACTTCTCACCTATGGTTATCAAATTTCCCAAAGTTCGACAATGCACTCTGTTGATGAGACTGTAGAGAAACAGGCATCCTCTTACAGTGTAGGTGGCAATGCAAAATAAAAGAAATGTGGAAGGAATTTTGTCATAATCTAGAAAAAAGTATATGTGTGTTTCTCTTTGACCCAGCAATCCTGCTTCTGTGAATTCCTCCCAAAGCCACAGTGGTAACAATATGGACTGACGTTTGCACAAGATTTTTCATTATGACATTATTTGCAATAGCAAAAAATCAGAAATACCCAAATGTTCGCAAATGCATGACTCGTTAAATAAACAAAAGCATGTCCACACAGTAGAATACTATGAAGCATTTTAAAAATGAGAAAGATATCTAAAGAAATTGTAGTGTCTATGATTTCTTTGCTAATATGGAATGTTCTTCTGTCTATTACTATGTAAAAAAGCAAAGTATAGAAAAATATGGACAGTATGCTACCTTTTGTGTAACAAAGAAGGCATCTAAATATATAAACATGCTTGCTTTTTTTAAAGAAACAAATATAGTTATATTGCATGGGATGGAGAAGACAGAAATGAAAGCTATATATTATATTTTGCTATATTTAAATTTTGAAAAATATGCCTTACATATAGCAAATTAAATAAAAAGGAAAAAACAATCCCTAAAAACTGAAAACAAACGAAAATAAATAACCTAACTGTGAAACAAATTGGTTGCATAGCCATTCAGGAAAAAGAATTACTTCAAGTGACATTAGAATACACGTTTTGATTATACATATTTAGTGTAATATATTCTAGCAAAAAAATAGAGCAATGAAGACATCTTAAACTTTAGTAGTCAAACTGTTAGTAATTGCTGTGATCTGAATGTTTTTTTCGCCATCCCCCCAACTCTGTTCCCCACAGCAAATTCATATGTTGAAACCTAATCATCAGCGTGATAGTATTAGGAGGTGGGGCCTTTGAGAAGTGAAGTGCTCATGAATGGGATTAGCGTCCATATAAAAGTGGCCCCAGAGGCTGGGAGTGTGGCTCACACCTGTAATCCCAGCACTTTGGGAGGCCAAGGCAGGTTGATCGCTTGACCTCGGGAGTTTGAGACCATCCTGGCCAACATGGAAAAAACCCCATCTCTACAAAAAATTACGAAAATTAGCCAGATGGTGTGCACCTGTAGTCCCAGCTACTCAGGAGGCTGAGATGGGAGGATTGCTTGAGCCCAGGAGGCAGAGGTTGCAGTGAGCAGAGATTATGCAGTAGCATTCCTGCCTGGGCAACAGAACCAGACTCTGTCACAAAAAATAAAATAAAATAAAAAGAGGCCCCAGAGAGCTGCCTCACCTCTTCTGCCATGTGAGAGATCCAGCAAGAAGTCAGCAATCCATCCTGGAAGAAGGCCCTCACCAGAACCCAACCATGCTGGCATCCTGTTATCAGACTTCCCAGCCTCCAGAACTTTGAGAAATCCATTTCTATTATTTATTTATAAGGCTTCCAGTCTATTTTATTATAGCAGCTTGATGGGACTAAGACAATAATATTGATATTATCATTTTAAAACTATATGATAAAAATAATTATATCAGTGTTAAGAATCAAGATTTTGCATTTAAAGGAGGGAGGAATAAATATACAATATTAAAATTTTAAAAGTAAAAATTCTGTAATGTTAAATTTGAATCAGAAATATTAGTATAAACATATGGGCTTTTTTTCCCCCAGAAATATGTATTTCCTAACTCTATTCAGAGAAAAGGCTGAGAAATAATAATAACCCAGTGGCAGTGAGCACGCCTAGGGCCCAGATTGTGGTCTCTAGATATCATTCCCCACTAAAAACAAAGGGGTCCTTGGAGGAATGACTGCTTCCAAATTAGGAATACAAGATACTCAACATAAACCTGGAACTACTTATTTGTGGTAAAGCAAGGAAGCAATCAAAGGCTAAAGGTTAAGCCAGAAGAACGAAAGAGCTCATACAATGCAGTCTCTTGACTAAATATGGACAATATGTGCAAGAAAAAGTATAAGGAATGCAATTGAATAAAAATCCTAAATATGTTATTACAAATGTGTATTATATATTATGGACTTACATAAAAAACCATAAGTTTATAATTATGTTCACAATCCCGTATTCCCCCAAAAATGTTCCTAACTACTCGTTTGTCACCATTGGAACTATCTAGGACACTAACTCCTGACTCTGAAAATTAGCAGTGAAAAAGAAATATTTAAGCATTTATTCAGATTTCCCAATACTAAGTACATCTCACCATAATCAAAATGCCAAAATTGTTGAAAGATTTTCTTTGCAGAAGAATCCCAGCTAATACATTTTTAAAATGGCCTTCAAAAATGACCATTGTGCAACCCCTAATGAAATAATTAATTCAGTCAAACATCATCAGTGAAAGAAATGATTAAATGAAACATTGATAGGGGAACTTTACAATGGAGACATCAGTTTGTCTCCTTAGCATTACTAAAGACAATCAGATATTTAGGATGGAGAAGACAGAGATGAAAGCTATATAACTGTACTTTGTTATGTTAAATTTAGAAAAATACACATTTTTCCAAATTTTTGTGTATGACACAATTTGAAGCATATGTGCTTCCTTTAAGGTATTTATATTGGTTTCATAGGGCCGCCATTTAACAGATTACCATCAACTTGGTGCCTTTACTACAAATTTGTTCTCTTACTGTTCTGGAGACCAGAAGTCTGAAATCAAGGTGTCAGCAGAGTTGCTTCTTTCCAGAGGCTTTGAGAGAGAATCTGTTCCATCTTCTTCTGTGCTTTTCTTGGCTGCCAGCAATCCTGGGTGTTTCTTAGCTTATAGACACATGGCTCCAATTTCTGCCTCTGCCTTCACATTGCCTTCTCTGGCTCTTCTCTTCCGTTTATGTCTTCTCCTTTATAAGAACATTTGTCATCAGATGTAGAGCCTATATGGATAATCCAAGATAATCTCACAACAACATCTTAAACTTAATTACATGTACAGAGACCTGTATCCAAATAGGATTGCATCAACAGATTCCAGATGGATATACAATTTCCCTCGATATATAAGTGAGGGGCCTGCAGAACTCACTTATATGAAAGGTCTGCCCTCCATATATGCAGGTTCCTTATCCCACAAGTACCATATTTATCCGGGTTTAGTTGAAAGAAAGCTGTGTATAAGTGAACCCGTGTAGTTCAAACCCTGTTGTTTAACGGTCAACTGTCTGTTTTAGGGAGCCACCATTCAACCTACCAGAGTACTCCTCCTCAAAAATGTTGAATCTAACTAAGCCTCCAGATGCACTGTCCAATATGATAAACGTTAGTCACGTTGAAATTTAATTCATTTAAATTTTAATTAAAATTTTGTACCTTAGTCATACTAGCCACATTTCAAGAGTTCAGTATCCATGTGTAGCTAGCGGCTGCTGTAGTAGATAGCTCGGATATGGAAGATTTCCATTTCCATCATCACGGAAAATCCTATTGGAAAGCACTGCTCTAGAAGTTACTCTTCATAAACAAGATATTTGGGGGGATGGAGGAATAAGTTAAATCATTTCACAAGAAAGTAAACAGAGAAATCCAGCACATGGGACCAACTACAGGAAGATCAACTTGGTTTCCGCAATAACCCAAAGGCATGGAAAAAATAAAAAGCAAAAAGGAAAAAGAGTACAGTTCAGTACATTTAATGAGACTTAAGAGAACACCAAATGTAACGTACAAGCATTTTTACAACCTGATTCAAATAAATCATCTGGGGAAGACAGACATTTTTAAGGCATTTGGGAAAATTTGTTTATGGAGTATTAGATGATACCAAGGAATAATTGTTAATTTTTAGGTGAAATAATGGCATAATAAAACATTCATGATATTTTGATATGCCTTTGGAAGTATGTAGGGGGATTTACTTTCAAAATGCTTGGTAAAAAATTAATAGAAAAATATATTTAAAATATGACAGAATCTTGATTTTATTTATTTATTCATTTAGAGACAGAGCCTTGCTCTGTTGCCCAGGCTGGGTGCAATGGCACGATCTTGGCTCACTGCAACCTCCACCTTCCAGGTTCAAGCAATTCTCGTGCCTCAGCCTCCCAAGTAGCTGGGATTATAGGCATGTGCCACCACACCCTGCTAATTGTTGTGTTTTTAGTAGAGATGGGGTTTCACCATGTTGGCCAGGCTGGTCTTGAACTCCTGACCTCAAGTGATCTGCCCATCTTTGCCTCCCAAAGTGCTGGGATTACAGGCATGAGCCACCATGCCCAGCCCGAAACTTGATAATTATTGAATACAGAAATGAAACGTATATGGGAGCTCATTGTGCTATTATCCTACTTTTGGATATCTGAAAGTTTTCATTATATCAATTTTTTTTTTTTGAGACAGAGTCTTGCACTGTTGTCCAGGCTTGAGTGCAGTGGCGCTATCTCTGCTCACCGCAAGCTCTGCCTCCCCGGTTCTTGCCATTCTCCTGCCTCAGCCTCCCGAGTAGCTGGGACTATAGGCGTCTACCACCACGCTCAGCTAATTTTTTGTATTTTTAGTAGAGACGGGGTTTCACTATGTTGGCCAGGATGGTCTCGATCTCCTGACCTCGTGATCTGCCCACCTCGGCCTCCCAAAGTCCTGGGATTACAGACGTGAGCCACCGCGACTGGCCACATCAATTTTTAAAATGTGATCATGTTTAGATTATTTATAATCTAACATAAATGAAAGAAACATTAATGTTGAAGACAAACACCTCAACAGAATTCAATAATTCAATTCCTACCATTTAGTAAATGTTAGCTGTCAGGCAAAGTGTGTAGCCTCTCTAATCTCAGCTGCTTCTTCTCTAAAGTTAAGACTTCTGTACATTATGAGAACTGTTATATAATCATGAGAAAATATATCACTAATATTATTATTGATGTCAGTTCATCTTTTTAGGTAGATGAAATACTGGACAGGATGGGCTCTTGTGTGTTGCAAACTTTTCTATTTTGAGGCATTTGAAGGGCAGTCTTAATTACAGAATTTTGTTTTTAAACCAGTTTTATTTTTAGCTCATGGATCCAATTGCTTCTTACCATCTCCAGTGATACACCTGTATGGACAACCACCACCTTCCCTCACCTGGCTTATTGTAATAACCCCCTAACTGTTCTCCACAGTTTTTCTCTCACCCAGAAATGCCCACTTCACTCTGTTCTCAACAAAGCAGTCAGAGAGCCCTTTACCATGTAAGTCAGAGCCTATTACTTCACTGCTCGCAACCTCTAGTTTGCTTCCCACCTCACTGAGAGTAAAAACCGAACTCTACCATGGACCTCCAGGCCCTGTTTGCCCTAAGTCCCTGCTTCCTCTCTGGCCTCCTCCAAATTCTCACTCCCTCACACTGGCCTTGCTGTTTTTAGCACATGCCTGCCTCAGGGGCTTTATATCTGCTGTCTCTCTACCTGGAACACTCTTCTCCTGTTATCTGTATAGTTTAATTATTTTCTTCTTCTTCAAGCCTTTTATTTTATATTTTCAGTAGTGCCTTTCCTTTAAGTAAATTTAGTGCCTTTAAATAAAATTAATTTATTTAAACTTTAATTAATTAAAATTTTGTACCTTGGTCATACTACTCACACTTCAAGAGTTCAGTATCCATGTGTAGCTAGTAGCTGCTGTATTTAATAATATATATTTAATAATGTAAACTCCCTTCAAAAACTCCTACTACCTCTTCCTGTTTCACTTTCCCCTATACTACTTACTAAAAACATATTTTTTCATAAAGTACCAATTTGTAGGCCAGCCTTTGATGTTGACAATACAAATCATTCTTATTGATTCATAAATACCTCCTCTAAAGACTAGACAGCTTGTTTTACATCTATTACAAGTTTCTGCATTCATCATTCAAAAAATTTTGGAAGTGTTTTGGTTGCTTGAGAAGGGGTGTGTTTGCTTAAGGAATTTAAATATTTTCCCAGCAATTGTATTCTGTTAATTTGTTATAATAACTGCTTTTAGATAATGCATTTAAAAGAGAATTATATATAACTCAATTTATAAATAATGAATCTAAATTTGTTAGTTTATAAAAGGTATAAGTAGTATAATCAGCATTTTTGCCTTTTCTTTTTGTGTTTTCTTTTTAAATTGAGATATAGGCTGGGCACGGTGGCTCATGCCTATAATCCCAGCACTTTGGGAGGCCAAGGCAGGTGGATCACCTGAGGTCAGGAGTTCGAGACCAGCCTGGCCAATATGGCAAAACCCCTTCTCTACTAAAAGTACAAAATTAGCCAGGCATGGTGACAGGCACCTGTAATCCCAGCTACACAGGAGGCTGAGGCAGGAGAATCACCTGAACCCGGGCAGTGGAGGTTGCAGTGAGCTGAGATCACGCCACTGCACTCCAGCCTGGGCAACAAGAGCAAGACTCTGTGTCAAAAAAAAAAAAAAAAAAAAAGGTAAATTGAGGTATAATTTACATAAAGTGAAATGCTTAGCTCTTTGAAAACAGAGTAATATTCTCTTTTCTCTTTTAATGAATGTATGTCAAATTACAGAACATTTCTAGCACCCATGGATGTTCCCTCATACTTTTTCCCATTCATAGGTAAAAGCCTGATCTAGAATTGCTTACAAATGGAATTATATAGTATATAGTAAATCCTTTTTTCTGTCCAACTTCTTTCACTAAGGATGATAATTTTAAGATTCATCCCTGCTGTTGGCTATTTTTGTAGTTTATTTCTTGTTATTGCTGATTTATCTTCTGTTGTGTGCATAAACCATAGTTTGATTATCCATTCTCCTGGTGATAAACAGCTGAATTTTATGTCTAATTTTTGCTATGATGAATAAAGCTGCTACTGAACACTCTTCGTGGATTTTTGGTAAACATATGTCGTCATTTCTTTTTTCAATTCACCTGAGGTGAATCACTGGGTCCTAACATCAGTGAAAGTCTAGTTTTGAAAGAACTCCTAGACCTTTTCCAAAAGGGATTATGCCATTTTATACTTCCACCAGCAGTGTGTGAATGTTCTGGATGCTCCATATCCTTTCCAACATTTGTTTTTGTCATTCTTTTACACTTTAGTAAGGACATCTCATTGTAGTTTTAATTTGCATTTCCCTGATGATGTATGATACATTTTTCATTTGCCTATTAGGCATTTCTAGTTATTATTTATTTTTTCATTGAATGATAATTACTTGTTTATGTCTCCCTTGATAGTAAGTCAGAGACTATTTTTTGCTAGTATATAGTATAATGTCAGTAAAATATTGAATAAATTAATCTGTCAACCAAATATTAGCAGGAAGAACACTCGTGACGCATTCAAGGAGCCCGTAATCTAGTTATGGAAGCAGAAGGTCTAGAAAAAATCATAAAAGTTTTTTAATTGGTTTTGTTTTCTACAAAGTGACATATAACAGTTTCATATTAATAGAGAATTTACTGGATGTATGAGTTGAAGAGGAGACAAAGAATTGTTAAGGTCATTGTGGAGCTGTTTATGAATAAGTTAAGTCCTTATGCCAGAGAAAACTAGAGTTAAATATTTGATTAATGGGACATGAGTAATATTAGGAAAAGCAGTTGATTTAAAGAGACCAAATAAAAGTTCAGTGAACAATAATTTGAAGAAAATTGTCATAACTGAGTTGACAAAGGGATCATGAGAAATCAAGTTTACAAGAAATAAAGATGCCTTTTGGTACAGGGTATTTAATGTTTTCAAAAACATTTTTATTCACTACAACTTGTAGTTGTTAGGAAATTTTTTATATTTTTTAAGTTTTTAAAATTTTCTTGGGGAGGGTGGGATGGGGGTGAGAGTTGAGAAACTACCTGTTGAGTATTATGTTCACTATTTGCATGATGCGTTCACTAAAAGCTCAAACTTTAGCATTATGCAGTATAACCATGTATACCCATACCTGCACATGTACCCCCTGTACTGAAAATTAAGTTAAATTTATTTTTTTAATTATCTTAAAAATATAGAAAATGCAAATAGCACATAAGGTATAAAGGCTACCTCTAATTCCACTCTCTAGATGCAACCACTTAGGAATTTTTTGTGTATTCTTCCAGACATTTTCTATGTATATGTGAGGATATATATCATATAAATATTTATATGTGTAGTACCCTCACCCTTACATACATCATCTTCTTTTTAGTATAGGAATAGTATGACCCTATGTTCTACAGCTGCATAATACTTTTCTATATTCCCCTGTTAATGCATATTTAGACTGTTTCCCATCTTTTACTATTATAATAGCACTTTGTGTGTTTTTCTTTTTGATACCTGGGATCCTTTAATTATAATAAAGAAATTTATTCCATTTACATTTATTTTCATAACATAAATTTGGTCAACTTATTTTTTTGTTACTTTCTTTTTTACTGCTATCTCTTTTTTATTTTCTGCTATATGGTAAAGAGTTTATTTTGTGTATTTCTCTCCTGCTGAAAATTTGGGTTTTAGTGGTTTCTTTGTAATTATATTTAATATATTCAAACCTCTGTTTCTTGATGTATCAATTTTAGACAGTAACTACTGATGCCTGCTTTATAAAGTGAGAAAATGAAGAAGGGTGAAAATAAAGATAGGGTACTCTCTCCCAAATTACTTCCTTATTAACTTGTGATTTTCATTAGTTTTTTCTATATTTTATATTATCAGAGTTTATAATATTTACATTTTTTCTGTAATTATTGTTCCCACAGATATTTAGTCTTAGTTTTATATTTAAATGAATGTATTGCTTACCTCCAGACCTGCTATTCCACAGCTTCACCATTATCTTAGTCCATTTTTGCTGCTATAACAAAACCCTGAGACAGGGTAATTTATAAAGACAGAAATTTATTTTCTCATAGTTCAAGAGACCGAGAAGTCTAAGATCAAGGTGCCATCAGGTTCAGTGTCTGGTGAGGCCCTGTTGCCCATAGATGGTGCTGCCTAGGTTTCCTCATTTGGCAGAAGAACAGAACAATGGAATAGCAAAGAGGGACCTTAGCTAGTGCTCTGTAGCCCATTTATAAGATGTTAATCTTTTCACGATGGCTTAGTCACTTCCCAAAAGGCTTAGTCACTTCCCAAAACCTCCTCTTAATACTACCACAATGGAGACTGTATATCAACACATGAATTTTGGGAGACATTACCGCCGTAGCAACCATGTTGAATTCTTCATTTTGATGCAGTTCTTAGTTTGCTGTTTTCCATTATTAATAAGTTTTTCAAGATGGGTCAATAAGTACCATATTCCCTCTATGTTTTCAAATGTTTGAGAGTGTTTTTCTTTTATTTGTGTTAGAGGCCAGCATGAGTTTGCCTGCATTTGTCGATTACTTGATTTTCCTCCTTGAGACAGCACTTATGCTTACTATATGCAATAAGCTCTAACATTTTCTTTTACTGTATTTAAGTATGACCATTAAATTTATATTATCTTCTACGGAAGTTTTTTTTAATTTTCTTTAAAAAAAAATCTGTGCTAAAATATAGTATTAAATAACATGGGCATAGTGGTCTAAGGTTACCAGCAGCTTCAATTCTACATGATCTCTCAAAATACCCTTTTGCCAGATTTGCTGGGTACTCTGCCCTGGTGGCTTCTTTTCTACGGTTTTCTGTTTTGGGAGAGCTAGTCTGAGATCAGCCTACTTCTTAGTGAAGTCACCTAGATTACTGGTCCTATTTTGATGAGTCTGGGTTATATAACTCTGCTAATTCTGCCTATCAGATACAAAGCAGGTTCATACTTCTCTTTTCTCACTACTTCACCTCCATGAAGTTTTTTTTTTTTAAGGTGGGAGACCTGCTCAGGGGAAATATCTCTCTTCTGTCTCTGCCTCTCCTCCATTCTGAAGCTGGATCCCCACAAAGAATTACCGTACAATTCCAGGGTCCTATTCCTATCCTTAGACTATATTAAAGTTTATTGACTGTACCCCTCTAGACTCCCTCCTTATTTTCAGTGAAATGTATACATGGCTGGAGATGCAGCCATATATCGACTGGTGGTGCACTCCGCCTTTAGGGCTGAGTCCAAGTTTCATAGCAAGGCATGAGATTATGGTCGTTTTCTAATTCCACTGTAGATAGAATTTTCTTCCCAATTTCTCAAGTGTTTGTTCACATAGAGTTTCAGGGAGGGAAGTAGAGTCACTTACTTGACTTCATCATTTATTATCATCTCTTATTAGAGATCCTCAATCTGACAGATATGACAGAAATACTCTTTAAGGAAGATTATTCCAGAGCCTTTTAAGGTATATATTAAAGTGGGATGAGGTGACATACCAAAAACTCTCAGAATAATCTAGGCCAGTACAGTCCAATAGAACGCTCTGCAATGATGGAATTAGTCTCTATTTGTGTTGTCCAATATAGTAGTTACTAGCCACATGTAGTTACTGAGCACTTGAAATGTGGTTTGTGAAACTGAGAAATTGATTTGATATGAATTATTTCAAATTTAATTTTATAGGGCCACACTCAGCTAATGGCCATTATATTGGACGGTGCAGATCTGGGCAACATAAAAGTCTGAACATTAGACTGTGATGAAAGAAATGGAAATAAAAGAGGATACCCAAGAGGTGTTATGGAGAAAAGAAGCAGCAATGTTCCCATAGAGGAAAAGAGAAAGAGGAGATTTAAACAATTCAAACGCAGTTTGCTCAGAAGAATGGGGAAACTGGTAGTACCGTCAAATAAAAAAGGGTATCTTTTGAAAAATAAATATTTTAACAGGTTGAGTTCCCAGTGGTAAGGAAACCTCTAAGTGGAAATGACTATAAACAAGTAAAATTCTCAATGAATTGGGGGTGGGGGTGAGGGTCAAAGCTACCAAAAAAAAAATTTCCTTGACACTTCCGTCTTGGTCTCTTCTGCCACCATACACTCCTTTTCAGAGATTACCTTGTCCTCCTCAACATGGAGGGACCCTGATATATGACATAATAATGATTGTTCAGAGAAATTACTATTTTACCTGTTGAATGATTAATATGAAATTAGTTACTGAAACACTCACTGGTGCAGAGTATCAAAGAAACGGTTTTGTTTCAGAAAGGAAAAATATAAGATAAAATATTGCTTGGCACAGACGTAGTACTTTTCATCTGAGATTCTCCACGTACTCAGCAAGTTTAATTAATGAGAAAACCTCTAAGAAGGAAGTGATGAAATAAGGAACACAGATACCAGTGTTCTATTTCTGTGATTTTTAAAAATCAAGCTTAGTATTTTCCTCTTCCATTAATGCACACAAGTATTGCCCCATGAGGCAGCCATGAGATATTCATCTTTCTGCTGAATGATTTCTCTTGAAGGCATCTCACTTATGAGGGATAGCAACCACACAGAATCCTACCCCCTAACTTTATTGATGTCCTTTGCTCTATTTGCAATGGAAATCCATCCCTATCATCAGGGTGCAGCAAGCATTCTCTGATAATCGAGTCTGCACTGTCTCTGGAAAGATTGTTTTGTTGCAGAATGGAGCAGGTTATCTTCTTTATCAAAAATTACTTAAAACAAGCATCCATGAATCTAGGACTAACAGGCATTGAAAGGGAATAGGCAAGGCCCTTAACGGGTACCCTACTGTGTAATCTTCCTTTCATCTTAATTCAGAATCCCTTGGAAATTCAAGTTGCCGTATGCAAAAATATAAATTCTTCTAATTACTTCTGTGTAGGGCACAGGTTTGGCCTAATCAAAAGAGATATGCAATAATATATCCTGGCATTTGTTTTCATCTGTTGTAACTTGAGGATAGGTGCTGGGGTTTTGTTTTGGTTTTGGTTTTGGTCTCATGCCTTCTTATTCTTTTTGTTTTGTTTTTTGCTTTTTGCTTCCCAATTGAAATTGCCCAATTTCTTTTCTGCTCCTTACTCAGAAAAATAAAAAACAAAAATGTTGTTCTGCCAAAAGAGAAAAATACCTCAGAAAATCCTGCGTTCTAAAGATTTTTACAAATGATTTGATGTTTTGCAAAATAAAACTAGCTTCCATGTGCAAAACAGCTGTTTTTGTTCGAATAGGGGAAGATACTGATGGGTTTCAGTTGTTTTTTTAACTCGTCCTGGCCTCCCGTATGTCTCCAGTCATATACAGATCATTCACTTCTAGCCCACAGCCCTCTTATATTCTCTGGGCCCAGGACATCAAGTTTGTCCCATCTATTCTTGACTTTCTTTAGCCGCCTGAGCCAGCATCGTCTTATCTCTCCTCTTGTACACAGTGCCCCTTCTTTGTCCAGTGACAAGGTTTACACTCTTTTCTCATTAGTGCTGAAGACCTCCTCACACCATCAAGATCACCATTGTCCAGTAAGAGGCTATAGTGACCTTTCCATTTTAATACATTACTGAGAATTTAGTAGAGCTGATTTAACACTTTCCAGATTAAATGTCAAATTCTCAAAATTCAGATGGATTTGGAATCCACCTAAGTATATTTTTCTGCTTCCATTCCCAGTAGACTGCACAGTGGCACTGATTAGCACTAGCATTTTGTAATATCACTTAAGGCTTTAGCACTGTGGAGTTCTGCCAGTAATGGTGTTTAATTCACTTATATGTGCCAATTCATCTCTGTCAGGAACCTATTAATTTCTTCACTATTTTACTCTGTCCCTAGCGCCTATATAATGAGACACAATAATCCCCATTTGTATAACCAAAAAACTTAGAGTCTCTTGTAAATTATCCCTGATCCCACTGCTTTTAGTGACCAGAAAGCCTCTGTATTTCTTTTTCATATTTAAATCAATTTTCACAAGTTCCTTTCTTTAGAAGAATACACAGGAACTCTAGGGCACTAAATTACTGAAGTCGTAGAAAAACTAGAGGATTTTGATGAGTTTGTTAACATGCATCCCTGTCCCAAGAAAGGCTTCTATAATATCGAACCAAAGATGCACTGTTCCCACAAGCACATGCCATCTGTGGGGAGGGAATGTGAATGAAAACAGCCTCTGAAGCTACTATCAGCCTAGTCATCAGTGGGCAAGATATCAAAATACCCATAGCATTGCTATCAAAGTAAAGACCCTGTAACAAATAAAGATCAGATATATAAAATTAATCTTCTTATGCTGTTGGCATTTCTGCATGCTGTGATCTTGAGTAAACAGGAGAATGACAGCTAAGAGACGAGGAAGAGTTAACATAAATTCAAGAGAGTATTTCATTGTATTATTATATGAAACTCACATACATCTTTGCTACCTGTACTGTATTTTTCAGGATTGGAGCAAAACATCAGGAGCTAAGGGAAAAGCAGGCAAGAGGTCTTCTTGATTATGCTACTGGTGCAATTGGATCAGTGTATGATATGGATGATGATGAAATGGACCCCAATTATGCCAGAGTGAACCACTTTCGGGAACCATGCACATCAGCAAATGTCTTTAGATCTCCATCTCCCCCTCGAGCTGGACCATTTGGTTACCCTCGGGATGGCCATCCACTGTCTCCAGAAAGAGACCACTTAGAGGGTCTCTATGCCAAGGTCAACAAGCCATACCATCCACTGGTTCCAGCTGACAGGTAATAAACTTAGTGAAAGATAAATGTAGCTTTAATTCAGTATGTTTCAAATCATCTCTACTGCTGAAACCGATAAAAAATGTCTCCTTCAATCAATTAAAACTGAAACGAGTCAGTACCCTAGACAAGTGCCATCCTTTGACCGACCTGTAAGATATCCACCATCAAAAATAAAACAATAGCCAATTGTAAGGTGGCATGAATGAATAGTAGTAGCAGAGTTCATGATGCAATAGGGAGCCATTTTTGAAGGAGTATTGTGACAGACATCTCATGAAGAAAACTTTGAACGAATATTGTCCTTTCTCCTAAGAGACCAATTGTAAAAGATTTATTCAGGAAGATGGCATGGCACATGGAGGTGGAGAGTCAGAAAAGAGAAGATGATAGCTTCCAAGTAGGTGTAATTGAAGTGGGAATTACAGAAAGCTGCAGAGGAGCAGGGGCCTTTGAAAAGTAAGATGGGGGTTTTGTACTCAAGGGAAAGGTGACCCTGTATAGATATTCATGGATGATCAGAGGTAGAAAAAGAAATAATCTTGGCAATAGGAGTTTGATGAAGTAGAGAAAGATAAGAGGTGACAAGTCCACAGATCTTTAGGTTTAGCAGCTAAGGAGAGAGATAATAGGACTATCTGTCAGTACAATTGAAGTAGGTAGAAAACAAGATGATTCCAACCCCACCTCCTGCCAAAAGTAAAATGCTTCATGTCTTGAAAGACTGATGTAAGAGAGTTTTAGTCGATATACATTGTTAGGTGACCCTTGGAATTACACATGCAAGGAATGAGTTGACTGATCTTGGACTAATCTGACTAGCTTGACGTCTGGAGGGAGGTGGTGGGGAAGAAGGGTAGCAGGCACAGAGGGCTCTCATTCTGGATGAAGAAAAGACTTGTTTTCCAGACTTCTTAGGGTCCTGACAACCACCCAGTCCCTATTAGTAACCAGCCTTTGTGTGATGGCATGATATATTGCATATGTTTACCATTTACATTTCCCCAGCTGGGTGATATTATGCACTTTCAATTAGGTTGGGGAGAGGAAGGGAAATCATGGCATTTTTATGCAGACTGTAAAGTGTAGCTTCAAAAGACTGATTACCTTTCAGAGCCTTTCCAATAACCAAGTGGGAAGGAAGGAGCAATTTTTAATCCTTACTGTCAGGCATCCAGGTTGATAATATTAAAGAAAGATGGTGAAGTTTTTCTTTGGGACAAAATGAAAATATAAATTTTTATGACTGTGATATAGCCATAATAACTAAACTGCTAATTCAAAGAATTGATTAAGAGTTGGATTTTTCTCCCCAGCCTTCATAGAGGATTGAATTTTATTGTATAAATAATAACACCAGGCATGAGTCTCTTCTCACCCAAACCATAGTCAATCTTACCTTCCCTAAATTAGATAGGTCTTCATAACAATCCTCTCTGCGTATTCCACAGCTAGAATCCCAACACAGAGGGACTGTTTATAGGAACCTCTTAAGCCAGTATTTTCCAATACTAATTCCATGGAAATAAATGTGAGGCATTTTATAAAAAAGGATTCACAAGTCCAATACATATGGGGAATTCTAGGAATTCTAGGGTAAGCCACAAGGAACAGGTTTTCCTTTTTTTTTTTTTTTTTTTTTTTTTTGAGACGGAGTCTCACTCTGTCGACCAGGCTGGAGTGCAGTGGTACGATCGCGGCTAACCGCAACCTCTGCCTCCTAGTTTTGAGCGTTTCTCCTGCCTCAGCCTCCCGAGTGAGTAGCTGGGATTACAGATGCCTGCAACCACGGCTGGCTAATTTTTGAATTTTTAGTAGAGACAGGGTTTCACTGTCTTAACCAGGCTGGTCTTGAACTCCTGACCTCATGATCCACCCACCTCGGCATCCCAAAGTGCTGGGATTTGAGGCATAAGCCGCCGGGCCTGGGAAGAACGGGTTTTCTTATTGCAGTCTTTTTATGCCTAATATGCTGACATGCATTCTGAGTTTCTAAGAGGACCATCCAACAACCAGCATGCATCATCCCCCAAATTTTTGTCACCTAAAGCATATGTTTCCCCCAGATCTTTGGAACACTATTTAGGAAACTCTACTAACTAATCTATGTCGACGTGACCAGAAAATAAGTTTCTTATGATAATCTTAACTGCAGCCACTATAAAATGATATTTAAAAAATTATTGACTGCCCAGTCCAGACATATGTGTAAAAGAGTGTTACTTTTGGCTCTGACCCCTTTATATTAAAAGTGATCTAAAGCTGCTTTCAATAGAGTTTTCACCGCTGTCCTATTTTTGGATAGCAGATCAAAATGTGACTCTTTATACTCAGAATTATCTTTATCCTGCTCTTATCTTTAATTATGCTTAAAGACTGCCCTGCTCCTTGTTCTTCAAGTCTTCAAGCAAGCCGATTTTGTCCTGGCACATAGTAAGCATTCACTAATGTTAGGTATTATCATCATCATTGTTACTATTATTATTACTCTCCTTTTTCAATGAAAATCTGAACTTCCCTGATATGCCTGTGCCCAGATAAGTCTAAGAAGAGTTGCTATGGCAGTTTCCCTAATAGTATCCGTAAGCAGGAACCTACAAATTCTAAACATACCATACGTACTGTTAGAGGGCAATGCCATTCATCCATTCATCTTTTCATTCCTTCACTCATTTAGTAAGTATGTATTTGACACCTAATGTGTTCCAACTACTATAGAAAGCTTTAGGGAAGATAGAGAGATGATTAAGAAACAGTCCCAGGCCAGAAGAGGTCATAATCTAGTGAATAGAGGACCAACACATGTAGAAATGGATCATTGCATTGTCTTGTAAATAGAAGGAAAAGAAGTTTTTCCTTTCTAACTCTGCCTAAGCTAGTCAGGAAAGTCCTCCAAACAGAGGTGATATTTGAACTGGCTCTAGAAGGCTTAGTAAGACAGGAGCAATTGCAGTGGAAGAATTGTTTTCTTTGCAGAATAATTAAGCATGCACAAGAGCAAAGTGGCCTGAAAGAGCAGGCCTGTTAGGGGAGCTCAGAAGCACCCAGACACGGAGCATGGGTGGGAAGGAAAGTGATAGGAAAAGTGGCTGCAAAGCAGGCTGGGGTCAGTTTGTGATTTAATGGGTTGTATCTTAGGCTGCTACTTATTGATTGGTAGTGGCTGTCCAGAAATCTGTGTTAATGAAGGTCCTGAGGCAAGGCACAGTATAATCCCAGCACTTTGGGAGTCCGGGGTAAGGGGGAATCACTTGAGGCCAGGAGTTGGAGACCAGCCTGAGCAATATAGCAAGACCCCATCTCTATAAAATATTGTTCTTTCTTTTTTTGTGTGTTTGAGTCTCACTCTGTCACCCAGGCTGGAGTGCAGTGGCATGATGTCAGCTCACTGCAACCTCTGCCTTCTGGGTTCAAGTGATTCTCATGTCTCCACTTCCCAAGTAGCTGGGACTACCGGCACAAGCCACCAACCCGACTAATTTTTTGTATTTTTAGTAGAGACGGGGTTTTGCCACGTTGACCAGGCTGGTCTCAAACTCCTGACTTCAGGTGATCTGCCCCCCTTGGCCTCCCAAAATGCTGGGATTACAGGCATGAGCCACCATACCCGGCCTCTACAAAAGTTTTTTTTTTAACTATCCAGGTGTGGTGGTATGCACCTGTAGTCCAACCTACTCAGGAGGCTGAGGTGGGAGGATGGCTTGAGCCCAGGAGTCCAAGGCTGTAGTGACCTGTTGATTGTACCACTGTACTCCACCCTGGGTGACAGAGAAAGATCCTGTCTCAAAACAAAAAAGAAAGGTTCTGAAGTTATGCCTGAATAAGGGTATTTTTCCTGGACTCCAGAATGATGCGTGGTAGCAAGTGTGTAGTGGGTTTTGATGTATTTGCCAATCCCGTAGACAATGGGAGCCACTGAAGCGTCATAATTGGGGAATGAGCTGATGGATTTGTGTTTTGGGAAAATAGCTCTTCCAACTTGATGGCAGACAAAGAAGAAGATGGTTAGACTAAGAGACAGAGTAAGAGATGATTACAGTAGTAAATGAGGACAGGAGCTTGAAATAAGAGAGTGGCATTGGAGACAGGAGAGTATAAGAAGCAGCCCAAAACTTTAACTTAAAACAAAGACAAAGATGTTTAGCAGATATCACAGACATGAGGCTTTCAAATGCTTCAGAGAGCTCAGTGGAATAAGGACTAAAAAGAGGGCTTTAGATTTGGCCACTAAAAGGTCATCAGTTAATTTAGAGAGAACAGTTTTAGTAGCTAAGTAGGACCAGAGGGAGAATTATAATGAGAAGAGAATTGATTAAGAGGTGAGAACTTAAGGAGTGAGCTCTTGGTGACAAAGAGAGAGCAGAGTTATAGAATGGAAAAGTTGCAGCTTTGAAGTTCCTTCTGTGACAGTATTTCAGAGCTAACAAGAGAATTCAGAGACTGTCTAGAGTGACCTTCTCATATGATTACTGCAGAAACTGGGGCCCAGAGAAGATGAGTGACTTGCCCAAGGTCACACAGCATGGAATCAGGACTTTATCCTAGATCTCTGTGTTCTACAGTCTTCTTTTCCCTACCCCACACTATGATATAGACCCACACTCTCATTTCCTGCTTGACGAATGTATTAGTCCATTCTCGCACTGCTATAATGAGATACCTGTGACTGGGTAATTTACAAAGAAAAGAGGTTTAATTGGCTCACAGTTCTGCAGGCTGTCCAGGAAGCATGATGCTGGCATCAGCTCAGCTTCTCAGGAGGCATCCACAAACTTTCAATCGTGGCAGAAGGCAAAGGGGAAGCAGGCAGGTCTTACATGGCAGGGGCAGGAGCAAGACAGAGAGGAGGGAGGTGCTACACACTTCTAAACGGCCGGATCTCACGAGAACTCACTCACCATTACAAAAACAGTACCAGTGGGGAAATCCACCCCCATGATCCAATCATCTCCCACCAGGCCCCACTTCCAACACTGGGGATTACAATTTGACATGAAATTTAGGCAGGGACACAGATCCAAACCATATTAAGGAAATTAGTACCTGGATAAGTAAAGAAGCATCCATCTGGGCTCCCAACATATAATGGCAGATTAAATCATGGGTATGGGAATGAAGCTGATATGGGTCCAGTCCACTTCCAAATACTGCTGCATGAGCTGCATGACTTATCCAAGATGCCATTTTTTATTTTCATGCATTTAATTCAACAAATACTTATTGAGTATCCACTAAGGGTCAGGGCCTGAGTTCAGTACTGGACTCACCAGGGAACTGGGAGGAAGATGACTATGCTGCCTTCATTATGGATATTAGGATCCAATGGCAATACAAAGACCTAAACATGCAGTGAGAACACAGTGTGGAAAGTGCAGCCGAAGAGTAAGTGCAGGGTACTGTTTGGGGCCAGGCAGCAAGGGTGAAAACAGAGGGGAGAGGAAGCATGATGTGTTAGGGGGACTGAAAGACTCTCAGTAAAATAGAAACCTGGTGGGAGGGGTAAATGGAAAGAGAGAACATGGGATGGCCTCAGAGCTGACCAAAGGCAGATGAGAGAGGTTGGCCGGCCTTGACGAAGAGTTTGGACTCTATCCTGAGGGAGGTGGGGCAGGGTTTGGGTTGGAGAAGAGCTCGCTGAGGGGAAGAACTCACTGAGGGTTTTAACGTGAGATATAATCCTGGAATTCAATAGGCTGTTTAATAGCATAGGCGGTTTATCCTCATCTACTTATTTGTAAAAGGGAAGATTATAATATAGCCTTGCATCCTGTGATGGTTAAATATGATTTTACATTTTGCATTTTTTTCTATCTCCATATGAAACATACCCTATTTGTCCATATATCTCTGTCACATAGGAACAGATCGTGTGTATGTGGTCCATAGTAGCTTTCTAATAGAGGCGACTTCGGTCTCATACCTACTTGCTTCTCAAAGGTTGGCCCTGAACCTTCAGTCCATCTTAGAAAAAAAAAATTGCCTTATAAAAGATTCATCTATAAATGACAGTGGTTAAAAAAAAATTTCTACCACCAGGACAGAGACACGTGACTGGATTTTCACAATGCTGGTTCTTCCAGGATTTGAACGTAGCATGGGTTAAATCCTGCCCTCAAAGCCTGACAATTACTCAGGTTTACAATGTGTTAGTTTTCCACCGCAATGCCAGCATTGAAAGGGCTCCCAGAGTGTATGAACATGAAAACTTTATGTCTGGATGAGGACAAAACAGTTCCAAATAGGGGGCTAGAAGGTATATGTGGCACACAGCACAAATGCAGTTTTGCATTAGTTTGTGTGACAATTTGACATTCATTTCTAGAGGTTGCCAAATGGGTTTGATTGCACACAGTATCAGTAAAAGAAAAAAATTGCTTTCGGGTGTTAACCTCTAAAAATATGGGCATTTGTTTCTAACTGATATATACTAATTTACCCTACTAATATATTACATAGAAGACATATACCAAATAGAGAAATTAATTTTAAAATGAGACTTTAACAAATTGTAACATGAGTAGTGGTTCTGATATTTTCTTCCTCCCTCAAATGGGGTTTATACAGCCCATTTTGGAGACCACTGGTCTCAGCTTCAGGCTTCAGGGTGGTAGGGACCTATCCTGCTTTTGCTCACCTGTCTCCTCAGTTCCTGGGGCAGTCTGTCCTCAATAAATATTTTTGGAATAATGAATGAATGGTTTAACAGGATCTTTCTTTTTTTTCTTGAGATGGAGCTTCACTCTTGTTGCCCAGGCTGGAGTGCAATGGCACGATCTTGGCTCACTGCAACCTCCACCTCCTGGATTCAAGCGATTCCCTTGCCTCAGCCTCCCGAGTAGCTGGGATTACCCATGTGTACCACCAAACCCAGCTAATTTTTTGTATTTTTAGTAGAGACGGGGTTTCACCATTTTGGCCAGGCTGGTCTTGAACTCCTGACCTCATGATCTGCCCACCTGGGCCTCCCAAAGTGCTAGGATTATGGGCGTGAGCCACCGCACCCGGCTGATTTAACAGTATCTTAAAGTTGGCTAGCACCTTCAGTGGTCAAGCCTCACGTCCCACTCATCAGAGGCATCTTCTCCATGAACTGCCTCATGAATGTCACCTAACTCACATTGGCATACTTCAGTGACAAAATTCATGAGGCATCCTTTTTCTTTTAGATCACTCTAGTTGATGTAGAAATGCCCACTTTTTACCCACCCAAACACTGTCTCCGTGTAGCTTTTACCAGGGATCTTGGGTTGAGCTACCTGGACACAGCATCTAAGCCTCATTAACAGCCTTTTAGGTATTTAAAGTGACTGCTATGACCACCTTCACTAACAAACATTTATGAACTCTAAACATATGGCCAGGCTCTGTGCTTAGCACTGGCCTTAAGAAGGATGTAGAAAACACAGCAAATGACCTTGAGAAGTTTCTTGTATAATCATTTCTTCGGCATAAACTCCCCCAGCTGTTTTAGCCCCTTCTTAAATTATAATTCACACCTTCAGCCCTCTTGGCAGCCATTTGGGGAATGTGTACACTAAAGTCTATTGAGTTTATGATTGCTTTGTTGGGCATGGCATGCAGAACTGGGTACCATATTTCAGATATGGTCAGAAAATCACAGAAGTCAGTGGGACTCTGGGTATCCTTTGATTTTAATCCTTTACACTTATTAATGTGGCCTAAGCTTTTATGTCCATTGTCATTATTAGCTTATATTGCACTTTTTAACTAAATGTTTGGTTTTTTTCACTTAAGTTGCTATCAAACAAGATTCCCCAATAAATTTACAAAATCCTTTATTGGTACAATAACTTTTTAAAATGTGGGATAGTCTCTTTATCCAAGTTGAATATTTACTTGTTAGGGTTAGCCCATTGTTGTAGCCAATAAAGATATTTTAAAGTATGGATTTTTGTACTCCAATGTATTTGTTATTCCCTAGATTTTACCAGCCTCATATTTAATCATTGTGGGCTCCTCCATGTCATTGATAAGATCGTTGATCAATGTCAAATACAATCCCAGCACTCATCACTCGAGACCTCCATTAATCAACACTCTTTGGGATCTTCAGTTAGCTATTAATCTAGTCTGCTATTATCTAGTCTGCATTTTCCAGTTCATCTGAACTTATCTTAGTGATAACGAGGTACACCATGTTTGTGAAAATCCATTGATTTACCACTCTGGTAACCCTAACAAGAAAAGGAATTACGGTTGGGTGCCGTGGCTCAAGCCTGTAATCCCAGCACTTTGGGAGGCCGAGGCGGGTAGATCACCTGAGGTCAGGAGTTCGAGACCAGCCTGACCAACATGGAGAAACCCCATCTCTACTAAAAATACAAAATTAGCTGGGCGTGGTGGCCCATGCCTGTAATCCCAGCTACTTGGGAGGCTGAGGCAGGAGAATCACTTGAACCCGGGAGGCGCAGGTTGCAGTCAGCCAAGATTGTGCCATTGCACTCCAGCCTGGGCAACAAGAGCGAAACTCCATCTCAAAAAAAAAAAAAAAAAAAAAGTGTGGGAAACTATTTGCTCTTGATGAATCTTAGAGACCGCTTTTTTTTTTGTTGTTTGGAGACAGGGTTTCCCTCTTGTTGCCCAGGCTAGAATGCAGTGGCGCGATCTCAGCTCACTGCTACCTCCACCTCCCAGGTTCAAGTGATTCTCCTGCCTCAGCCTCCCGAGTAGCTGGGATTACAGGTGCCCGCCACCACGCCCAGCTAATTTTTTGTATTTTTAGTAGAGGCAGGGTTTCATCGTGTTGGCCAGGCTGGTCTCGAACTCCTGACCTCAGGTGATCCACCCGCCTAGGCCTCCCAAAGCGCTGGGATTACAGGCATAAGCCACCGCGCCTGGCCCCCTTTATTTTTCCTCTTTCTAATTTTCGTAAATAATGTGTCCATTTAGACTTAATTATGCAAAATAACACTTTCTGTGAGCTGATGTAATACCAGGCACTTAGAGGCACTTAGTATTTGCTTACTAAATACTTACTTAGTAACTGATATATGGCAGCTGTAAAATTGAAGTGGCAGACAGCGCACAGCTCCTGAATGCTCCAGTTAAGCAGCTTTTGTTTTCCAGCATGTATCCACTAATTTTGCAGAAAACTTTTATTGAGCATCTGTTGTGTTCCAGAGGTCACACAAAGAAGTTTAGAAGCAATCTGACTCTCAAGGAACTCAGTCTGATAGCCAAAACTATCTCATAAACAAATAATTACAATATAATATGTTCCATTAGAATAGAGGTGTATGTGGGATATGTTGTAAAAATCATGAAATTGTTAAGTGCATTCAGTGTGAGAAAGACCTGAGACTATAGATTTATCTTTCCAGGGCCTTGGTTCAAATGTATTAATTTTTCAAAGCCTGATTTCTCACTGTAAAATGAAGACATGAGTATATCTGCTCTTGTCTGGTTTATTCGTGGATTAAATGAAATCATTTCAGTGTTAGGCTCAATAAATGTCAACTATATTTAGGAAGATTATTGGACTATATATTATCAGACTGTATTACATATTATTGGTATATATATTGAGAAGATTATTGAACTAAATATAACTATTGAGGAAGGTTATTGATTGTATCTAGCTGTTGACCATTTAAAATAATAGGTTTGGGAACCTGTTGGAGTCCATCTGTTCCAGGGTCCCATATTTAGTGGTTAATTCCTAGCTCCAGCCTCAACTCCTGCCAGTGTATTGCAATCATCAGAAAGAAAAAGTAGAAACAGAAAAGCAAGTGAGGAGATGAAAGGCAAGAAAACTTAAAAAATTTAAGTGCAGATTCTTTTTTTTTTTTTTTTTTTTTTTTTGAGGTGGAGTCTCGCACTGTTGCCTGGGCTGGAGTGCAATGGCATGATCTCGGCTCACTGCAACCTCCGCCTCCCAGGTTCAAGTAATTCTCCTGCCTCAGCCTCCTGAGTAGCTGGGATTACAGGCGCCTGCCACCACATCCGGCTAATTTTTTTGTATTTTTAGCAGAGACAGGGTTTCATTATGTTGGCCAGGCTGGTCTCGAACTCCTGACCTCAGGTGATCCGCCCGCCTCGGCCTCCCAAAGTGCTGGGATTACAGGCATGAGCCACTGCACCCAGCCCAACAGGCAGATTCTGTTAGATCAGTCATATCATCTGCATAAGTGAAGAGAGCATTCATTACACACTGAGCTACTTTGGCAATTGTTTGTTACAAACCATAACTCATTAGATATCCCTAAGCTCATCATCGGAACTGAGGCAATATCCTACCATGTCACTTGATTGTCCATTTGGTTCTGAGTCAGGCTTAACAATCATCCACAGAACAGACTAGTCCAATTTCTATGGGTCCCAGAAGAGCTGTCAATAACAACAGTGTCAAGTCAGATCCTGTTTGACTGTAAACAACAGAAAACTCAGCTGATACACATGTGTCTCGCCCATTAAGGAATTTAGATGGCCTTTTTTCCTCTTCCTCTCTTGCCTTTCCCAGTGGCAAAGCCTCTTCTTCATGTTGCATCATGATTCCAAGATGGCCGTAGCCACTCTAAGTTTCATGTCCACCTTCCAGGGAGAAAGGAGAAAGGGGCAAATGGCCAATGGAATGTGCTAGTCAAGTTCATCCCTTTGAAAAGATTCCCCAGTAGACTCCAACAACTTCTCATTGGCAAAAAATGTATTAAAAGATTTACTCTAGTGGCAAAAAGGTGTTGAAAATAGAATTTCAACTTTCCAGTAAACAAAGTCAAGAGAGAAGTGAGTAGTGAGTGGCTTTTAGGGCGACACTCTATGGAATCCACCACAAATAGATTACCTTTAGATGTCTTTTCTCTTTTTTTTCAGTTCCCTTTAATAATGCAAAAGTTATAGATTCATAGTATATAGTACTTTCGTCAAATATATTCTTATTAACTCCCTGTGAGAGGCTATCCTTATTATGTAGACCCTCTTTTATAGCTAAGGCAGAAATATTTCAGCCTGAACAACTTGTTTTACATTTTTTATTTTTAATTTTTGTGATTATGTAATAGGTATATATATATATATATATATGTATTTATGGGATGCATGAGATATTTTGATACAGGCATACAATGCATAATAATCACATCATGGAAAATGGGATCTCCATCCCTTAAGCATTTACCCTTTGTGTTGCAAACAATCCAATTATACTCTTTTAGGTATTTTTAAATGTACAATTAAATTAATATTGACTAGAGTCACCCTGTTGTGCTATCAAATACTAGGTCTTGCTTATTCTTTCTAACTATTTCTTTGTACCCATTAACCATCCCCACCTCCCTTCCACCGCTCTGTCTAAATAACTCCTAGAGGCAACTGGGGGACATACATTCCTAATTTTCATGACCACTGAAAAAGCATGTGCTTTGGGAATGCTAAAATAAGGGCAATGAGGGATAGAAAAAGCATTAACAGGAAGCTTTGTAGCTGTGTGAACAGCTGGATGTGAACATATCTTGTATCACTGGGGCAATGTAGGATAGTTGATATCTCTTTGTCACGACAGTTTGTTAATTTCAGAGATTCAGCATTTCATTGAGCCATAGCATTGTCATGTACAGCTCATACCTCTGTTGGTGTTTGTCCCCAGTCTCTTTCTCTCTAGTGAGTTTTCCAGTTAATTTTATTTTAGTTTAATAGCATTTTGTCTGTCACCTCTGACTCATGACTTCGTGTGGCTGTGTGTAGGGACTTGAACAGTGAATACAGTAGATTACTTAGAGATTTGTTTTTAGTTTTTACAAGTGAACAAAAGTGATCACATTTCAATGTGGGAATCCCAGTGATAAATGCCATTTCCGTAGAGAGTTAACTCATCAATTGAACAAAGCAATCAGATTTTTTTTCTTAGAACATATTACCATCAATTTTTAAGTGACTTTTAAACAATAATGAGAAATCTCTTAATGAAAGAATCTCTGTGACCAGATAAATGCTAATAGTAACTGATATACCATTAACTCTACTTTCCTCCATCCCATCTCTTTAAAACTTGATGTTCTCATTAATTTTTTTCCCGTCGTCTGAGAGCCCTACCCTTGGGACTATACTAGTTATATCTGCCTAAATTGTCAGTGTCCAGGGGTGACAGATGTAGACAATCTCCTCCTTTATTATGCATGAGCTAGGCAAAGAGGGTTTGTACTCAGTGACCATCCATTTTCAAGGCCCCTTCCCCCCATCCTCAACCACTGGGGGTAAATGGGCATGTTTGAGGAATGTTTGCCAAAGGGTTACCCTGATTTATTAAAGCTGTCATTTAAGCATTTAAGCATTGACCGGGATGCTTTTCAAACAAATGACCTGATCCTTAGGATATATTCATCTAACTAATTCTGTTTACTAAGAAGAGGTTGGAAGGTATATGCAGAATTTCTTCACTTCGACATAAAATAACACAAAGAGAATGGCACAGAACCCAGAGTTTCTTGCCCTCCAGAGAGATGCAGCTGACAATCTGGAATAATAACAGTGTTATGCTATGATATGATAAGGGTGAGCCAGAGATGCTTGAATGCAGATCTGGCTCCTTGAAGGAATCCATATTATGACCTAAAGAAGAACTAGAAACTGAGTGGGTATAAGGGCATGCACAAAGGCCCACAGAGAAAACATGGTACGTTTAGGAAACCACATATATTAGAAGAGCTGGAGTGTAGAGTGTAAGTCAGGGCCAGCTGGAGGCCAGAGATGAAAGTTAGCACAGGCCATGTTGTTAAAGGCCAGATAATCTAAGATAAAACATTTAGACTTTAGCCCAAGGCAATGGGGAACGCTTAAAGTAGGGTTGGCATGTTCAGATGTGTGCTTTAGAAAGATGACAGAAATCCTGTGGAGTAGGAATCTATTTCACCGATGAAAAACTAGAGGCTCTGAGAAATTATGAAACTTACCTATGGTGACACAGATAATAAGTCGGCAGAGCTAAGGTTTCAACCCAAGTCTTACTCCAAAACTCATGCATGAGCTTCCAGCCATGCTAAGGTTTTTCAAACTTCATGTTACACCCTATTAGTACCTCTTAAAATCAATGTAGTGTGATCAATGAATATTTGTTAATAGAATATAAAGGAAAAAGAAAGAGCATTACATATACTGTAAGTAATTAAGCATTGTTTTGTATTTTTGTTGCAGTTGTACATGTATGTAAAATGTGGACATAGGGTATGTGTATAGCTGAGTATTGGCACATGATGCAAAATGCATTTCTCAGAGTAGATTGCAGTCAAAAATGTTGGAAACTACTAAGCATGTGCAAATAGCATGCATGCTGCTGCTGACCTGCCAGATATTTCTCCCTTCCTCCCTTTCTCCCTCATTTATTCATTCATTAACTGATTCATTCATCCCATTAAAAAAATTATATGTATGTTTTGTGCAAAGCACCCTACTCAAGGCTGCGGGGTACAAAAGTATATCAGAAGCCTTGGGCTTTGACCTACTTCTCTGTAGTAGTGCTAGATTTGTGTGGATCTGCCACACTTACTCCAGGCCTCTTGTGACCTGTGCTTTGCATTAATCTCTTAGGCTAAGCCACATACCTTTTCATTATACAATCTTTGCTGATGCTAAGGACAGATTCCAAAGTGCCCTCCTTATAATTTTTGTATTTAATGCAAAGTGTAATCAAGAATAGGCCATTGTTAGGTCAATTGCTTTTCTGTATTTATCTTTTCAAACAATAAATAATCAGTGGGATGAAAAAGGGCCGGAAAAGATAGTTTTAATGGTATACTCATAATTATCCAACATTTTAAGGAGACGTTTTAATATTTATATGCTGTGAAATATCCTCTCTTCTGGAAAGCTGACTGAGGATTGGTATGAACCCATCCAGAAATGGAATTCAGGAGCCATTGTTTTGCACAGACTTCAGTCAATCCTGAGCAAGCACTCTGGATTTTCCCAAACTTGGCCGTTACTCAGCCTCTCACTCTCCAAATTGTCAAGACTTCTGTATACCACACTAAGAAGGATATTCTCTTCCATGTAGATGCAGAAGATTTTCTATGTCAAGTTCAGTAGGGGGCCTAGGCTCAAGCCATGCTCATTCTTAGAGGAAAACCTGACAGGATATCCATATACTATGCCCTCTACTGATTTATTCACGAAAAACCAAGCCCCAAAAATGCCAGTCAGGTCACACGCACACTTAACACCAAGAGCTTAAGGTGTAGTCACATCTTACAGGGAAGGTTAGTCTTTAAAGTCAAACACAAGATAAGAATAGCTCACAGTCAAAATTACCCTTGAAAATCCCTTAAACTACCCTTTAAGCAAAGTGTGTATGATATTATATACAACATTTATATTAATTAGTATTTATTTACACTGTGGTTTAAGAGCCAGGAGATAGAACAAAGGAAGACAATAAAGGAAAATCTGTATAGAAGAGACAGCTTAGCAGTTAAGGCCATAGATTCTAAAGCCAAACCTTCTTGATTTAAAACCTGGCTCTGCCACTCAGTATAGTTGTGTGGCTTTGCGGAAATTATTACCATCTCTCTGGCTCAGTTTCCACATCTGTAAAATGAGCATAATCGTAGTACCTACATCAGAGTGTTATTACAAGGATTTGCATTAATCTCTTAGGCTAAGCCACATACCTTTTCATTATACAATCTTTGCTGATGCTAAGAACAGATTCCAAAGGACAGATTACATATATGAGTTCATATATGTAAACAGAAAAACAGCAGCTGGCAGTTAATAAGCACCATTTAAGTTTAAGCTAATGTAATATATGCTGATATGTGAGCATTTACACCATTTTGTCATTAAGATTGCGATTCATTCCCTGTTAGTGAACTTTGAAGTTGGGTAGGGAATTACAAAATGTTCTTAATTCTCAACTTTAGTAGATTTTTTTTTTCCATTTGGATGACAGTTCTTATCAAATAACTTCATATATTTGTCTTTACATTTTCTGTAACCATATAGTTATAATTATTATATAGTCATAGTTATATATAGTTATATAGTTATTTTTAACTTTTTATTTTGAAATTTTTCTAGAGTCAGAAGTTGCAGATAAAATATTGAGAAGTTCCTTGTACCCTTCACCCAATTTTCTCCAGTGGTTACATCTTACATAATCGTAGTACAATATCAAAACCAGGAATTTGACATTGGTACAATGCATGTGCATAGTTCTGTGCCATTTTGTCACACAGGTAGATCCACGTAACCATTTTTGCAGTCAAGATATAGAACTATTTTCATCACCACAAAGACATCCCTCATACTACTCCTTTACAGTCACACATCTTTCCCCATCCCTAACTCTTGGCAATCCCTCATCTGTTTTCTGTCCATAATTCTGTCATTTCTAGAATGTTACCTAAATGGAATCACATAAATGGGGTAGCATGTGACCTTTTGAAGCATGTGGCTTTTTTCACACCCTGGAGATCCATCCAAGTTTTGTGGGTATCACTAGTTCATTTCTTCTTACTTCTGAGTAGTAACCCATGTATGGATGCACTATTTGCTTAATCATATTGGATATGGTTAACCCATGGTATGGATGTACCATTGCTTAATCATGCTATGGATGTACCATTTGCTTAATCATTCATCTGTTCCTGGATATTTTGGTTGTTTCCAGTTTATGGCTATTACAAACAGAGTTGCTATAAACAGTCACCTACATGCTTTTGTGTGAACATATGTTGTATGTCTTCCATTCTTATCTGTATGCTTTTTATTTCCTTTTCTTGCCTCATTGTGCTGGCTAGAACCTCCAGTACTATGTTGAGCCACAGTGGTAAAAATGAACTTTCTTGACATTTTCCTGAAAGAAAACATTCCTTCTCACTGTTGAGTGTACTGTTAGCTATAAGTTTTTTGTAGCTGTCTTTATCAAGTTGAAGAAGTTTCTCTTCATTCCTGGTTTTCTGAGAGGTTTTATCATAAATGAGCATGAATTTTGTCAAATGCTTTTTCCACTTCAGTTCATATGATCTTGTGATTTTTTTTTGTTTAGGCTGTTAACATGTTGGTTTACATTGATCACTTTTCAAACATTGAACCTGCCTTGCATTTCTAGAATAAAACTAATTTATTATAGTATATAATTATTTCTAGTCATAGTATATAATTAAATGTAGTCATAGTATGTAACTATTTTATATATTTTTAATTGTATTAAATATAATCATTTAATAAATACTCAGTTAAATATAATTTAATAAATATTAAATTGAATAATCAATTTAATATTGTATTATGAAATAATTTATCATAAATTTAATAAATTTAATAAATCGTTTAATAATTATATATATTTAATTCATTTGCTAATATTTATTGCTGTCTTCATTGAATGTGTAAGGAAAGTATTACCTCCCCTTCTTTTTCTGGAAAGGATTGTGTAGAACTCATGTTAATTTTTCTTTAAACATTTGTTAGAATTTTCCAGTGAAATCATCTGGGCCTGGAGAGTTCTTTTTTATGAGGTTTTTAATTATGAATTCAATGTCCTTGATAACTGTAACGCTATTCAAATTATATCATGTTGTATGAGTTGTGGGAGTGTTTACTTTTCTAGGAGTTGGTCCATTTTAAGTTATCAAATGTATGTGTGTAGAATTGTTTGTTGTATTCCCTTATTTTCCTATTGATCTGATATTGTTAGTATCTTATTGATCTGCATATTCTGTAGTGATATCCTCTGTTTCATTCCTGATATTTATAATTTTTATTTTCTCCTTTTTTTGTCAATCTTGTAGATTTTAGGCTATGTTTTCATGTATCTTAAATCTACAGATGTTTTGAGCCAAACAATACACTGTAATTACTGTTTATATGGTAAGCATTTATTTTAACTGTTGCTTTTTCTCTTTGTTCCTTTCTGAATATCTGTGTTTCCCAGAATACTTTTCCTTTTTTCCTTAATTATTTCCTTTAGTATTTTTGTAATGTGGCAAATTCTCTGTTTTTATTTGTTTTAAAACAGTTTTATTTCATCTTTATTTTTAAGGATATTTTCTCTAGGTATGTAATTGCCAGTGATTTTTTTCTTCTTTTAATATATTAAAGATATCATTCCATTGTTTTCTAACTTTCAATGTTTTTATCAAAGTTTGTTGTCAGACAACTTACTCCTTTGAAGATACAGGTTGAACATTCCAAATCTGAAAATCCATAATCCTAAATTTTCTGAAATCTGAAACTTTTTGAGCACTGACATTATGTTCAAATGAAATGCTCATTGGAGCACTTTGGATTTTGGATTTTTAGATTTGGAATGCTCAAACAATAAGTATATAATGCAAATATTCTAAAATCCAAACACATCCAAAATCCAGAACACTTCTGGTCCCAGACTTTTCAGATAAGGGATACTCAACCTGTAATGTATCATTTTTCTTTGACTGCCTTAAATTTTTTCCTTTTTGTCTTGGTTTTCAGCAGTTTTACTGTGATGTGTCTGTGAGCGTGTGTTGGCAGGGAGGTATGTTTAAACCTGATTAGGATTTGCAGAGCTTCTTAAATCTGTGCTTTAGTGTTCTTCATCATCTTTGAAAAATTCTCAGCTGGTCACACCTCTTCAGAATTGTTTCTGTTCCCTCCTGCTCCTCTTCCTCTCCTCTTCTTCCTCTTGTCTTCCTCCTCGTCTTCCATTTTCTTCTGTCTTTCTCTCTCTCTCCCTTCCTTCTGGGATCCAATAAAGCAAAAATATTTGACCTTTCTGTACATGCGTCTTGCTCTCTGTTCGTTTCTGGTTTTCTCTCTGTGATGCAGTCTGGTTTTTGAGTTCTCTGTCTTCTGATTTACTACTCTTGCCTGTGTGCTGTGTCCAGTCTTCTATTAAACCCTTCTGTTGAGCACTTAATTTTAGTTATTGTAATTTTCAGTTTTAGGTGTCTATTTGTTTGTTTTACCCTGAGATGCTACTTCTCTGATGAAATTCTCCATCATATTATCTTTTTTCTTGAATAAATTAATTGCAGTTATTTTAAGAACCATGTCTAATAATGTCACTATCTGAATAATGTCACTATCTGAACTGTGGGTCTGTTCATATTGTTTGATTTTCTTCTTCACTTTAGTCATTTGGTCTTATCTCCTGGTATGCATATTTTTGATCAAATGCTAGACACAGTCCTTGAAAAGCTGTAGAAATCTCAGGCTGATGATACCTTTCTTCAGAGAAGA
This sequence comes from Homo sapiens, assembly GCF_000001405.40. Classification (NCBI taxonomy): domain Eukaryota; kingdom Metazoa; phylum Chordata; class Mammalia; order Primates; family Hominidae; genus Homo; species Homo sapiens. Next base: position 205,458,841 of record NC_000002.12, read on the forward strand.
TGTATTTAATAATATGTCCCATTAAGGGACACATTGCCTTAATGCAGTCTTTGATTGAGATCACTAGAAGCTGGATTTTAGTTATGTGAGGGGTAGTGTATTAGTTTACTCTTACTCCTAGAGGGTAACCTTTCTGTGATTCTAACTGAGAGTCTGTGTTGTTTACGAGTCCCTTCTTCCTTAGCAGGTTCTCAACTCCAATTCCTATCTTCCCATCCCTGTGAGAATGTCAGAATCTCTGCTCAGCCTCCAAGTCTCTTTGCCACTGCACTCTGCTCATTTTCTTAGCATTTGATTCTGTGCCACTTGTGAATTAGCAAATGACTTGGAGAGAAAAAACGCCACAGAATATTGGGCTCAGTTCAGTGTGCTTACCTACCTACCTTTTAGAATCAGTCTTGGCCTCCCAAGTCCTAGCTGTCTTGGGAGTTCTCCAATGCCTTCAAGTAGTTTTTAGGTTTCCTTTTTTTTAAGCTTATCCAGCTTTTTTGATTATTCTCATGAGAGTAAGAATGCAACAAATTCTTCCACCATCGCCAAAAATAGAAACCCTTATCTTTTTTTTAATGTTAAGTGTTGACAACAATATATGGTTAACAGACTTCGTTGTTAGAAGGATAAAAAGAAATTAATATATATGAAAGTAACATGAATAGGGCCTGGTACATGATAGACACTTTTAAATTACTTTCAATTTGAATTTGAATATACAGTGATTTTGGAAACACTGAAAAGGTTAGTGATTAGCATTACATTTTTGCCTGTTGATCTTTCTTGTTGAGGCCCTACAGTCACTGTTGTGCTCCTGGGCCTTGGTCTTATGAACCTTCCATCAGTCACATTCCTGAAGGCTGCCTCTTCCCATCAGTCTCCCTCTCAGAGACCTGTTGGCCCTCCTCACCATTTCAGTGACCACGTTTAGCAACAGGAAGGATGGGTTTGCTTCCTTCTCTCGTGGCTCATGTCTCAGTGTTCACCACAGAAAATAGCTAATCTGGTGGTGGTCAACTTCAGACCTTTGTCTCGTTTGTTTTCCTGAATGTTTGCCACTGCTTTGCACTCACTGCAGCCTTGTTCCAGCTTCTTTCTCCTGGCAGTGAGGCCAGTGTTGGTGAAAGATGGCATGGATCTTACAAATTTGTACTTATGTGAGTGAAAACTGAGAAATGCCGAGAAAGACAGGCAGAACTAGATCTAAGTGTTTCAGAAACTAGGAACATTACAGTACCAGAAGACTTGGATGTGCTTAATTCCAGTTTAGAATCTGGAAAACAACTTTTTTGAGTCTCTGCAATTTCCAAGTCTCAAAACTAATTCACTAGAAAACATTTAAAATGTAAAGCAATAGACTTCAGTAGTAATTTTCAGATCATTTGAGTCTAAATGCAGCTTTGAGGATATGCAGTTCGTAAATTTCCTACTGGGTCATTTTTTTTCTGAGAGGGTATTTCTCTAAACTATATCAGATAAAGGATGCCCAGAATTTGCTCAGATGTGAGTTTCAGGATCTAGAAACACAATATGAGGATTATCAAGACTAAGGATGTTGATAGTGATGATGATGATGATGATGATGATGATGATGATGATGATGATAGTCAATAGTAGTATTTATTGTATATTTAATATATGCCCAGCATTGAGGTACTTTACATGCAATATGATGTCTCTTGAGCAACATTTAACTTTCTATTGATTACTTCTCTTGAGGTTATCATCTTTCTCCTAGTGGTCATTAACATAGAGTTTGAAGCTGGGCATAAATCCTAGGTATAAATCCTAACTCCACAGCTGCTGTGATCTTTGTCCATACAATGTAACATCTTTGAGCCTCTCTTTGCCTCCAGAATGAAGGTGATACCGTATCTCATAAAATTCACAGAGGCCTGAATGAGTTAATGCATGGCAAACCTGAAGCACAGTGACTGGTTCTTCCTATTGTGTGATCAGCAAGTTGTAGCCATTTTTTTCCTCACTTTTCTACCACTATTGGTTGAAGTGCCCTTTATTTGACCCGTCAAATAGAGGATCTGGAGAATAAAAAAATCTAACAATGTAAGAAGAGGAGGCTACAGAAACCACTGATGATGTATTCTGTACCAGCTTAGCCTCCAGTCCAGGGCTTAGGAAACAAGGTTCTTTAACAGTCATTTGATTTCCATAACATTCATTAAATTAATGAATCTCCATTCAACAGATATTTATTGAGTGAGATTTAGACACAGTCCTTACTTTCATGGAACTTAAGACCTACAGGAGGAGACAAATATTAAATGTGTAGTTATAAGTAGAGTGTCATAAACATATTTGACACTGTGGAGGATCAAGAAAGAAGTCACTGAGAAAGCGACATTTAAGTCGAGACTCAAAGAGTGAGTAGCCATGAGAATTTGGGTGCTGAAAGAGGCATGAAAGGCACTCTGGGCAGAGGAGCAGCATGGGGGATGCCCTGATGTGGAAAGGAACTTGGCATGTGTGAAGAAGTGAAAGAAGGTCCTCTTACCAACACCAAGCAAGAGGATAAAGAGCAGAGGCTTAGTAAATGGATGAGTCAGTCTGCCTGGCGCCTTTCTTCCCTTCATTGAACCAAGAGGTATTCCCTAGCACGGACTGCCATGTAGAAAAGGTCCCCTATTATTTCAGCACCACATTTCAGCTTACCCATGGTTCTCCAGCTGTCCAGGGACATGCACCCTCTACCTCCCAGAGACCTAACCTATTTCCCTATCACTTATTTTCAGGGCTATGAGGTGCCTTATTAATGTGATAAATGTTTGCTCCTTGGTCAACTTTTAGTGGTCCTAGATAATTGTTCTCAAATTTGAGCACGCATCAGAATCACCTGGAGAACTTGTTAAACCACAGAAACCTTGGACTGCACCCACAGAGTTTCTGATTCAATAGGTCTGGGGTGGGACCCTACAATTTGCATTTCTAACAAGCTGCCGAATGATACTCATGCTGCTGGCCTGGGTTCTGTCGGTGGTGAATCATTAGTTTAAGGTGTCTTTCTTCTTTCAGCAGTTTAATAGTCATCATCAGTTCCTTAACTGAAAGAGAAATGCTCAGGCAGGGCTTAAAGGAAGAAATACTAAAATCAAAAGTAGACTTTATGAGTAAGTGTGACAATGGCCTAATGGAATGGACTTCTTTGTAAGCATGACTTACCTTATACATCTGTGTTCCCAGTGCTTAGCACATAGCGGGTACCAAATACATATTTGAAGGAATCACATAATGGATCTAGCTTAGTGACTAAAGAAATGGGTTTTGTGCATTAGTCTTTGGAAAGCTCTCATGATTCCTTTCAGGTTGAAAGACGTTCTGGGAGAATAAATTATTGTCATTCTCTTGGAATACAGCCCTAGAAATTGCAGAGTCAAGATATGCTTGTATTTTAAGTACTTACTTGGATTAAAAGCCAAATTGCTAACAGGATTACAAAATGCCAAGTTTGCTGAGTCTCAAATTGTTTATGCGCATGTTTGGTTCAAATTTCTTTCATCAATCAGTACATTTCTGTTTCTAATTACAGTCTTAATGTTTTTTTTGACACCTGCACATGCATTCTTAGTCTAAACCAGCTTCAGTAATTTGCACAGATATAATATAACTGAAATGAGGCTCTTAACCACCAGTGTGTCACCTATACCACGTGTCTGAGGAATTCAGAGGTGCTGCACCTCAGTTCACATTGTGATTTTGAAAACAGCCTGCTATTTTTCCCATTTTCATGCCCACAATGTTGTAAACATTTTAATAAACACTAACACTTTTCCTCATTCCAGGCACATGGAGTTCTAGTAGATGATGCAACATGATTTTCGTTGTGATTTTTTATTTATGTTTATTCTTGGAATCTCTGTACTTGGATAAAAGAAGAAGACAGATGACCAAGATTACCATAATTGTCCAGAATATAATGTATGCAATCTGGAAGTTTATTACTACCACCGATCAAATTGATTGCAGACTCTTAGTCTAGTCCCAGAAGTTTGGGGCTGGTTTTGATGTGAGCCATTCATCAAATCTCAGACGTGACTCACGCAGTGGCTCATGGGTCAAAGCCTTCCACGTATTGTAATGAACCAACCTGAACAATTCTGTACCCAGTTTTTAGTTTGGATTGTGCCCCTATCTGACACCTGTAAAATTGTGAGTTCCCTGTGGGCTCTAATAATCAGAGTCCTAGTTAGAGAAAAAGTCATCTCAGCATCAACTGACAATTATTTTTTTTGCCCTCAATATCCTTCCCTGCCCCCTTATTTGGTTTGAACTGACTCACCTAATTGGGGTCAACCACTGAAAAAAAATGTGTTGCTGATTTTGTCATTTCTGAATGCCTAGAACTAAGGAATATCTTGGCAATGACATTGCTTAGTCTTCCTTACACATAAGGAGAGTTTGAACAATGGATCCAAATTATCATTGCAAGAGTGCACTCAGTTAGGGGAACTCAGCTGAGGTGAGGAACACGTCCACGAGTTTCCCCTGTGGGCATCCAGAGTAGCCATGGCCTGGCCAGGCACTGCCTTGCGGCCCTTCCAAAGGTGGCAGAATGATGTTAGTGTTAACATTTCACTGCACATTAATTCTTTAAAAAAAAAAAAAAAAAAAAACCTGTCATTTAATTTTAAATGCTAATATGCATATGGTTAATTAAGAAGCCAAAATTGGCTATAAGCTCAGTGAGCTCTGAGAACGGGGAGAGAGATCATTACACTTCTGCTCATGGTTAGCTATTTGTGAACCAACTGATAATGTGCAAAATTAAGATTTCGTAAGTGGCATTTTAAATGAATGGTTAATGGCTGAAGATTAATTAAACAGTCAGAGTTGCTGAAGAAAAGCTGTTAAAAATTATGTTTATAGGCCAGTCACTTGCACGCTGAGACTGAAATCCTGAAAGATTGTGGCCTGTTTACTGGGAGAGCATTTTAACAAAGCAGCCTCCTCGAGGAAGGAAAGCCAGCCACCCTTCCCCACATACCATGCAGCTGTTGCAGTAGCCTTAGGGACTTTGCTTTGGAGTAAAAGCAGCCGAGTAGGAAAATGGACTAGAAAAGTGTTTTATTGAAGGGATCTTCACTAAAACCTTCATCCCAGGTAACCAGGCAGATTTTATTTCCTACCTGCCTGCCACAGAGTTCTGAGTTAGAGTAGTCAGAACCCATGGGATTTTTAAGAAAGTACTCCATAATTCTCTAAAAGAGACAAAGAATTGCAGTATATTGTTTTCAACCTGTAGTGGATACTTCTTAAGTCTGAAACTGCCAGCCCTCTTGGTGGTGGAAACATGGATTCTGTACATCTGGCTCTATCCTAGGTTGGTTCCTTGGAAAAAGGTTTGCCTTTGTATTTACCACTGTGCATTGTGCATAGGAGGTACCATACTGTAAAAATAGTTGTAAAATTTGTTGTCAGAGCTTACCTGAATAAATATTGGATAAATCAATGAATGAATGAGCTACCTAAAAGTTGGTTAGTAGACTAGGAAACGCTCTTTTTAAATTCCTTTCCATCCATCCAACAAATGACCACCCTACTTCTCTCGTAGACTGGGTATTAATGTGTGGTCTCAGCCTCTGGGACCACACAATCTAGTGGGGGAGTCACAGGCCTGTCAACAAGTAAGTTGCAGCCACAGTTAAGCACAGCTAGAGCAGCCAGAGAGGGGGGTTAGGAATCTTTGGGTGCAGGGTAGTCAGAAGTATATTTTGCTATCACTTGTAAGGAAGTTTATTCTACCTATTGAAAAAATATTAGCATTTATGGAAAGGCTCTTCACTAAAACCTTTCTCTAAAATTATATTTCATTAAGAATATACACTAGTAAATATGGTAGTTCATTCAGTTCAATCTCCTGCTTCTAGGCAGAAGACCCAAATCACACAGGCCAGATAGTTGTGTCTGTTGTTTAAAAGTTCCCTAGGAATGGAGATCCTGCAGCCTCCCTTGGTGGCCTGTTGCAGGGTTTAATCACCCTTCTAATCAAGGAGTTAATCCTATTTCCTCTTCTCTACCCTTCTTTGGGTTAGTGGAACCTGTAAAAACACCCATGAGACCCCTCGGAAGCCTTAAGGAATTAGTGAGTCAACACTGGGCTACTCTGGGTTCAGCAGTGTGCCTGGTAATGGTGAGACTCTGTACTGCACGATAACAATGACATGACTTCGTTACATCTCAAATCAAAAGTTTTCTTCCTGGTCTAAAGAAAGGAAGAGTTGTTTATGTTAGCATGTTTTAGATGTTGTTTTATTACATTTTAATCTATATGTTTAGTTAATTACACGTTTGACCTAATGTCATATAACTCAGAAGCCAAATTGCAGTGTTTTGATTTAAAATGAAATCAGTAATTATTAAAAACAACTAACACTAAATAGTGAGAATCCACTATTGCTAGACACTTGCTAATTACTTTGCATGTGTCATTTAATCCTCCTGACAATCTGATCTAGTGGTACTATTAGTATTCCCAAGGTACAAACGAGGATATTGAGTTGTAGAGAGGGTAAGGAACTGGCGCGATATTATCAGGTGAGCCAGGATTTGTACGCCTGAATAAAGAGCCTAGACGTTTAACCACTGTGCTATGCTGACTATTCATTTTTAAAAATTATTTTGCTTTCTATAAAACTCGATTTCATTATCTGAATTCTTTTTTCCCCTATGTGTGTAAAGTCCAAATTTATAAACTTTCCTTGTGGGAAGTAATAGCATTCTGATGAATAATAGTCCCCAGGTCAACGGCAGCTCTTGCCGCAATTACTGGCAGTTGAGTGGCAAATACATTCTACTTTAAGAAAGGCAGTAGCAGTTCACTTTAGAAAAACTGATAATTCAAAGCTTTTCCATTCTGGTGAAAATTTTCTTAGCAAAAGCTAAGAAAATAGGTACTGATGGGAGAAAACCTGCCCCATTGAAGGAATGGGATAAAAACCTCCTGTTTGCAGATGCCAGAAGCATCTGGAGAACAGTGATGTCCAATAATTGCAGCTAAAAGCTGCATTAATTGACCAGTGATAGGTTGAAAGCTGCCTCCAACCAGGATCCCTAACACTCTGGTGCTTTTTCATAAGCAGAGTGAGAGGCAGGAGGTGGTCAGCTTCCATGGGGTTCTCCATACAGAAAGGGAGCAGCTGTGACAGAGAAGTGTATTTCTACAGAAGAAAGTTTAGCGTTTCAAACGGATGCATTCAAATCACCTGGGGATCTTGTTAAAATGCAGATTTTGATGCCAGGGGTCTGGGATGGGGCCTGAGTTGTGCATTTCTAATAAGCTCCCAGGTGACACTCACGCTGCTGGTCCAGGGACCACACTGTGCTTAGCAAGGGTTTAGACTAGAGGAAGGCAGTGCTGAATTGTTATTGATTTTAAAAACCATTTTAAATAAACATGCAGCAAATCTTTTTATAACCTTCCAAAATTTCAGCTGTCATTTCCTCATATCGGTGAGATTTGTGAGAAATCCCATTCCTCTGCAGGTCAGAATATTGTTGGTGCTGTTAGCCCTGTTTCCTGGAAGAGAGGGTATGACATTTTTTGGGTCTTTTTTATATTTTAACTGCTGCTGTCTGCATTAGTGTCCATGCTTTGACCTCTTGCTGCACCCAGAGAAATCTCTTGCACCTTAGTAATATGCTGTGTCTCCACAGTTGAATAAGCATGAATTTGAATTTCTTTCCTCAAGTGCTGCTACGAACCTGCCAAGAAAAGTTTTATTAATACAACTAAGTAATCCATTTTTCCCAGTGTACCCCATTCACTTAAGAGTTTCAATGGCTGTGTTTATTCCATCATTTCGGTTAAAGCTAATTATGCTCAAAAGATGTACTTTACCCTAATATGTGTGGCTTGGTTTTTGTTTTGTTTTGTTTTTGTTTTTGAGACGAAGTCTCGCTCTTGTTGCCCAGGCTGGAGTGCAGTGGCGCAATCTCGGCTCACTGCAATCTCCACCTCCCAGGTTCAAGCGATTCTTCTGCCTCAGCCTCCTGAGTAGCTGGGATTCCAGGCACCCACCACCACACCTGGCTAATTTTTGTGTTTTTAGTAGAGACAGGGTTTCACCATGTTGGCCAGGCTGGTCTTTAACTCCTCACCTCAGGTGATCCGCCCACCTTGGCCTACCAAAGTGCTGGGATCACAGGCGTGAGCCACAACGCCCAACCAGGCTTGGTATTATTTTAACTGAATGCTGCTGTCTTAATGTCTCTGATAAAGTATATCATCTCCATTGATCTGCATCATAAACAAGCACAAAGGTTTCTAGAATATATCTTTTTGGTCATTTTGTTTGAATACCAATATTTTAAATTACGTGACCTTTTTTTGACCAACAGCAGCAAAAAAGTTGTCACCACAAGAGCCATTTGTAATGGTCAAAAGAGAAAACAGAAATGTTTCCGTGGGGCTTGGTTTGCAGATCTGTGTGTTTATTAATTCTGTGAAATGCCATTGAATTACAATAAATAGGAAGATGTTCTCAATGGGACTTTCTTCTCCATGTAGGAAACATTCAAAATCTAGAACAGAAGCACCACCCAGCTTGGTGTCACAACAGTGGGGCTGTTTGACTTCAGAGCAACTCTATCCAATAGAGATATAATACAAACCACATATGTAATTTAAATATTTCAATAACCTCGTCTTTAAAAGTTGAATTAATTTTATAATATATTTTATTTAACTCAATATATGCAAAATATATTTTCAAGATTTGTTCACAATAATTATTCTAGAGCTATTGTACATTACTTTTTTCATGGTGGAATGAAGCCAAGCATATCTCAATTTGGACTAGCCACAATTTTGAGTGTTCAGTAATCAGAAGTGGCTATTGGCTGCCATATTAGACAGCATTAGAACCCCTTCAACATACTTCCAGTGGGAGCTGATGCCTCAGTTGGAAGTTTTCTACACACTGGAGTCCAGGGCAGCGAAAGACCCTCCCATTTCATGGTAGTTCCTGAAGCAGAAAACATTTTCTTATGTTAAACCTGAACTGCCACTAAACAAGCACCATTGTCTCTTCTCTTGTGAAGTTTATAGACTAGGGTAAGAAAAAGACATATAAACAATCCATTCCTGCTTCAGGGAACAGACACATTTGTCAGCCCTAGCTTTTCAATATCTAGAAAAATGTTCCCCACATTAGGTGCCAGATGCTGCACAGTAAGGTAACCTCCAAGTGGGCTGAGCTAGACCAGGCCTAGGTCTGCTTTCATCCCAGTTCTTTCTTGCTTTGCCCGAAAGGAAGGCAAAAACAATGATCTAGCTTAGCTTACAAGGCTTCTTTTTCCTTTAGACATAGGAGAATGGAGGCTGGTCTTCAGATATGGAATATGTGTAATCCCTCCACAGAAGGCTTCGACAACAACTAACTCAGGCACATGTGAGACCAAACTCACAGTATAATACCAGTGCGATTCTCATTTAGCTACAAACTTTTCCTTCCTTACCAATAGATATTTCACTATTGTAGCCAGGAATCCTGAGAGGCAGTGCCTTACAGCAGAGCCTTCTCTTTCCCTGGGCTATACTCTCCTTCTCAGTAAACCAATCATCCCTCAAGAAGTCGTGCCTGTAAAAGATGATGTAACAACAGATGTAGTCTTCACTTTATTAATTTGCATTTATCACCACAAGCTTTTCTTCATGACTATTGCTGCTGTTTTATACCTGTGACATCTCAGTATAGAGAATGTTATCCACCTCATTGCTCAAGCCAGAATCTGGGAGTCTTTCTTGAGGCTTCTGCCTTCCCTGAACCACACAACTGACCTCTTTCTGAGGAAGAGGTAGGGGAATGGGTAGCACTGGTTCTCACGTCTCTGCACTGCATTTTCACGGTGAGCATCAGGTACTTCTCACTGTTGGGTCCAGTGTTCCTCAAACTTTTATTTGATCCATTGTGCTTTCCCTCTGGCATGCTGCAGTCATCTGGACAAGGCCTCAAGCTCCCTACATGCATTTCCTTTAACAAATGCCTCTCAAAATATATGTCTATATGGCTCTCTTCTTGCTAAAGCCCTTCCGTCCTCCCAATTTTCTGAGGAGACCAACCTTAGCTGCATGATTCAATACCATTGTACTAGTGACCACAGTACCATTTTTCCCCTCTATCTTTTTTTTTTTTTCTTAATGAAGCCCTGTGTGTTATTCAGGATTCAACTCAAACATCCCATCCCTTAGTGATCCTCTCTGAGCTTTCTGTGTAGACTTCTAGCACAGAATGATCACAGTGTGTTGGAATTGACTGTTAACTTGTTTGTTTCCTCTATCAAATCTTGAAGCAGGCATGATGTTTTCAATCCTGGCATAGTTCCTAAAGCATTGGGTAGTCAATAAATATGTATCGAATGAATGAATGAATCCAAGGGACTCTACCCTTAGCTACATGACTTCAAGGTGACACGAGCTTATTGGACATACTCTTGGACTGACCAACCCCCAAACTATAACTTGTCTTGCCTCCTAGTCAGCACGGCTTCCTTCTGATTGCCCTCTCCTTCTGAATCATGATGCCATGATTCTTTGGTTTTAGTGATCCCACATGTTTCTCCTGGTCTTTGGTTCTCACCACTGGGCAAGGTATTCTTCCTGTTCTTCAGCAGGAGGAAGCACTTCCTACTAAAGTATCCTTAGATGAAGGACTTCTCCAGGGCACAGCAGGTGACTTTTTCACCCCATCCAGTCTCTGCTTCAGAAGCTTCTTAAGGGGAACAAGGTTGTTTGTACTGTCCAGAAACTATAGTCAGCCTAATCTTGGCTGATACCTCAAGAGGAAAGGCTCTACTTGGCAATTACCTTTTTGTAAATCTCTTCCTCACACCCTATATTTGACATAGACTCCTGGTATTGCTCTCTAACCATTTCTACTGTTACATCCCAGAGAACGTTGCATTAGCAAAATTTAGAAGTTAGCATCAAATAGAAGTCCTCTAGTTATTCTCGAATTTGCTTCCCCCATTTTAAAAAGCTTGACCATTACTTGCTTGCCTCCAGTATCAAGACACATCTGCCATTGTCTATAATTTCTCAACCATGCTGACTACGCATCCACGAGTATACCTTCCAGCTCTTTCAGTACCTTGAATATAATTTGTAAGTACCAGTAAGCAGGGTGACTTTAAAGAATCCTGGATCATGCATTTTCTTTCTTCCTCCCACTATCCTTTTCTTTTTGGCCTCTCTCCTGCTTTCCATTGATGGAGATGTCAGGTGAGTCACTTAATGTCTGTGTGCATCTTTCCTCACCTACAGACACACAGGGTGGAACTAAGTGATCTCAGCATTTTTTTTCCAGTTCCAAAATTATATGGTTCTGCAATTCTTTAATGGAAGCAAAATAGGAGTTCAGGTTGCTCTGCCTTTTCTCTGGCACTGTTACCATGTCAAAGCATCCCCTCCCAGCAGTGCCCTAGCCTTTCTCATTCCTCTTCAAAGTAGCTTTCACAATTAAATCTTTAATGTCATTATCATTTGTTTCACAACCCTCTTAGCTCCTGTTGAACTCGGCTTTTCTGACTGTCTTCAGACCTCTTCACCAATTTCTTTGTTAACCACAGTGCCCATGTATCCACTGTCAGATGACTCCCTCTGCTCACCCCTGCAGGAGTATTTAAGCTTAACCCCAGATTTCAGGAGTTAGAGCATTTCTCCTGAATCTCCCTAAACTCGCATCAGATCTCTTTTGTCCATTCAGGTTGTCCTGTCTAGATAATGAGAATTTAAGTTATAAGATTTGTAAGGATCATGGAATAAAGGCATACAGGCAGGTCACTATCAGCATTTCCAGGGCAACCCTGTCTCCCACTTAGATCCTCTGGCTTAGAAACTACTGAAGATCTGTAAAACGTAATGAGGTTTCAAACAGATGTGGCCACTGCCCCTAGGAGTTGGATAGGATCCTCTGTGAGACAGGGCAGAGAAAGTCATGTTTGACTCTATTAGGAAAAATTCTATGGAGTTTACAATAGAATCATAGGGAAGCTCTTAAACAGCACCCTGGCCCATTACAGACAAGTAGACATGGAAGGATACTTTAAAACAAAGTGTGTTTTCAAGTGTTTCACGTGTGTTTCAAGTTTAAAACAAAGTGAGTTTTCAAGCCCAGGAATGATGTGAATCAGACATCAGAAGGGAGAATCAATTCTTGCAGTCTGATGTTTGACAAGTTGCAAGTTGTGACCTCGTTCATACCCTTTAATTCAGTGACTGGCAGTGTTGGTCAGCTGTGTCTTTTTAAGTGGATCCATGTTGAAGTTTGTTGTCCAGGTGAGTTTCAAATACTGGGAGTAACCTGAAAAGTCTTGGGCACAGTTTCCTAGATGTATTGTAGATCCATAGGTAGACACATGGCTTAACATCTTCCATTCAGTTTTATGTAACCAGTACCACTTTTTCATATTGATATATCTATATGTCTTTTTCTATATCTAGATGTCTTTTCTTAAGTTAAATGCATTGGCTTAAAAAAGAAAGACACTATCAGTGCAAACTCACTTTTCTTTTTTTTTTTTTTTTTTTTTTTCTGAGACAGAGTTTCACTCTTGTTGCCCAGGCTATAGTGCAGTGGCGCAATCTCGGCTCACTGCAACCTCTGCCTCCCAAGTTCAAGCATTTCTCCTGCCTCAGCCTCCTGAGTAGCTGGGATTACAGGCATGCGCCACCACGCCTGGCTAATTTCTTGTACTTTTAGTAGAGATGGGGTTTCATCATGTTAGCCAGGCTGGTCTCAAACTCCTGACCTCAGGTGATCCACCTGCCTTGGCCTCCCAAAGTGCTGGGATTAGAAGCATGAGCCACCACGCCCGGCCCTCATTTTTATTTTCTAAACTAAAAAACAGTAACCTGAGATACTCACTAGAAAATACCTTGGCCATTAATTGGTCAGAACTGTAACTTTCAAAGTAACCTATTGTCTGTTTACATGCCACATGACATGAAACTCTATTTTAATCAGGACCGTCACAGATAATTTCTGCAATAACATATATCTAGGGATGGTTTTCAAATGGAGTTGTCATGTTGTGTTTAGCAGACAGGAGATTCTCTATTGTTGTCAGGCCCTCTTTACAAAAGCATCAGTAACCCAGTGATCCTAGAGAAGCAGGGCTTACCACTCAGCTTACTTAGAATAAAAAAGAGCAAGGCTGGTTTCTGTCTGCACGTAGTGTGTTTGAGGGCTCTTTTGTTTAGCTGGGCTTCCTTGTAGCCAACAATGCTTTTACAGTCTTGGAATTGGATTTCATTCTCCTGTACTGGTTTTTGAAAAGTGTAAATAGTTTAATGCATATTGTTATTCTCTGAAGGTAACATAGGATGCATAAAACCGTATACATCTGAATTGTCTCCTCGACCAATGAAGTCATGGAAAGTCAAGAAAAATTAAACCGTCTCTGGATTTATACACACTCTCCCTTTCTCTCTCTCTGACACACACATGTGCACACACACACACTTTCTCTTTAGTGCCTTTCAAAGTTGTCCTAGTTTTCTTACAATTAGCACCCAAGACATACTTTTTCAATAATTAGTAAAAAAAAGTTAATTTTTGTCCATTGTTAAAACAGTGAAATTTTCTTTTTAGAGTACATAGGGGCCATCATACTGAGTTTTATGATAATAAATACTATTTTGTATCATATAAATATGCAATGATATATAACATATAATAATTTATATCATTAAAGAGGGGCTGAAAAAAATTGTTGGCTTCTACATGTTTGTTCCTCTCAAGACTTCTCCTCTTAAATTCCCAAAGAATAATACTTCTTTATTCTTAAAACTCACTTTATGCTCAATTCCCAGAAACAGAAGCCAAATAGGGTAAAACAAGATGCCCAGTAATGGTTCTTACAGTTCTCAGGTTCTGTAGTACACCATTTGAAGCTATGTAGTCTTCAACCTTGAGTGTATATAACAGAGGGAAAGGCAAGCTCTAGACATCCATTCCAGTCCTAGGATTCTGTGGTTCTGAGAAGTGAGAAGGGAGACAAATGAGAGTATGGGAAGTTGTATAGAGGGGGGGAACAGACAGAAAGGAACAGAACAATGAGTAGTCACTTGGATTACAGAAGGAATGGCAATGGAGGACCAATAAATAAGTGAATGAATAAATGAATGAATGAATGAATGGAAAGAAAAGTAAGTATAAGGAAGAGAATGACCAAAAATAGAAGTTGAAGTGGTCCATTTGAGCTAGAAGCTTGGCAATTTTACAAATTCTAGCAACTTCTTAAGAAGCTCTAAAAAGAAAGTTCTGGGTTAGGAAGTTTCTCATAATAGTTTTCCCACTATCCAGTCCCCATATTGTCTTCCACCATAAACATCTGCCATGATAATTCTCCACTGCTAGACCTCAGAAGACTCTCCCTTTCCCATTAATAAAAAGGGGACTGATTTCATAAATTTAGCATATTACGCATTGCAGCATTCTGCCTTTCATATCATAGGTTAATTTTTCATGGATCGTTATGAAAAATATAAACAAACTTAAAATTCTATTTATGATTCAGACAACCAACAAAGTAATGAGATTCTGTGTTATGGTAGCTGTCACATCTTGTCTCAGCCCATTGTGTCTAAATGTTAACTCTCTTATTAAGCTCCATTAAAGGGTTTTACAATACCAAATTGTTTATACACTGCTGGTTTTCTGCTGCCTGACAGTAGGGCACGTTTCACTCATTAATATGGGTGATATCTTACATTGTTGGAAAGAGCTGAAATAAAAATAAACAGGAAGGTGGCATGTACTAACTGAAATGCTTCTTTCTTCTATGTTTCCCAATATAAGGTTATATATATGTGTGTGTGTGTGTGTGTGTGTGTGTATGTATATATATATATATATATATATATACACACACACGTATATAAAACCCTAAATATATATATATATATATATAACCTTAAATATATATATTTTATATTTTTTTAACTTGCAGTTCAACCTGTTGTCTTACGAAAGGGGAGATATTCTTTTCTTTGTTACGTTTAAATGAACTTCACCCTGAGCTACCAAATTATACTTTTGCAAGCTTGATCTTCAACCTCACTTATGTCCCCATGACAACCTTTCTTGCCATGTGAAATTTAGAGTAACTCATATTGGTAGGTTTCATTATGGGTCATAAAGCACTGTCATATACATGTTCTTATTTCATCTTCACCACAACCCGGTAATAAGGGAAGATAGAGATGCTGAATCTGGTAGAAGAGAAAGCTTTCCTAAAACTACTCAGTTAAAAAATACAGGCACCAAGTTTCTGTCCCACTGTGGTTAGTTCAGTTCTAATGCTACTTGCCTTCTTTTTATATTTTTATTATTTAAAGATATACTTTTATTTTCTTAATTTTCTCTGAGTATTCTATATTAAATTTAATAGCAAAAAGCTAAGGAAGAAAAAAATAAAATTGCTAATTATTCCACGATTTAATTGGCTATTATTAACTTTTTAGAGTATTTTCATCCAGTGTTTCTTCTGGTTTTTTGTTTGTTTCTGTGTTTATCACTGCATATAAAATATATCATTTGTGCATGCATATAGTGCTCACACACACATATAGTATTTACATGCATATACACATTTGAGTATTTTGCCTTTTTACAATGATACTGTGATATTTTCCTGTGTCAATTAATCTCTTTGAAACCATCGCTTTTAAGGTTGCATGATAACTGTATCTTAATTTATGTAACCTTTCCCTTAATGATGGACATTTGGGATGTTTCAGAGTTTTCAGTGTTATAAATTACCCTCTGATAAGCACCTTTATAAAATATTTTGCTACACAGCTTGAATTATTTCCTTAGGATTCCTGGAATGGAAATGATGAATCAAAGGCTTGAAACATATTGCCAACAATTTTCTTGAAAAATTGAAGGAAATAATGCTTCCACCAGTAATGCAGAAAATAGCTAATTTCACCCCATTCCTGACAACTTTGAGTATCATCACTTTCCTTCCTTTACCCTTTACTAATTTGATTCATGAAAAATAGTACTGTATCATTTTACATTGAACTTCTTAGCTTACTAGTGAGGTTAAGCATTTTTATAGAAGCTCACGCCTGTTCCAAATTACCACTAGAAGTTTTCAGCTCGCCTCAGCCGTGAGTCATTACCAGGAGGAATAGTTTTTTGAATCAACTTCTGTTTCCTCCCTCAACAAATCTATGTATATTTATCAAGACGTATTTGGATGCAGGCTTTTATCTCCCTCTTGACAAAAATGAATGATTATGCACCCAGGTCTTTTATGCACTGAACTAAGCTATATCTACTTGGACCTTGTTTTAATTGACTCACCCTTCCCCTAATAGAATAGCGTCCCTTTGAATAGGCAGTATTAGAAAAATAAGAGCCTCACAGTAGATTGTGAAAGAAATGTCACATCAGAATCTGGACATTGCTATGACAACCCAGGCCCCGTCTATCACCACTCCCATCAGCATGTGTTGCAAAGGAAACCCCTTTGCAGTGTTTAATCTGAGAATTTTAATATTAAATACATATTTGACATTGAAAGCTCACACCTTATTTGCTATTGTCAGGCTTGTTTGATAGACAGCTAACTCGGTCTCTTTTTATAGTCAATTTCTGAAATGAAACTATAAATTTTGAAGCTGGGCTTCATCATCGCAGAGAGCAAAGCTTTTCTAGCCTATTGTTGAAATGTCACATTTTATAGGATTTATGTGGTCCAGATTCAGGAAGATCATTTGCCAAGCACTTAAGGCTGGTTTTGCTGCCCTTTGCTTTTCTCCTCCCTGCAAATACATATGGTGGCAGGGGGAGAGCCATTAGAAAAGAAAAATTATGAAGAAGAACTTACTTGATTCAATACAAATGTCAGCCTAAGAAAGAAAAAGTCCTGCACATTTAGTGTGAGGAGCGTTGACTCCAGAAGCCTGCTCTTTGGTGATAGGCATACTGTTTGCTTCTGCAAATGAAGTGGGCATCATATTTGTTGTGATAGTCAGTGAAAGCCTCTGATTTGGTGCAGCAGTTTGAATTTATGCTCATAATACAAGTTCTCTCCAATATGCTTCCAGGATTCCTTTTGAAACTCCATGATATGACAAGCTCTGTGATTTGGTCATATTCCATTTAGCTTGTTTTATTGCTGTTAATTTTACACAGGAAAATAGATTATCTGAAACTTGTGATCACAGTCGCTGTCAAGTGGTCAAAAATGAAGAAAACCACCAGACAGTGTCAGATTTATTAAATGCTCTAGGAGTACAAAATTAATGCAGTTCTTTGTCTTTGAAAGGTTCAGTGTCCACAAGCTGGATTTATCCTAATGGACAAGCAGTGGAAAGAACAGTCGTCAATTAGCTATCTCTTTAGCCAGACTACACGTTGTCGGAATGCATGTAGGGTGAGCCACCAGTGCACCTAGGCAGACCTCCAATTTGTTCATTTTGACTGTAAGTGACTTAATTTAACATTTTTTCTAAGAAATACATTAGGTAGAATGGTGAAGTTTCCTTTTTTTCATTTTTTTCTTAAAAGAATCACCGGTGAAAAGCCACAGTAAGTAGGCTTCTCACTCCATTTGTTTTCAATCACCACCCTTAATGCATAAATTTCTGAGTAGCCTGTTACTCTTCCAAGCCCTAAACTGTAGCAGTGAATGTGGATTGGAAAGTTCTGGTGCTGTATCCACTGGGTCTATGTTGGGTTTGAACATGTTTTATATGCATAGCATGATTATTCCTGTGCTAGATGATCTTACCTGTGGCCCTTTGTTTTCTGGGTTTTTTGTTTGTTTTTTTGTTTGTTTGTTTGTTTGTTTTAGCAGGAATGAATTTTGCATTACCCTCTTATGAGTTACAGTGTGCAAAATACTTTGAAAGTAAAGTTTTGGTTCCCACATGAACCATTTCTCTTTTACACAGCAATCATTTATCACTTATAAGTGTTAATCACTTATTAACAGTAATTTCATCTGCTGAAGAATTTATCCCCTAATCATGTGATTTTGTTTCTTCATGTGTGTATGTGTATGCGTGTGTGTATATTTACAGCATTGACATTTTGTATTCAAAAATATTAACTTCTCACCTTGGTATTCTGGTAGTGTAATGAAAACATCTGTTACTTGTGTATGGCAATGATGTTTTTACATCTATTTATATTTGTGGGTAGATTCCAAATTGATTCTATGTGAAGATGCACTTCAAACAAAATTCAGTAACTACATGTCTGGCTTTGGGTTTTTCAAACTGTGGGGTTTCAACCCTGAACATGAAGCCCTGATGCAGGACTTAATCCTGAACTCTGCAAACGTTTCCTTTTGCACTTCAACCTCCAGTCCCACTTTATATAACATGGAATATTCTTCTGGTTATTATGTAATTCATTATCTAAAATATGTTGTGAGCAGATAAGCACAAGGACTCTGAATGTGGCTTGTATATTTTTACAGCAACTCTGTGAATATTCTCTTTGGTGCAGAGTGGAGATGTGTGTGGAAGCATTCCTCCTGAATTTTTTATAGACTCTCTCCCTTTGCCACTCTAGTTGCTGTCTCCCACAAAATTTGAGTCATACCTCAACTGTACAAATCCTCCTTTGATGTTCAGTTGCCCTGAAGTGTGCAGTTGTGGAATATGTCTAAATGTCTCCTGTGAAGAGATTGGAGGCGTTGGTTTTAACAAAAGCAATAAAATGATTACAGCTGAAAAGCATGCTGGAGGTAAACAGACGTCTGTCCTTGTTGCTGAACCATTGCTCTGTTAAAAAAAAAAATAAGCACATGATTTAGCCTCTCTTTGTTGCTCTTGTGTCTAGGAAAGTCAAAAGGAAGGAATTTGATTTTTATTGTCCCCAAGATTTCAGTATAGAGTCAGCCCTACAGTATGAGAAACAATATCTTGCTTATCGCCCTGAATTACCATTGTCCAACTGTGAGAGCATTTGCAAGAAGGTGAGAGTGTTTGTGAAATAGACAGAAAGGGAAATCATGTGCTTGGATAAAGCTTTTTGGTTTCTTTAGTGAAGTTTCTGAATTTTCTTCTCTAACCTTGGCACAAAGGCCAACACTCTACATGCAGTAGGCACTTAGTAAATTTATTTTGGTGATGGGTGATTGGTCTTTAGTACCATCAACATCCCAACCCAGGGCTAGCCTTGGAGAAGGACACGGAGCAAGGAGAGGTTTAATTGGGGAAGCCCCACTCCACTTCATCCAACCTTCTACCAGGACATCAAGGTCCTCATGATCTGTAGCTTTCCCTCCTGGCATTACCTCTTGTCCACAAAGTATTAATTCACGTGCAATGAATGGTGTCTATGGCTACCTAGCACTGTCTGTACTTCAGCGAAGAGTAAAGCCTTGAAGTAAACTGAGGCTGAATTTCTGGCATCAGCCTGGAGGCAATGGGTGGTCACTAGGGGCGCCCCCATTACCCTGAAAACCTGTCTGTGTGTCTCTCCTCCCTAGTCCGTAATTTCCTTTACTAGGCCCAACCAGTTTCTCCTGAAAATATTAATGAGAGCACTTCAAAATGTAGGTTGTTGAATTTTAAATTAACCTAGAGCATCACATTGAGTGGGTTTTCATGGTTTTCTACATTGTCTGCTGGATGGACTTCCTGGGCAGCAAGCATATCTTATTCCTAACGTCATAGTCTATTCGCTTTTACCCAGAGCCGGGCTTCATTTAACAATAAGGAGATGTTTTCGATTTTACCGTATGTGGAATGTAACATTTGCATTTGGCAGTTC
Organism: Homo sapiens; assembly: GCF_000001405.40. Taxonomy (NCBI): domain Eukaryota; kingdom Metazoa; phylum Chordata; class Mammalia; order Primates; family Hominidae; genus Homo; species Homo sapiens. The sequence goes on from NC_000002.12 coordinate 205,478,586, forward strand.
TCCCTTTAGTCCTGCTCAAGATTTCAGCTACCTCGGCAGAGTGCTAGAAAGCGATATGCTTATTAGAAAACTTTATTAATCAGAGTAGAGTGCTATTTGGCAGCCAGATTCTAATGAGGATGAGGAGCTAAATTTAATTCAAAGCTAAAGGTCAGCAAATGGTGCTAGCCTACCTTTTTTAAAGTGTGTGAGCTTGGACGTTCTCACAGTTTCCGGACAGTTTCATCTAGAAATGTGCATGCTATATTTAGTATGAAAAAGCATGGAAAAGTTTTCTAATAACACCATTTCAGCACACATATATTCCATGAGCATTAATAAGCCAAGCACATTACTGCTTGGCTAGACAATTCTTATAGGAGCTGATGGCACTGAGATGTTATAGCAATTGCCAGCCGAAAACAGGAGGCCATAAGAACATGTTACAATGGAAAGAATTTCAAAAACTTGTAGACGTTTCTTTAAACAATGAACTGTCTGTGGAATATGTGTAAATGGCAGAGTCACTCTCACAAAGTCATGAAGGATATATTTGTGGTGTTCAGCTTATGTCCCTAGGAAAGAAAAATAGGAAAAAGAAAGTTCTCCAGGCAGTAGATGAAGGTGGTGTTGAGCGGTTTTGGCCCTTGCACATGGCCTCCCTATCCTTAAATGGCACCATCATTTCCTCCCTTCTCCTTCCCACTTCTCCTTCATTGCACACTTTCTTATTATCACCTCCCACAAAAACTCATTTATTGAACACATCCTAGGTGAGGGCCCTGTGCCAAAGTCTACAGAAGACACAAGAATGATTAAATTCCTCCTATCACTTAGCCACTATTGGGGGACTAGACAAAGACTCAAAATGTATAAAACCTATGAATGATCACCATGCCACAAAGCAGAAGGTAAGGGCCATAATGTAAGTACAAAGCACTGAGGGAATTCCAATGTAGAAAAGACTGCTTTCCTCCAGGAAGGGTTCATGGAATAGCCTGTGCTTAGGAAAAAATGCACCTGAATTCATCTATTTTTCTCCAGCTTCGTGACCATTACCTAGGCCAGTCTACCATCACCCCTCACCTGCCTTTCTGCAACAACCTCTATTCTGTCTTCCACAGAAAAGCCAGAGATGTATTCTAAAACTTTTAGTTAGATCATATTACTTCCTGGCTTAAAATCTCCTAATGTCCACTCATTTTACTCAGAGTCAAATCCAAAGATCTGTCCAAGTCCTGTAAAGCCCATATGATCTCAGTTTTGCCTGTCTGTTCAACCTCATCACTTGCCACTTTGTTCCATGAGCATTAAGCTCCAGCCATATGCAATTTTTTTTTTTTTTTTTTTTTTTTTGAGATGGAGTCTTGCTCTGTCACCCAGCCTGGAGTGCACTGGTGCAATCTCAGCCCACTGCAACCTCTGCCTCCCAGGTTCAAGCGATTCTCCTGCCTCAGCCTCCTGAGTAGCTGGGATTATAGGTGCCCTCCACCATGCCCAGCTAATTTTTTGTATTTTTTAGTAGAGATGGGGTTTCACCATGTTGACCAGGTTTTTCATGAACTCCTGGCCTCAGATGATCCACCCGCCTCGGCCTCCCAGAGTGCTGGGATTATAGGCATGAGCCACTGTGCCCGGCTGTGTACTTTCTTTCTCCTGCATTAATTGATTACACTCATTCCCTCATTAGGGCTTTGGCTCTAGCTGTTTTCTCCAGAATACTCTTCATGGAGATTCTTCTGGATGATTCCTACTTGTAATTCAGACCTTAGATTAAAAGAAAGAGGACTTTCTTGACTATTCAATCTAAAGTAGCCACCTAGTCACTGTCTTCTCATCATATTGTATTTTAAGTGACTGGTGGCACTGACCACGGCTTGATATTTCTCTTCATTGGTTTGTGTATTGTTTCATCCCCATCCTCACCACCAGTCAAATGTAAGGCCCATGTGGTTAAGGACCTTATATATCTTGTATTCCTCCTATATCCCCAGGACCTGTAACAGTTGATTATGAATAGTGGGTGCTCAATAAATATTTGCAAAATGATTGTAAGAGTCTTGAAGGATTTCACAGGTAGAGAGTTGTTCCTTAGTTCATGTGGTAGGCCCTGCCACTGGTAAAACAGCCTGAACAGGACCTAGTAGCTCCGTGCTCTCAACACCTTCTGTTCTTGTGGTGGAAGGCAGACATGGAGAAGTGAGAATTGATAGATAATGAAGTTGATACATTCAGGGGGTGATCATTGCTACAAAGGAAACAAGCAGGCTAACCAGGTAGAGATTGTCTTGAAGGGTCTACAGATAAAACTGCCAGAGGAGGCACCTCTGACAAGGGAGAATATGCCTTGAGAACGTGGAGGCAGAGTGTTTTAGGTGGAAGACCCACCAATGACAGACTCCTGGGGCTGTGACAAGCTTAGGCTATCAAGGAACAGGGGAGAGTGAGAAAGAATCTCTCTGTGAGCACAGGAGAAGAATAGGTCAGCAAGGAGGTGGAGAGGGAAACAGGCCAGTTCAGTGACGGGAGGGCCATGTAGACCCTGGGGAATGGTTTGAGAATTAGGCTAAACGTGATGACAAGGCAGTGGATGTTTTTAAACAATTGATATGATCTTAATTATATTGTTTTTAAAAGGAGGGGCAAGAATTACTGGTGGAAGAGGCAGTGTGGTCAAAGGCATAGAGCAGGGTGTGGGTGAAACTGAGGATAAGTTTAGGGAACGATCAGAGCTTCACTGGAGACTGGACTGCAAGTGGAAGGAAAGCAGGAGGCTGGGGTGGTGTCGACAATGGAAAGAGAGCAAAGAGGTTATTGTCACAGGGAATTCCATGAGCAGAGTTGCATCTTTGGAAGGCTAATGTGGGAATGTATTAGAATGAAGGAGTCAGGAGCGGAGAGACTAGCTGCCATGCTGCTATGAACCGGGCTCGTGGAAGAAGGAATGCAGGGGAGGCCACAGTGCTAGAGGCTCATCATTACAACCAACTGAATGTAAGATGCATGGGAGAAACGAAGCCAACAATAATATCAAATAATGTCATAGTAGAGCCCAGTAGTCATTGTGCACCAGGCACTATTCTAATTGCTTTAAATAAAAACTCACTTTGCTCCTCAAAACTACCCTACTTGGTTTTACTCTCATTATCCTTATTTCAGAGATAAGGAGGTTACACAACTACTCTAAGATAGGGAGATGGAAAGTGGCAGAACCAGAACCCAAGCAATCTGGCTCCAGAGCCTGGGCTCTAATGCTGATCATTATTCCCATCTCTAATGAGCACAGAGAAACAATTACGAGTCCAGAAAATAGGAGGGAAAGAAGATTTCAATGGAAATGTGAGAAGGTTGTTTCTGGACAAGTTGAGTGTAAGACATTGGCTCATTTCAAGTTCAAGTGTGGAGCAAGGGTGAGCATGGCTTTTGGAGCTCCCATGAGATGTTGCAGCTAGAGAGGTGTGTCCTCATGCAGGCGGGCTCTGTTGAGGACCTGCCCCATGCGAGCCACTCCGGGGATCATATGTTGAATAGATGGACAAGTAAATATATGAAATGCGAGGGAATAGGATAATCAAAGTGCTGGGAGTAAATAGTATCCCCAAGAGTGAAAATATAGACAAGGAGCCTTTAGACTCCAAAGTTTAGAGAATCCTTTTAGAGAATAGCTAAAGAGACAGTGAAAGAAACAGACAATTAGATTGGAGCAGTAGGAAGGCAACAAAGAAGAGAGACTTGCCACAAGGGTTGCTCTGCCATATCTAGTCCAGCAGAGGTTAGGGAGAGTTTTGCTGGGCAGTTTTAGCAGTGGTGAAGGTACAAACCGGATTGTCATCTGCCCAAAAGAAAGGGTGGCAGATGGCAAAAGGAGACGGCAGAGGATTGTTTTTTAAAGTTTAGTGAAAGGAGAAGGAAAAGAGAGAGACAGGAGGCAATAGCTTGAAGGGGGAGGGGGCGGTTAGGGGCTACTGGACAGTAATACATCACAAAGGACCCCTAGTTGCTCCAGAGAGAGAAGGAGGAACAACATCTTTGGGGCCTCCCCAGGCGGGGGTGGGGGGCATTGTATATCCACACCTGTGCTGACAAGGGCAGTGGGGGCCTGATTTGCATAGCAGCAGGATAAAAACCAGCCTCTGGCACCACTGGATTCTTCCCTGGTAGAAACTCTCCCAGGGTAGGCACATTAGATAAGAGCTACTTGGATTAATTCGGTGACACCATCTTTTAGAATGAGGGTAGAAAGTACTGACGTCACCATGCGGCTGATTTTAGAGAAACAATCTATTTCTCCACTGACAAGGATTTGTGGCAGTCAGCAGCTGTTTTATTTCTTTTTTTTTAAAGCTCCCTCCACCCCTTTCTTCAGACTTCTCTGGACTTACATCTGTCCTCCCAGCTGTGAGCGGCTGAATTCCAGGGTGCAAAACCAAGGGAGACAAGTAGGAGGGGCATACAAATAATGATTACATGCTGCTTCAGTGTAAATCTCGGTTCATTGTGTGTCCATGGGCACATGCCTTCAAATTCAAGTGCATGCCTCTCTCTCTGCCTTTCAGTATCTGTCTGTAAACCTTGATGGGATTAAGCATATGTTTTAATAAATATTTTGTTTGCTGTATTCCCATTAATATTCATAGGGAATGGAACACTTTGGGTTTTGTGATTTCTAATAAACATTGATGGTGTTGCTAGTCTGTACTGAGCATTCAGTATGCTCCATCAAAATGGCAGCTCTAATTAGGTTCCTTGAATTAGCTAATGGATTTTGAGAAAGATAGCTTAGAAAGCTCTTACAGCTGTCCAAGATATTCCTGCCATGGCAGAAAGACAAAAGGCCCCTGGAAGCTACAGACTTCAGAGCTTTAGAAATGCAGCTGACAGTTAAAAAGATAAATTACATTCATATTTTGCCAGTGAAAGTCCTAATACTGAATTAATGTTATTCCTGTAGTGAGTATCCATTAAGCAGCTCATTTTATTATAAGGATGCATTTTGACCATTAGCTCTTTTTCTTTCCTCGCTCTCCCTCCCCTCTCTCCTTTTTCTCCCTCCAATTCCCTAGATATTTTGGACACGGTATTAAAAAGCATCTTTGAAGAAGAGGAAATGATTCCCTTTTTTTCAAGTTATAAATTTAGAAGCTCTCTTAGATATACAATAGGTATTCAGTTTTTTTAAAAATGCCAAAGTAAATATATAAAGAAATAACATAGTGATTCAATTTAAACCTTGAGGCTTATATTTTATGTAGAATTGGAAGGGGGGAAGCTTCTAGCTAGGGGGCAGTGGGCTTGTTTACACTTGGAAAAGAGATTATTTGTTAGAAACTATCTCGAATAAAACATGTTACCTCCTTTCATCTTAATATGGAATGTACAACATAACACAACGCCATTCCACATGTTCCTCGCCTGTACTTCCTAAGAACACAGTCCTGTAACAAATGAGGAACTAATGACATCTGAGTGACTACACTTAATGCTACAAATGGGGGGAAAAATACCACGGACAATATTAAAAGTTCATGGCAAATAGCAGAATTCGGGAAACAAGGACAGTCACCCAAAAGCTCCTTTTATTAGTTGGATATGTCAGTACTCATTAATTCTGTAACTGTGTTCAGCATAACTTTTTGCTTTCAGTTTATTCATTTGTAAAACTAATACCTGGTACCTTTCATCTGAAAAGTTACATTCCTCTAGGAACACAACAAATCCTCTAGGGAAATGTTTCCTGGGTCATTAACTCTCAAATGTCCAAATTCTGTTTTCCTCCGTGAGCCTCTGTAGCCCCTCTGCTTTTCCAGTCCTGCCTGCCTTTTGGCCTTTTTTCTTCTCATTAGTGTCTTTACCAAACAAGGGGCTGGGCAAGGAAAAGAATGTGAAACTCGTGTCAATTAATTGGGGTATTATTTACAGCTCTGGGAAAGCACTTGTTGGGAAAGAAGCTAAAGTTGTTGGTTTAAATGAGATTTTTTTCAAAATCATCTGTAGTTTTTATTTTTCATGCTCTTCCAAACCTCCTGTTTCTGCAGATAATTGAGAGCTGACTAAAAGACTGTTGCTAATAAAGCTGTTGGAACGAAGCAAGGAATCAGAAAGCATAGTGTTGACGGAACATATAGATTACAGATCAGACAGCTGCTTTACCTCAGTATGATATAAATAAAATGGAAAAGCATTGTTATGTGAAGTGCCAGAAAAAAAGATACTCAATTATTCCCCACACATGACTTCACCATGATGGGTAAAAGGCATAATTGACATCATGTTTATTGAAAAAACTAGCAACTGTCACACTGTCGAGAGGCTACTGAGAGCTGGAGGAAGGGCATTTTTTTATTCGTTTTCACTGTGGGTTATTTATAGAGTTCAATTGTCAGCAGCAGAGTGCCTAATTTTCCTTCTTCTTTGATATTCGACAACTCATTCACTGTTCAGATCAAGAAGACAGCTGCAAATTGCTCCATGGCAGATACTCAGGCATTGCCATTACCTCGCCTGAATGGGGCAATGGCTATTTATTAATTAAGATTCTCTGCCTACTTTCCCTTAAAGTGCCAGTGGGAAAAGTCTTTGTCAACCCATAATGGGTCTAGTTTCATTTGTTTTGTTTTGTTTTGTTTCATTTTAACTTTTTGCTGTCTGATTTGGCAGCCAGACCCAGATTCCTAATGGGAAATTTATCATTATATTGCTGATGCATCGTGCTTCATCACCAGATGATGTTACTAGTCAAACAAGAGCTCTGGTTATGGAAAATGATCAGTTTTCAAACTGAAAGAAAGTTTCAATGTCCCATTTCCCCCATCTCCAGTGGCCCTCTGGCACGTTAGCCAACAAGTAGGGAGATTGAAATAGAGAACTTTTGCCAATGATTTTATCAACCATTTAGCCTGCACTGTATGCACACACAAGAAATCATCAAATCTAAGTACAAGAAAAGCTCAGAGAGGTCAGCTAGTTCCTTCCATAGGTTGTGATATATGGGGTTACAGAGAGCTAGCGTCTCCCAGAGTTCTCTTGATATGAAGCAGAACTCTGAGGATGGTGGTGCTGGCCCTACTTGCAATTCTTCAGTGGGTCTGCATCATCCCCTTTAGAAAGATTGGTGGATGGGGCTGTTAAGGTCCTACCAGCTGTATTTCCCAGTTTCTCCACACATTCCCCACACTTGTGCGGTGCCTGACTGTGTGCCCTTTCATGTGGCCACTCCATTTCAAGTGGTGTTCCTTCCAGCTGGCATGCCCAGCCACCCTCTCTTTATCCTTGTCTCTTCTCTAATAGGCCTTTCCTGACCTCCCCAAGCCAAGTTAACACCCTCTGCTCTGAGCTACTGCTGGAGTTCATCATACTTCATGATACTTCCTCTTAATAATTGCCACATTGCACTGTCATTATTTATTTATATCTGTGTCTCCCCAACTAGACTGTGAAATCCCTGAGGGTCAAGTCGGGGTCTTAATCACCTTTGCATCCCTAAGGCCACAGCAATATTTATGAATAAGTAAAGCTTAAATAAATGTACACATCAGAAATTTTTCAGAGGGTTATTGGAGAGCTTTTGAAAGCACTTGAGGATTTAGGTCTGCTACCAGTTTATTATTTTCTATTCTGTTTTGAAGAGAAAGCCAGCATTCCCCTAGCAAGGATTTATAAGAATCTGAGCATGTTTTAAAAACAACTGAAACAATCCATAGGAGATGGTAATGTCAGCTGTCTGCTATTCTGTACACCCCTAATGTTGGAAGGTCAGTAGAAGGCCCTAGGGTTAGCAGAGCTCACTTTGCATCTAGGCTAATGAGAGCTGTGGGATCTTCTTGGATTGAATGCCCTTTGGGAGCTAAGTAGATGCTAACTTTTGATGCAATCTGCATCAGTCCATTCTAGCACTAATATGAAGAAATACCTGAGGCTGGGTAATGTATAAACAGAAGAGGTCGAGTTGGCTCACGGTTCCACGGGCTGTACGGGAAACATGGCAGCATCTGCCTCTGGGGAGGCCTCAGGGAGCTTTTACTTAGAGGGGAAGGCAAAGGGGAAGCAGGCACATCTTATGCGTCTGGAGCAGGAGGAAGAGAGTGGGTTGGGTGGGTGAAGGTAGGGGAGGAAAGGCGCTACACACTTAAACAACCAGATCTCATAATAACTCAGTCACTGGCACAAGAACAGTACCAAGGGGATGGTCCTAAACCATGATCCAATCACCTCCCACCAGGCCCCACCTCCAGCATTGGGGATTACGATTCAACATGAGATTTGAGTGGGGACACAGAGACAAACCGTACCACGAGTTGAGAATCTATTTGGATTAATTGTTATGACCTTATTCAAAAATCTCAGAGTAGCATATGGACGTAAAAGGAATGAAAAGAATGTAGGTGATATCAGAACATGTTCATAAATTCTTGGACCTAGACCTAATTGCTTTATGCTAATCATATTAGAATACTGCGTATATAATTCTGTGTTTATTACATAGCACGATTTAACACCATATGTGATCATTAAGATTGGCCTCATGGTCACTTACCTATGTGACCCAAGCATCCCTTCTGGGCATTTGGAGAATGTATATCCTTTAACAGTAGAAAAGTAAGGACTCGTTCACTTGTCACATATATTTAGAACACTTTGACTCTTAACACCGAGGGTCGAGCTCCTAATCACAATCTTTAGCTTCTTTCAATTGAAAAATGTTTTCTCCTTTTTTAAAACACTCTTTTCCTTTGTCACTGTTATTATTTTCCCAATACCCTCCATTGGGGAAGAAAAACAAAAGCATTGTTGTGTAAGTAAGAAACTGCTGTATTAATCTACTGACGTTTTGTTATATTTTTCACTTTTCACTATGCACTATCCTGACTGTTCTCTTCTAACTGACATAATCCTCTAAATTAAAAAAAAATACAAGCTACCATCCGTGCACTAAATTATTTAGAGTGTCCTTATTTTTCCTTAAAATTGTGTGGTCCATTAAAACTTACTTTCTTATTATCTGTAAGGAAAGGTTAGGTACCCAGCTGTTGGGAATCAGTGGCCTTTGATGGTATTCCAGGATCTCTTGGGAGAAGAGAGAACTTCTATGTTGTGTCCTCTGAGGAAGAAGGAATGTCATGGAGGCCTAGGAAATTCCCAAGGTTTCATGGCCTGCAGCCCACAAAGGCTTATTTTTCCCAGAATTGACCCTGAAAGTTTAATCCCCATATAAATGTCAGATATGTATTCTTAAAACTCAACTGTGTTTGATTTAAGCCTAAAAGATAATAATTTTATCTTTGCAGTTCCTGCAGTTGTTGGTGAGAATTTCTTTGAGAAGGCGTGAGTGTGTGCGTATTAGTGTTATCATTAATTTGTTCAAGTACCATCTAAACAACATTTTATTTCTCCTTAAACTGTCTTTTGTTCAGTTCAAGAAGGTGAACGATAATTAAAATAATACAAGTTTTGTAGGTTTCCTCTATTTACCTTTTTAATCAATATTTTGCTAATTTTGTTTTGGACCGTCGAGTCCTTTGAGAAAACCTATAGTATTCCAAGTGGAGTCATGTCTTAAACAAGGTTAGTTTCTAAAGTCATTACATGAGACAAAAATTGTGTATTGACAAAATTAATCTTGGGAAACACTTTAGGACAGTGGTCCCCAACCTTTTTGGCACCAGGGACTGGTTTCCTGGAAGACAATTTTTCCACAGGGCGGGGGGTGTTGGGGGTTGGGGAACACAGGGCCAGGCACTAGATTCTCATAAGGACCATGCAACCTACATCCCTTGCATGCGTGGTTCACCATAGGGTTCGTGCTCCTATAAGAATCTAATGCAGCCACTGATCTGACAGGAGGCAGAGCTCAGGCAGTAATGCTCACCTGTGTAAGCTCACCGGTTTCTAATAGGCCATGGACTGGTACCAGTTTATGGCCTGGGGGTTGGTGACCTCTGCTTTAGGAGGATACTATATTGGACTCTGCCTATGATCTCTCACTGAACCCACTCACTGCTGTTTCTTTAGCACTGCATTAGATGGCTCTTCCCTTGGTTGAGCATCAGCTGAAGTAGTTGGCTTGCATATACAAGGCCATGTTGTACAAGTAATATACATCCTTAAACGCTGAAATGATGTTCAGCACAGCATAAAACTTACATTAGGAAAGGTGCCTAGGAACTGACACTGACCAAAGGAAATCAACTCAGTTCATGTTCAGGGACATATGTTCGTTAAATGGAATGTCCAATGGAATCACTATCACTACTTAAATTGCTATTCTGCCCCCAAGCCTCTGTTTGTGTCTAAGCTCAGATATTTGGTGTATCAATTAAATGCAGCTGGGATGCAGTATCACTATACTCCAGCCATGTTAGAACAGCTATATCTATATGAATTATAATATAGACTATGGCTTATTTATCATTTTTTAACAGAAGACACAATGGATGCACAGTTGCAAATTGATCCAAATCTATTTTTCTTTGCATGTATGTATGCTTGTTTTGCAAAGATGTAGAGTAGAAAGAAAGGGATAATATTGCTGCCATCCAGTGTGAACTTTTCAACTATATTTTAAAATCTTTCTTTTTTAAGAAACCAAAATTATCGTATTAAACACTTGATAAGTTTCTTCTGTGACACCCACATACTGTATGTTGTTAATAAAATTGACAAAATGCCTTGAGACAATATGTATCACACACTTACACATAACTTTGAAGTGTCCAGTATTTGTGTAAATTACTTAAGGCTCAAAAATATTGCACTGGGGGCTGGGTGCAGTGGCTTACAGTGGCTCACACCTATAATCCCAGTGCTTTAGGAGGCCGAGACAGGAGGATAGCTTGAGCTCAGGAGTTCGAGGTTACAATCAGCTATTATCACACCATGTACTCCAGCCTGGGCAACAGTATAAGACTCTGCCTCTAAATATACATATATATGTGTGTATATATATATACGTATATATATATACACACATATATATGGCATATATATGTATATATATACATATATATACACACACACACATATATATGGCACTGTGTTGGAAGAACTGTATTAGAATACTATTCAAAATATAAATAACTCAAATGGGTATTTTATGACTGATGGCAAAACTGACTTCTAAAATTTGAACACAGTCAGGAGGTCATTGTACAGTATTAGAATAAGGCAGTTATTTGTTACTGGCTTATTATGGTGAACTGAAGCCATAAATAATAACTGGCATGTTGTTGAATTTTGAGTTACACTGTCGGGGTCACTCCTAAGGTATTTCTCCCTTTGTGAGAAATGGAGATACAGAAGCAGAATGTTCTGATTAGAAGCCAGCCTTGCATTGCCCCAAGTGATAAAGAGCAAAGGTAGAGCAATGCCTTTTATCAGAAGAGGAGATGACATTGATCTGGTGACGATTCTCAGTCACAACAATCAATCACATAGGAGGAAGTTGCCTTCGTGAATCAATGGATTACTTTCAGTGGTAAATGGTAGCTGTGGTTCATGGTGTGTGTGAAAGAGCTTACCATTTCAAAATTGCCAAGGGAAGTGGGCCTTTATTTCTTTTTTATATATATATACTTTAAGTTTTAGGGTACATGTGCACAACGTGCAGGTTAGTTACATATGTATACATGTGCCATGTTCGTGTGCTGCACCCGTTAACTCGTCATTTAACATTAGGTGTATCTCCTAATGCTATCCCTCCCCACTCCCCCCACCCCACAACAGGCCCCAGTGTGTGATGTTCCCCTTCCTGTGTCCATGTGTTCTCATTGTTCAATTCCCACCTATGAGCGAGAACGTGCGGTGTTTAGTTTTCTGTCCTGGCAATAGTTTGCTGAGAATTATGGTTTCCAGCTTCATCCATGTCCCTACAAAGGACATGAATTCATCATTTTTTATGGCTGCATAGTATTCTGTGGTGTATATGTGCCACATTTTCTTAATCCAGTCTATCATTGTTGGACATTTGGCTTGGTTCCAAGTCTTTGCTATTGTGAAGTGCTGTAATAAACATACGTGTGCATGTGTCTTTATAGCAGCATGATTTATAATCCTTCAGGTATATACCCAGTAATGGGATGGCTGGGTCAAATGGTATTTCTAGTTCTAGATCCCTGAGGAATCGCCACACTGACTTCCACAATGCTTGAACTAGTTTACAGTCCCACCAACAGTATAAAAGTGTTCCTATTTCTCCACATCCTCTCCAGCACCTGTTGTTTCCTGACTTTTTAGTGATCGCCATTCTAACTGGTGTGAGATGGTATCTCATTGTGGTTTTTGATTTGCATTTCTCTGATGGCCAGTGATGATGACCATTTTTTCATGTGTCTTTTGGCTGAATAAATGTCTTTTGAGAAGTGTCTGTTCATATCCTTCGCCCACTTTTTGATGGGGTTGTTTTTTTCTTGTAAATGTGTTGGAGTTCATTGTAGATTCTGGATATTAGACCTTTGTCAGATGAGTAGATTGCAAAAATTTCCTCCCATTCTGTAGGTTGCCTGTTCACTCTGATGGTAGTTTCTTTTGCTGTGCAGAAGCTCTTTAGTTTAATTAGATCCCATTTGTCAATGTTGGCTTTTGTTGCCATTGCTTTTGGTGTTTTAGACATGAAGTCCTTGCCCCTGCCTATGTCCTGAATGGTATTGCCTAGGTTTTCTTCTAGGGTTTCTATGGTTTTAAGTCTTAACATTTAAGTCTTTAATCCATCTTGAATTAATTTTTGTATAAGGTGTAAGGAAGGGATCCAGTTTCAGCTTTCTCCATATGGCTAGCCAGTTTTCCCAGCACCATTTATTAAATAGGGAATTGTTTCCCCATTTCTTGTTTTTGTCAGGTTTGTGAAAGATCAGATGGTTGTAGATATGCAGCATTATTTCTGAGGGTTCTGTTCTGTTCTATTGGTCTATATCTCTGTTTTGGTACCAGTACCATACTGTTTTGTTTACTGTAGCCTTGTAGCATAGTTTGAAGTCAGGTAGTGTGATGCCTCCAGCTTTGTTCTTTTTGCTTAGGATTGACTTGGCAATGCGGGCTCTTTTTTGGTTCCGGCCTTTGTTTCTTTATGCTCCACCACTATGGCTTGATTCATTGGGTCAAGGTCCAGCCCAGGGTTAAGATTTCCAAGACAAGTCTTCGAGCTATAGGAGTCAAAGGATCAGTTTACCAAGCTAGGGATGGAAATACTAAGACAAGGATCTCAAAGGAGGCAGATGCTGAAAGCAGGACACATATTGAGAAAGACAAAAGGTCAGCCTCAGGTTGCCATGGTGAGGTCGGGAGCCCAGATAAGCCAAGCCAAGTTGTCAGATTGTTGCATCCAGGTCAAAATGCCACAGGCAGCATCAGGATGGCTGGGGGGAGGACCGCAGTTCAGGATTATAGTCTGAGCTGATGTATTATTGTGATTTTCAGGTTTCCTCTACCTTATGACCCTAACTTGCATGTTAACCTCTCTGGACCAGTTTCTCAGGTTGCCCACAGGATCCTGACATAAGGATGAGTAATTTTGTTGAACCCTTGAAAATTCATGCAAAGACACACTTTTCAAAGTTTTATGTTAGTGTAGAGCATAGTTTTTCATCAGATTCTGCTGCCGTTTTATGTGACATTAAATACTCTCTTAAGATGCTGAAGCATTGTTTCCTCACCTACTAAGAGGTATCATGTCAGAGATAATGGACAGAAGAAGCCCTTAGAAATAAAAGCAGATTTTACATTTGGAAGGTTTGTGTTGTCTGTTTAATATTATTCACCCTTTCCCTAAATTCATTATTCTTAACATAGAATATTATAGGCAATTATAGTAAACAAAGACCCCTTAATTTAGAGTAGAGTAATTGTTTTAATCAACAAGATAACTTAAATCTGGTAGAAATTAAATGTCCATATAAGCTAAGACATAGTCTTGTTATTTGGGGGGAATCTTTTGGCAAAAATAATTTGAAATGGGGGCTACCTTCATTAATAGTGACAGTAAATTTGGGAAGAAATTAGAAAGAAGTATCCCCAAAGTTGTCCATGGATAGTCAGCTATCAGTCCTAAAATTTCACCGGGCTAAACAGTGAAAAATCTTATTTGTCAATGCACCTTTGAAAAAAATAGAGATGCTTTATAAGAAATGGGAAACGGGGAAAATAGAGGATTTACACAATCATAACTTTACCTGGATATTTACACTGGATAATTTTCAGAGCTGTTCTAGACTTAAATGTCATTTGAAGAATGCTATGGAATTAAGTTCCTTAAAAAGCAATTATTTATTATTAAATTAGTATATATGGGCACACTATATAAATGTATTTTCATTATGAGATGTTAAATCTGGAGAGTATGAGTGTAAGTGGTGTTGGGGGTGTAGTTTCTTTAAATCTTAAATGCTCTTCAATTAAGAATCCTAAATGCATGTACAAGAGTCTCTCAAAGTTTTATTTGACAGAAATCTTTATTACCAACTGAAAATAAATAATACTTATGTCCATGACTATCTGTCTTCAGCTGAATATTCTTTTCCAGAATCTTTTCTTGGGATTTGAGAAAAATTAGCAAAATAAGCGTGCATATAGCCTGTTTAATTATATTATAGTTATGTTATTGAGAGTGTGAATGCCATAGAATCTCAGGTGTTTTAGAAGTTCTGTTCCCACTATGGAAAAAAAAATCTGCCCTGTTTTCTAAGACAGAACTATGGTACTGTTAAGTTTTAAGTTTAAAAATAAAGCTGGGATGATTTTTAGCTTCTTACATGCCAAAAGACAAAAACAAAGAACACTCCCCCTGTGGAAGAAGTCAGGAAAATAATAGTATCTTGGCGTTCTTAAAGGGTACCAAGGTGTTTTTCTTTATTCCATGTCTTTAAACCCTTTTTGAGAAAACCATTGAAATTCCACCCTTTTGTGAGTATACAAAAATTAACACCATACTTACATAATTAACAATCTTAAAGGAAGCATCAAAATAACATTTTATAGTAACTTCATAAAAAATTAAAGACTCTGTAAAACACTAAACTCAAAAACACTCCCTATCCTACTCACTGTTGTTGACACGCATACATCCAATTTAAAGGGTTTTATTCAGAGAGTTCGTAAGGATTATCACCTCCAGATAGGAATATTCCTGTTAAAGTTACAGGCTATAAAAGCCATTTCTTTTCATTTATGTATGTATTTATTTATTTATTTATTTATTTATTTATTTATTTATTTATTTATTTTTGAGGCAGAGTCTTGCTCTGTTGCCCAGCCTGGAGTACAGTGGCATGATCTCAGCTCACTGCAACCTCTGCCTCCTGAGTTCAAGTGATTATCCTGCCTCAGCCTCCCTAGTAGCTGGGATTACAGGTGCATGCCACCATACCAGCTAATTTTTTTTTGTATTTTTAGTAGAGATGGGGTTTCACCATGTTGGCCAGGCTAGTCTCGAACTCCTGACCTCAGGTGATCTGCCCACCTCAGCCTCCCAAGTGCTGGGATTACAGGCGTGAGCCACCTCACCTGACCTTATAAAGACCATTTCTTAACTGCATCATCAAATCTGGACACCAGGCTGGTACCCACAAATAAGGGCAGTGCTCACCAAAGGCCAACACCTCTCCTTCCAAATGAAGAGCTACATCTTGAGGCTGTATGAAAACAACACGAAAACAGAAACAGCTGTTTGAAATCAACTATATACAACTGAATCCTGGTTAGGATGCATATATTTACATAGATGCCCACTTATACATATGTAATCACAGATAATTCCCAGGTCCCACAGTGGCCAGGGTTTGGTGGTAGTGACCACCTCCCTCTCATTCAGTTAGTGGTGAACTTCCCCAGCAGTTCTGTCTGCCTCTCAATCCTGGTCCTGATCCAGAATGTGTCTTTCATGTAGGATCTTTGTCATATGTTGATTCTCCTTTGCACCCCATTCCGTTTTATACCAGCTCTCTACATAAGCCTGTTAGAGATATAATATTAATTGCCCAGAAATCTCAGCCTGCAGTGGCTCCAACATCATTTTTTAATGAATACGGACTTCATTGCATGTATTTCTATTACTTTGGTTACTTCTATTTTTATTGCAAAGATCTGTGCAAATAAAAGAATATCAAAAGGTACGGCTATAAATGTGCTCTGCTAAATTCCCTCTGCCTTGAAATGCCTGTGAACCGCAGCCACAGAATGCCTGCTGCATTTTAATGCCTTTCTTGCGAGGCAACATGATATAGTAGAAACAGCGCTGGTTGGGAGTCACACAAATCCTGGCCCACCATTCACCAGTTGTGTTCCTTAACGTCTCTGAGCCTCAGTGTGCTCGTGTGTAAAATGTCAACAACAATGTCATCTTCACAGATTTGACTGAGGCTTAAATGAGATGAGGTATGTAAAGCACAAATGTTGTCTTTAGGACATCATAGGAGCTTGATAAATGTTAATTTTTTTCAGCCTGCAGCAGTCATAGGAGGAGATGAAGGCATGCACAGATGAACACTCATTTTAAAAAGTACTACAGTTGAGGTCATTTTTAAGGCTAGATTCCAAATGCCTTAGTGTGATGTTTATGACATGTGGGAATTTGTTGCTGTAGGTGGCCATGAAGAAAATGACATGGTTTCTGAAATCCATTACAACTTTAAGCTCTGTCCAGCTCTAAAGTGTTATAAGAAAGGGCCTGTTTAATGATACATCTGCCTTTAAAGGCATAAGCAATGTAATTTATTTTTAAAATCATTACAATATACATCATGTTATTATACTGCTTGAATTAATTTCACATAAAATTCCAGCACATCGAAAGTGTAAGACTGTCATTGATCACCTATATAGGGATACAGCTGTAATAGAAACTTTTTGTAAGGATGGCCAGGGCTTTACTTCATTCAGTGAATAAATAATTAGGAAAGCCTAATTGTTAAACTAACAATGTGGAGATGAGGTTATTGACACTTTTACTAGTTTTATATGGTTTCAATAGTATTTGAATTACATCATGATCTGATGTCACTTCTGAAGCTATTTCTAGAATCAGTGCTGCTAAATTCCATGAAGCAAGGAATATAGAACAAACGACATATAAATAGGGAAGGAAAATGGGAATCCTCAGAAAGTAAATCCTGTAGGCTAGCCTTCACTTCCATTCTTGTTCAGTATCTTGCTAGAGGACCCAGTCTCTAAAACATAAAATGAGATGAAGGAAGGGAAGTAGGTTGGAAGGCAGTAAGCCATAGTGGAAGAGCAGTCTTTGAAATGAGAAAACACTTGTTAATCATCTATTTGCTAGGAGCTTCATATTCTTCATCTTTATTGAGCAGAATAATAAATCCATCAGTATTTTTTGAGGTTTTAAGATATTGACAGCACCTGTCACACAGGAATTGTAAATAAACTCATGTACAATTCCTATAGATTAGTAGTGGCTTTCTGAGGTTCTAGGCTAAAAGAATTCTGAGAATTCTTTCCCAATTACAGCATTGAGAAAGAATGCTCTAATTGATTCGTGATGTCTGCTGTGGACAGAGAGTGGAGTAAGTAAAAGTATATATAGATATATTTGCTATATAAGTGTTCAATAAATTATAACCATTATGATGATTGCCACTATCACAAAGGTGTATGTCCCTCTAAAATTTGCTAAGTTTCTACATCTTCAGTGCAATATGGAATCAATTAATTGCTTTGGTTATAATAGTGGCGTATATTATTTTTATTAATTTGGTGGTAAGCATATGTGTATTATCTGCTGAGAAGAGCTACAAATCAGAAATTGGAATTTGCTGTCCCTAATCTTACCACCTTAAATACCTATTTAGGAAAAGTCTGATACCATTTCTAAAAGTAGAATGAGGGTTGAGAGGAAAAAAGAAGAGATGATATTGAGACATCGTCCCAGGTTACCACAAAAGGTTTGCACAGTGTTCCATATTTTTAAAAAATATTCACACAAGGGAGAAGATACAGCATGTTTTGCACTTAGATGGTCCATGACTTTCTGGGCTGTTTTCCTGTTTTTTCTCTTGGGCCAGATTTCTTTTCTGGGTAAATAGCCATGCTCCTGTCAGCCACAGGGGACTTTCTGAATCCTGAACAGCTGATTTTGTATTCCTGCCCCATTCCCTTATTTGAGAACAGCAATCTGATCAAACCCATATTTTTAAATTTATGCATTTATAGGCATATGGAAGAATAGTTTACAGTCTCAGTACAATTTTTTTTTTCCACCACAAATGGAAGAAAAGTGTGTTCTTAGAAAACAGTGCTTTATCAGTTTCTTTTTTTTTTTTCTTTATTACTGATGACTTCATTCTACTTGAATTCAAGGCTTCAGTTTCTTTGGGGTAAACTAATAGATTATGTATGCGATGTTTGCACCATGTTGATTGAACTCATCTGGTGAGTTTGAACGCAGCTCATGAATTTCCGTAATCGACAGAAGCCTGTGCGTTGGATACAGACACCATGGTCATCTCGTATTACTCAAGAGCTAGGGAAGCTGTTGAAAATAGACTGTGCTGCTTTTCCTGCCTGCCCATGGTTCAGAAAAGCTTATCAAGACTTTTAATTTGTTCTTACTATCTTTTTCAAGTGCTCAAAGAAAACTTTTTTTAAGTATAGTAAAGAAAGAGAATTAGAACTATTATGAGAGTTTCAACATACATATTGAAAAAAAAAAAAAAAAGAAAGAAAGGTACGTGATTCCCAAGGGTTTGTCTTTTCTGAACCAAAGGCATCAGCTGCTGAGTGTCTGTCGAGCACCCAGGAAGCCCAGAACCCTGTGCGAACTGTCAGGGAGCAGCCACAAGACAGAGGTACATCATCCAGTTTGCAATTAACTTACCATCTAGTTTGAGAAGAATGCTTTTCCTCCAAAAGGTGTTTACTCACCATTTTTTTTTTTTTTTTTTTTGTAATTTACAAACACAGTTGTAAAATATTTTTTAAAAATAGATGACCTCTTTCTGTTGCTTTTAGGTACCTCATATTATCAGATATCTCATTTAAACTTGGAACCCAACTGTAATATTTGGGGTTCTTTTTGACATGCAAAGCTCTTCACGCTGGGGCTCTACCTACCTTTCCAAGCCTCACTTGTCCCTCTTCTCTTTGATCCTCCTATATTTCTTTAAAATACTCACACAAGAGAGAAGATACAGCATGTTTTACACTTAGTTCATGACTTTCTGGACTTTTTTCCTGTGTTTATTCCCCAAATGCTACAGTAGTGATCCTCACATACCCGTGAAACATAAGTGTCATGATTGATAAGATGTTATCAATTGAGTTAAAGTACCAAAATTTGTAAGTGATATGCTTCTGTCATTATTAGAGTAAATTCAAAATACCCCCAAACTATGGCTGGGTGTAATGGCTCATGCCTGTAATCCTAGCACTTTGGG
Source organism: Homo sapiens (assembly GCF_000001405.40). NCBI lineage: Eukaryota > Metazoa > Chordata > Mammalia > Primates > Hominidae > Homo > Homo sapiens. The sequence goes on from NC_000002.12 coordinate 205,497,938, forward strand.
AGGCCAAGGCAGGCAGATCACTTGAGGTCAGGAGTACTAGACCAGCCTGGCCAACATGGTGAAACCTCGTCTCTACTAAACACACACACACACACACACACACACACAAAGAATTTGCTGGGCGTGGTGGCAGGCGCCTGTAATCTCAGCTATTTTGGATGCTGAGACAGGAGAATCGCTTGAACGCAGGAGGCAGAGGTTGCAGTGAGCCAAGATCGCACCACTGCACTCTACCCTGGGTGACAGAGTAAGACTCTGACTAAAAAAAAAAAAAAAAAAACAGGCCAGGCGTGGTGGCTCACGCCTGTAATCCCAGTACTTTGGGAGGCCGAGGCGAGTGGATCACCTGAGGTCAGGAGTTCAAGACCAGCCAGATCAATGTGGTGAAATCCTGTCTCTACTAAAAATACAAAAATTAGCCAGGTGTGGTGGTATGCACCTGTAGTCCTAGCTACTGGAGAGGCTGAGACAGGAGAATTGCTTGAACCTAGGAGGCAGAGGGTGCAGTGAGCCAAGATAGTGCCATAGCACTCCAGCCTGGGCTACAGAGCAAGACTCCATCTCAAAAAAAAAAAAGAACTTTAAAGTCACCAGAACTCACTTTTATTCGAATTTGCTTTGTAAATGAGAGTGGAAAGGGAACATACACCATACACCTGGTATGTGTGTAAGGCAGGACAAAAGAAGTTGAGGACCAGTGCTTAACCAAAGTGATCGACTTGCATGTCTCTAAAGCAAGATGCTTTCTCATTGCTTTACTTTGCACTCACTGCCCTTCCCTCTACCTGGAATATCCTCCTCTCACTTGTCTAGCTGTTGAGCACCTTTGTATCCTTCAGGGCTCAGCTGAAGTGTCACCTCCTCCATGGAGCCTTCTGTGATTTTCTTCAATGGCCCTGCTCTCACCTTGTCAAAGTTTAAGCACTCTGCGTTCCCATGACCCCATGCAAATCTCTGTAAGAGCACAAGTCATAATGGACTGTAGTCTTCTGTATCCCTCTCTGTCCCCTACCTCCCAGACTATTTGTTTTTGCAGGTAAGGACTGTGAAGTGTTCCTTTTTCCATTCCCAGATTTTAACGTCTGGTGCAATGGGGCACTCAGTTATGCCTCAAATGAACCAGATAAGTAGAATGGCTGTTCAGATCTGCCTGTCATTCTTTTGCTCCCTAGCCCTGTATAATATCATGTGATACTGGTTCCACTAAAATAACTACAATAACCTAATCTAAGCTACAAGGGAGGTGCTAGCTGAGCAGTTTGGGGTTGGGCAGATGAGTTACTGGAAAAGCTATAATTCATAAGAGGAAATACTGGCTAAAGTACAGAGAGAAGAACTTGGATTAGCACGTTCTACTCTACACCAGCTTCCCCCACCTTAAAAAAAAAAAAAAACTTTCTTACTGTTTTGTTTTGTTTTTTTACTGTCACCTTTTTTACACGTGTCCTAACTGTACCCATATATTGACATGTATCCCATCCCCAACCCCCACTCCCAAAGTTCATGAGCCTCATGGAAATGAATGCTAACATATTCCAGCCCTGTCTCATATCCAGCCTTCAGGTCAAACAACTGGAGCTTTGTCCCAAATTAGCAATACTTATTGAGAAAATGAGATATCCATATTAAAATGTGACAAAACTCTGTGTGTGTGATTATAAGAAAAAAGTGGTGGGCCTTTTAATTGCTCTAAAAGGTAAAGACTCTATCTTACCTTCTCATTCAAAAGGCATTTATTCATCCCAAGTCAGACATTTGACCCTTGGAACTAAAGGTAGGCACGTAAAGACCACTTTTTGTTCATATTTATGACTGATTTCACCATTTTCCTGGCATATTTGAATTACATTATTGAATCTTCCAAATTTAGATGTCAACTCCTTTAACAAGAAGATCCAAAAGTGATTTCAAAGATGATGTACACTGTGTGAATCTGATTATTTGTCTATATCCTGTAGTGGCCGTCCTACGGGTGGAAGCACTGACCGTATCCAGAAGTTGCGGAAAGAGTATTATCAGGCTCGGAGGGAAGGTTTCCCTTTATATGAAGACGACGAAGGAAGAGCAAGGCCATCTGAGTATGACCTACTCTGGGTAAGCGCATGCATGATTTCAATCGTTGAATTCATCTTTTCTAAGAATGTTTAGAGCAGAAGAACACGGTCAAGAATGTTCTGTACATACCAGATTCTATTTAGGTTTCTTGGGCTTCATAGACAGGAACATTACCCAAACCACAGGCATATTCTCCCACAGAAGCTGTTTATGGAAATCAAACGCCGTGAACGTGCAGTAGTTCATTCTGATTGCTCTCATACTTCCTGTTATATGCCAACTGGTTTGGGGGAAGCAGAAGTTAGCTACTTTAAAGAGGGCAAGGGATCTTTGTCACCATCCACTGAGCTTTGATTCTTGCAACACAAGCCATCTCTCCTTTGGAAAATGGTGATTAGAAGTAAATTTCAAAAGGGTTATTGTCAGAGATGTCAGTTGTTTGTTTATTGGATCTGAGCACTTCACATTCTGCTGATCTTACCGGCATACTAGGATGGATTTGTTTTGAGATAAGGGCAGTTTTTGTATTAGAGGATTCTTTTTGCTCAATCCTTTGACATTCAGGGAACAGAAAAGAATACAGTGACCACTGAAGAAAAACTCATTGGGTTTTTTCAGAGTGGCACGATTCACTCTCTTGTTTTCAAGAAGCAAGTCTGTGCCTACAAGATGTACTTAACTCTTCAGCATCTACAAAAATGCCCAGGAAGAGGATGCTTAGAATTGCATGAAATGTGCATGCACATCAGATACATAGAACAGTGGCTGACATAGAGCTGGTGCTCAGTAATTGTTAGTTCTTGTTACTGGCATTATTATCAGAGCAGAGCTGAACATGGTAATAGCAGTGTCCTTGCTGGGGTTCAGTTCTCACTCACCCTCTAATGATTTCTGCCTTCTACTGCGCCTTTTAGAGCTGCTCTGAGAACCAGGTAGGGGACTCTGTTATCCCCGGTGCCCATGAAAGACACCGGCTCCTTTGAAAGGCAGATCTGTTAAGGCAGGTTTCCTTTCCTGAGTTTCACACTCAGGTTTATGCTCATAAGGTCAGAGTGGGGAGAATAGAGTCTGGCGACTGAGCTGATTCCCTCTAGTTCTTACATCTGTGTGGGGGGCCTGTCATGCGTTCATCTCTACACTGGGGTGTGAAAATCAGTTTCAGGATCCACCACTGTTGGGCAGAGCAACCGGAACTGCTGAGCCCAGAAGATTGCACCTGTATAATGGAGTTCCAAAACACTAATCAGAAGTGCACAGTGCAGATGGGCGATCTCAAGGCCAAGTGGCTTCAGCCTCTTTGGAGAGAGGCAGCCTGAGACTATGGATCGGAACAAACAGCTATTTATTGGTCTTATTATAGATGTTAGGATTAAACAGAATGACACCTAGAGTGATGGGAAAACTTGTCTCTTAGCTTCTCTGTAGCAGAAGAGAAAGATTTCCACAGAATAACAGATTAGATAACAATTCACTCAGTTTCAAACTTGATCGAGATCGATTTACTGCCTCTGACAAGAGATGTGAGCTACTTGTTAGGTAAGGCTCAGCTCCCTCGATAAGCCAAACAAGCAATAAAATAAAGGAAAGTCATTTCCACTGTACCCAAAACAGAACACCGTGTCCAGCGCATTGAAAAGTGCTCTATCTCAAAACCTCTATGAATTCCTATGAGCAAAATAAGACAAATAATTTTAGACAAAGTAGTCCTGGTTGTTTTGACCTTATTTTATATGATTTCCTTACATCAAGCTGAAAGGATGAAGGTGCTTAACTTTCAAGAGACTTGAAGTTTCCTCTGACCCTCACCAAACCTGAGCTAGATAACTATACCCTTGGGTGCTCCCTTTTTTAATGATTCTATTTTTATGCCAAGTAAACGTGTAACCAGACCATCTAGTGAGTAAAGAAGTATCTCTAGTTTAATTTGTGTTTCCCATGCTCCGGTGTGTTGAGCTCTGCCAAAAGTGACTGATTTTATGTTTCCCAGACAATCGGGGTCTGAGGCTTCCCAAAGGGATGCTTGGGAAATGCACTGCCGTAAAACACGAGTGTTCTTTGTGACTGCCTGAGATACTCCAAGCCAGGGATTAGAATCTCAGCATCCTTTCCTCTCCTCTCCCCACGCCAAGGAAAAACACTAGTGTTTTGTATTAAGGCAGGTTTCCTTTCCTGAGTGTCTTTTGTTCAGCGTAGGCCTGAGAAATTACACTGTTGTCTTGCCACTTTTGGAGAGATCTAGGAAAGCAAGTTAAGAAAGTTAACATTTCATTCCTGTCAAGCGGCCAGACCCAACAAGGCAGCTTTTATGAGACTGTGGTTCCTAGAAAGGCAGGTCTTTAGCATCATCACCAGGGCACTAGCTAAAATCAGATCACAGTCGCGTGAAGGGGAAGAATGGGCCCAGGAGAGACCCTCAAGGGATGCGCCACGTGGTCATCAAGGATTCTGATCCACAATTCTGAAAATAGGACATTGACTTCAATCCCTTGAGTAAACACGAAAGCGGTCCAACTTCTCTAGCAAAACCACTGTGGACCAGCATCATCAGAAATATTGTTATGAACTTAGAACTCCCCCAAGTCCAGAGTCTCTGGTTGAAAGGCCCGATGAGTGTTTTCTGGAGTCATTCTATACTGGGGAACTTCTGAACTATGGAGAAGGAAATTACAAAGATAAGTTACCTAACAACTACTCGTAAACCCATTTCAAAATAGGCTAGCAAGAATGAAAGTATGCTCACTGAAGTCTTCAAAGCCAAAATAATGAGAATAATCACTTGAAAGTTTATTAGGGTCTATGAATATTTTAAAATATATATATAAATATATATGACTAATACTTTTTCTTTGGCTGGCCCTGGACTTTCTAGATCTTCTCAGACCAACTTGTATGTAGTTCTCTACCACTATTGCACCTGCCCAGTGGCCTGAAGTCTAAGCTTTCTCTTACTCCTCCCTAGGGTTCTCACTTGGTTTCATGCCTGTCTTCTCTCCCCTCTCCCTTATCCCCTCCCCTCTCCCCTCTCCCCTCTCCCCTCTCTCTTCTCTCTTCCCTCTTCCCTCTTCCCCTCTCCCCTTTTTCCTCCCTTCTCCTCTCCCCTGACTCCTATTACATTTTAACAAATATTTGCTAAATCTTAGTGTAGACCAGGTGCTGATAACAAGAATATGACATTACTTCCACCTTGGAGGAACTCAGGATCCAGCCAGGAATAGATCTAAGCCCAAACAAAATGGAACAATAATATATGTGATAAATGCTGTAGTATAGAGAGGTATTAGCTTCTATATGTACTGAGAGAGAGTAGTTCATTCTGCTGGAGGTGCATAGTTGGAGACAGAGTGCTAGGAAAACTATAGAGACATTTTGGGAGTTGCCTCAGCTGACATACTTTGTTCTTTTTTTTTTTCATACTTTGTTCTTTTATTCTCAAATTTGTTGGATTTTTTTCCCCTTTTGCAAAAGATCTCCTGATTTATTCGCTTTGTTTTAAAATAAATGAATACTTCTGAGGGCTCTGTTCTGTTCCATTGGTCTATATCTCTGTTTTGGTACCAGTACCATGCTGTTTTGGTTACTGTAGCCTTGTAGTATAGTTTGAAGTCAGGTAGCATGATGCCTCCAGCTTTGTTCTTTTGTCTTAGGATTGACTTGGCAATGCGGGCTCTTTTTTGGTTCCATATGAACTTTAAAGTAGTTTTTTTCCAATTCTGTGAAGAAAGTCATTGGTAGCTTGATGGGGATGGCATTGAATCTATAAATTACCTTGGGCAGTATGGCCATTTTCACGATATTGATTCTTCCTACCCATGAGCATGGAATGTTCTTCCATTTGTTTGTATCCTCTTTTATTTCATTGAGCAGTGGTTTGTAGTTCTCCTTGAAGAGGTCCTTCACATCTCTTGTAAGTTGGATTCCTAGGTATTTTATTCTCTTTGAAGCAATTGTGAATGGGAGTTCACTCATGATTTGGCTCTCTGTTTGTCTGTTATTGGTGTATAAGAATGCTTGTGATTTTTGCACATTGATTTTATATCCTGAGACTTTGCTGAAGTTGCCTATCAGCTTAAGAAGATTTTGGGCTGAAACGATGCCACATATCTACAACCATCTGATCTTTCACAAACCTAACAAAAACAAGAAATGGGGAAATAATTCCCTATTTAATAAATGGTGCTGGGAAAACTGGCCAGCCATATGGAGAAGGCTGAAAATGGATCCCTTCCTTACACCTTATACAAAAATTAATTCAAGATGGATTAAAGACTTAAATGTTAGTCCTAAAACCATAAAAACCCTAGAAGAAAACCTAGGCAATACCATTCAGGACATAGGCAGGGGCAAGGACTTCATGTCTAAAACACCAAAAGCAATGGCAACAAAAGCCAACATTGACAAATGGGATCTAATTAAACTAAAGAGCTTCTGCACAGCAAAAGAAACTACCATCAGAGTGAACAGGCAACCTACAGAATGGGAGAAAATTTTTGCAATCTACTCATCTGACAAAGAGCTAATATCCAGAATCTACAATGAACTCCAACACATTTACAAGAAAAAAACAACCCCATCAAAAAGTGGGTGAAGGATATGAACAGACACTTCTCAAAAGAAGACATTTATGCAGCCAAAAGACACATGAAAAAATGGTCATCATCACTTGCCATCAGAGAAATGCCAATCAAAACCACAATGAGATGCCATCTCACACCAGTTAGAATGGCGATCATTAAAAAGTCAGGAAACAACAGGTGCTGGAAAGGATGTGGAGAAATAGGAACACTTTTACACTGTTGGTGGGACTGTAAACCAGTTCAAGCATTGTGGAAGTCAGTGTGGCGATTCCTCAGGGATCTAGAACTAGAAATACCATTTGACCCAGCCATCCCATTACTGGGTATATACCCAAAGGATTATAAATCATGCTGCTATAAAGACACATGCACGCGTATGTTTATTGTGGCACTATTCACAATAGCAAAGACTTGGAACCAAGCCAAATGTCCAACAATGATAGACTGGATTAAGAAAATGTGGCACATATACACCATGGAAAACTATGCAGCCATAAAAAATGATGAGTTCATGTCGTTTGTAGGGACATGGATGAAGCTGGAAACCATCATTCTCAGCAAACTATCGCAAGGACAGAAAACCAAACACCGCATGTTCTCACCCGTAGGTGGGAATTGAACAATGAGAACACATGGACACAGGAAGGGGAACATGACACACTGGGGCCTGTTGTGGGGTGGGGGGAGTGGGGAGGGATAGCATTAGGAGATATACCTAATGTTAAATGACGAGTTGCTGGGTGCAGCACACGAACATGGCACATGTATACATATGTAACAAACCTGCACGCTGTGCACGTGTACCCTAAAACTTAAATAATAAAAAAATAAAATAAAATAAAATAAATGAATACACACACACTGTAAGGTTTGTAAATATGGACTTGAGACCTTAAAATCTTTTCAGCTGTTCTGTTGTGTAACTGTTTTCCCGTCTTAGCTCTGAAAAGCTGTAAAGAACAAGTTGAAAGAACTTCAGTGGCTGCAAGTAAAACAGTCTGGTGAGTTTTTATAGGCCCAATTAAGTAAGCAAGATATACTAGCTGTGAAGTGTTAATATTTGCCAGAGGAAAACATAATACCTGTTATCTGCTGGTATTTTATTTTTTGTAAAACTTAAGATAGTCCTCTGACAACGGGCTGCTTTTTTCTTAGCAGATAAAGCTGATCTGCTTATTTAACAGCAGCATGAATATCCTGTAAATAATTTTAGCAATGAGATGCCTCTGAAGTTTTCTAAAAATATTAGTGCCTTTATTATTGTCTTTTTCAAGAGCTGAATAGCAGTATCATTATCCCCCCGCCCAACCTTTTTAAAAAAAAATTCTTTGGCTAAATTAGAAGAAAGTTTATTTATAAAAGAGGTTTGTAGACACATGGTTGGGAAGGGAGTACATTTGTTTATATATGGAAAAAAAAGTGGGAGTTAAAACATCTTAAACTAGCATGATATACCTGTTACCACTGTCATTAAAAACATGGTGCTGGCCGGGCACAGTGGCTCACGCCTGTAACCCCAGCACTTTGGGAGGCTGAGGAAGGTGGATCATGAGGTCAAGAGATTGAGACTAACCTGGCCAACATGGTGAAACCCTGTCTTTACTAAAAATACAAAAATTAGCTGGGCATGGTGGTGCACACCTGTAGTCCCAGCTACTTGGGAGGCTGAGGCAGGAAAATCACTTGAACCCGGGAGGCGGAAGTTGCAGTGAGCTGAGATCGCACCACTGCCCTCTAGCCTGGTGACAGAGTGAGACTCTGTCTCAAAAAAAACAAAAACAAAAACAAAAATTGTGCTATATCTCTCTGGCACAGGGGTTGGCTCAGGTAGATCATAGTTGGAACAATGAGATGGTTGGGTGAATAAATGTAAACATCTGAAAGATTTGTTCATTCTGTTGTGAAGATGGTCTAGAAGCCAACTTGAAGAAACGTACTTGGCCGCTGATCTGGATGACAAGAGACAAATCTGGTGAATTCCACACTTGGAGGAAAGAGAAAACACAATGCTGAGATCATGCTAACCATCTTAAGGAAAGGATTTAAGATGGAATGTGCAATAGCCAAAGAAGTATAAAAGCCATCAGAAGGTTTTTCATAAACACCAGGAGAAAAGAGGACAAGTGCCATCAATGGTCCAATACCAGAGTGGAGATTTCTATGTATTTTCCTTGTCTCCTCCTTAAAAGCATCTGATAAAAACTAAGTACATTGATGAACAATTCTGGTTTAGGCAATAGCTCTTATATTCCAAAGAACAGAGACCTAAATCAAACTGACCTGATTCATAAAGGAAATTTTGTTGACTTATTTAAAAGAAGTCCATAACCATATCTTGACTTCAGGCAAAGCTGGATCCAACTCCTCCAGACAGGCCATTAGGAGTCTCTTTTTTCATCTGTCAGCTTTGCTATTCTCTCTGCAGGCACCATTCTCAAGGGGCTACCTGAGGTAGAAAGACAGCCATCTGCAGCTCTAACACAACAACTCTGAAGGAGGAGATAGTCTCTCTGTAGATCAGGAAACATCCTGGAGTGGATGTTCAGCACAATTCTCAGTAGCGCTGATTGATTCAGCCTGGATCACGTGTCCACTTCTGAACCAACCTTCATGGCCAGACAGGTGCAGTATTTTTTTTTTTTTTTTTTTTTTTTTTTTTTTTTTTTGAGACAGAGTCTTGCTCTGTCACGCAGGCTGGAGTGCAGTGGCACGATCTCTGCTCACTGCAAGCTCCACCTCCGGGGTTCACGGCATTCTCCTGCCTCAGCCTCCCAAGTAACTGGGACTACAGGCACCCACCACCACGCCCGGCTAATTTTTTGTATTTTTAGTAGAGACGGGGTTTCACCGTGTTAGCCAGAATGGTCTCGATCTCCTGACCTCGTGATCTGCCTGCCTCGGCCTCCCAAAGTGCTGGGATTACAGGCTTGAGCCACCGCACCCGGCCACAATATTCTTATAGACTAAAACTAGGCCACAAGACCACCCCTGGAACTAGACAGTGAAGTCAAGTCCACCCAGACTCCATAAATAAGGATAGGTGAAGAGAGAGTCCTCAAAGGAAAATCAAGGTGCTGTTAACAGGGAAAGAGAATGTAGATGGTAGGCACAATTACAAACTGTCTACGACAACTTCGAGTTCTAATAATGATATAAACTTTCTTCATCTTCTTAGATTTCCAGGGAAAGAGAAAGAAAAGCCTTCCCTTTGTGTATTCTCCTGTTTATCGTTAGAAAGAATAGATCTATTATCAAACTTAAATTTGCTGCCATTATTTGTTATGTAAAAGGAGAAAGAAAATTCACTTTGTCTATTGGTTCAGCATCTTTGAACTATCCCAGGAACCCAGATGATGTCACTGAATTATTCATGAGAAATTATCAGACCTCTGGAATTTATTTATATAGGCAAATGACATTTTAGTTCACCTCGGACCTAGCAATTCACCCCAGAACGATCTGAGTACAGATTGTCTCAGCAATACTCTGGGGACAAATCTGATCCATAAAGGTTGTAGGGATAGTGAAAGAGGAGGGAACAATTCACCCCAGGAGAAGCAGTAGAATTATTTGAAAGGACTAAAGTTGCTCTCTTTCTTTACATAGAGTTGCTCTGTTTATATCTTCATGGATTATTGTCTTGTGACAAGCACATAGTCTGTTCTTAAAACCTTTAGAAGGTGAGATGGGGTAAAGAATTAGAGCCATTAAATGTTTGTATCCAGGCCAGGAGGGGTGGCCCATGCTTGTAATTTCAGCACTTTGGGAGGCCGAGATGAGAGGATCACTTGAGCCCAAGAGTTGGAGACCAGCCTGGGCAACATAGTCAAACCTTTCTCTATGAAAAATACCAAAATTATGGGGGTGTGGTGGCATGCATCTGTGGTCCCAGCTACATGAGAGGCTGAGACAGGAGGACTGCTTGAGTCCAGGAGGTCAAGGCTGCAGAGAGCCATAATCATGCCACTGCATTCCAGCTCGGGCAACAGAGCAAGACCCTTTCTCCAAGAAAAAAAAAAAAAAAAAAGTATGTGTCCATAGACTCCTGCAGTTGGGCTGCTGCCACACGATGGGCAATCCCTTCTCAGTTGATGAACCTTCTTGAGCTCTATCCCAATGGTTCCCTCCCAGTGGCTGACTTTATCAACACATCTTTTGATTTCCAAAAACAGTGGAACTGAGGATTGGAAGCAATACCAAGGCAGAGAAAAAAAGAGAGAAAAAACCATGTCTATACATTGCGTGGGTTTTAGAAAGGCCTGAAGTTTTATTGAACTTGATACTGGTGAAACATCAATGCCACTGGAAGAGTTGAGATTTTGCTCACTTAGATTTCAGCAAGTAGTAAAACAAAAAGAAAAAAAATTGAGAAAAGAAGAGGACAAAATAAACTGAATTTTTTTTTTTTTTTGGTTAGTGGCTTTGGCCCTTTTATATTTCAGTGTGTCTTTCACAGGAATTTGTTGACATATAAGCTATATGGGAGAAGATCTGGACTATACAACATGTGAGTGAATTTCTAGCCTTTAAATATAGCATAAATCATTTTTGAAAGGAAGCAACATGTTTACAGGCAGTCCCCAACATAGAAATAAACTGTTCCAGAAGTCCATTTAGAAGCTGGCAATTTAGAACTAGGAATTGATTTTTCCCATAGGGAAAAAATATATATATATTGTTTGTTAGGATCCCAAACCAGCCTACAAAAACCCACTAAAATCCAGTAACCTTGTGCTAATCCCAGAACAATAACCTTGAAGCAGAAACAGGGAGCTATCTAACCCCCTCCCTTCTTTTCTGGACACATTTTTTTGGGATACTCTCTGGGCCCTTCCCATCTACCGGTCTTTAAGTCTGTTGCTCCAGATTCCCTGACCATTAATTCCCCTACCTCCGCATCATGGCACCCCACTTAAGCCCACTCCTCCCCTAAAGCATTCAGGCATTCAGTTACTTCTCTGCCCTGTCCCTCAACAGAGTTACCATTCTCAGTACAGATAGTCTCAGCAATACTCTGGGGGACAAATCTGATCCATAAAGGTTGTAGGGATAGTGAAGGAGGAGGGAACAGGAGAGGGGCTAATGGAATGTACTCCCAAACAGTAGTGTTAGAGCTATTCCTGATGCTCTGTTGCTACTACACTAGCCTCTGGATTCTCCAGCGCTTCTGTTTCCACGTATGGAGCCCAAGCTTACACAGAGCTCCCTGTCTGACACTGCCTGTGGGCAGTGACCTGATCCCAAGAGTGGATCCGATTTCTCCAGCAAACTGGCCCTTTCTCCAAAGGAAGCCTTTTGTTTCTGGGTCTGCCCTCTGTGGCCCAAGGGCCAGTCGCTACAACTAACATGGGCCAGGATGCCTCAGCTCTGCTTAAAAATCTGCCCTGATAAGATAGCTCTTCTAAACTACTCCTGTCCACTCATCCTGTCTTTTGAAACACACAGATGTCCAGAGTTTTAGAACTAGTAATTTAGCAGATATGGGAAGCATTTTAGCACAGGAGACTCTGAAGCTAGGCTGCCTGAGTTCACATCCAGGCTGTACCCATTACTCACTAGGTAAATTTGGGCAATTTATTTTACCTGTCTCCTTTAAAAGTGAGAGAATAGTACTGTCTCCTTGAAGTACTATGACACACACATGATTACATGTAAAGTACTTAGAATAGTGTCTAAACATGTAGGAAGTGTCAATAAACAAGAATTTTTAAATGGTACACATATCAAGTTTTGAAATAACACATTCAATTGGCCAGACAACCCTTCTATCTTAGTTATTATTGGAGCTCCTTAGCCTCTTCGGTTATTCCAGAGCCCTTGGACATTATATAGCACACAAAGCCTTGAGGGTGGCCTTCACATCCTGCTCCCTCTGGTTACCACTGAGATGCCCAGGGTCACTTCAGGTGGTAACTGTCAAGCTTGGTCATCAGGCACTTTTAGCAAATTCCATTGGTCCAAAGGTCAATATCTATTTCCCTCTCTCCCACACACATACTTTTCCTTCAAAAGTACATTCCTTTCATCCCTGACCCTGGGGGCACACCTAATCTCTTTAATGAGCTTATGCTAAAATCAAAGACCAGAAGAAAGTTGACTTCTAGCAGCTTCTGCCTGCAGCTCTGCAAAAAACCCTGAAGCAAAGAAATACCAGGGTCCAGTTAAGCGCTTAAAATAGGAGGGTGAGATACAAAGAGAATATATACAAATTATTTACTCAATAAATTATACTACAACCAGATCGTTAATAAAAATGGCATCATTTACTCAGTGCTGACTCTGCCTTATATAAGCTATTCCATATACTAGCTCTGTGAGGTAGATATCTTTAATCCAGTTTTATAGATGAGAAAACAAAGGTTCCAAGACCTTGCCTCATGGCCACACAATCATTAGCAAAGCTGATTTCCAAATCTCTACTGACTCCCGGTGAAAAGAGAAAGGAAAGCTCCTATGGCTGGTGTTGAGATACTTCTTAATATAAGATGTTTGAAAGAAAGAAAATGTGTGAATATTCATCTATAAGCACTATGAAAACTGTCTTCTATCTTTGTTGAACTACTCTTGAATTATCACTCCTCTTAATTTGTTTTTGAACCCAATAATATTGAACCAAAATCAAAGTGTGGTGTTGTTTTATCAGTCCTCTTTCAAAGTCTAAATGAAATCATTCTTTTTATGCTGTAATCAAATAAGTTACCCATCTCTGGCTCAAACCCAAACCTAAATAGCAAAGAGCAGAAAAAGGAAGTTCAGGAACACATGATTTTTCCATAGTATGTCAAAAAACCCTATGCTATACTTCCATTAGAGTGAAAAAAAGAACTCTTTCTGCTTTTAATGAGCAATTAATTCCAGTCCAGGATGTCGAGTTTAGAATAGGTTAACTTCCCCCAAACCACAGCCGTTTGTGTTGGATCATGGTTAAAACCCCAAATTCCAACTTCTACAATAATAACATTCTTTTCTTCTACTGCAATGGGAGAAATGACCATTTTATGTAACATAAGAAAACCTATAGCAGAAACCCCTATGAATTCCAGATTTCTTAAACTGTTCTCAAAGCTGTTTAAAATCAGTTGGGTACATTTTATTTTAGCAGTGCTTAAATGTTCTAAAATAAACTTTGGGTACTAAATTAAAAAGTGAAGATGTCTGGAGTCGAAGATATGAATATCTATCTAACTGGTATTTATAGCACATGTATCACTTAAATTTGACAACAATTAAAACTCCACATAAGCCATGTTTGTGTTCAGATCCTGTGGCCTGGGATGTCCCCTCACACAGCTTCCTGACTATAACCAACCAATCAGGTCACTACAGCGGCCATCTTGTTCTTTCAGTTTAAGGAAATTTTTGACTGAGAGTCGTTCTGAGATTTAACATCATTTGGTTCTTATTAAGTAGTAACTAGTCTGGTGTTGTGATGGGAAAAAGAAAATTCACAGAAAGCTTACCTCTGAAAGGAAGACAGAAAGCACACTTGAATCAAAGAAAACCCTAAAATGAGAATGATCACTACGGTAATATTGGAATTGCCATTCTCCACAAGAAAAATGACCACTTTTGAATACGATTGTAACGACACATACTAACGTCTATGACTTTCCAGCCCTCCTGTGAATCTCATTAATGTCTTTGTATTTCATTCTGAGCCTTGAAATCACAGTGCTAAATTTTCGGAGTGTTTATGAAAGAGTGCAAAAGTTGATACCACTGAATTTTAGCGAGGCTAACAGGAAAACTTCCCATTTACTTTAGTAAATGATCTAAGAAGAAAGAATATAATGTTGCTGTTATAAACCACTGAGAAATAGTCTCTTTTCTACTTTCCAGATAAGGCTTCTGTGAAGCAGTGGAGTATTTAGATTTTATCTCCATGAAGCTTCCTTCAAATGATCATTCCGTGTCATCTCTCACTCACAGACATAGCTCCATTCCCTAAGCAGCAAAGTCAAAGTTGCACATGAGAGAAACGTATTTTCTGCAATTTTCCATTCCTTCGTTGGTTTTTTTCATTCAGTGAATACTCAGCAATTTATGAATGCCTAGGAAAATGTACATCGAGCCTGACAGTTGTATCATCAACACTTACCTACAAGGAAAGAAAACTTGTTTGGTGTATGTGTGTATCTTTAAGCCTGTGTGTGTGCATAAAGTTGTGTGATTTGAAGTTTCTCCTTTACAGAAACAGAAGGAAATGTTGTATGAGAAAGACAATCCCCATCATGACCTGGTGTCTTTTCTTTAATGAACCTTCTGGCCCACTCTATAGTATTAGATACCCCCAAACCATGTGGAGACACCTCCTTTTTTCTCTTTTGTTTTCCCATGATCACTAATTGGCAGAGCCACAGCTTGTTTCTCAGTAGCAAATTTATTTTAAAGTTTTTATATCTATCATCTACTTTTTTTCCTTCTTTTTTTTTTTTTAGTATGAACCAAGTTTCCTGTTTTCTATGCAATTCCCTTTGCAGTAATTTCCCAGATTTCAATTGCCAGGCGTGCTTCAGCAGCAATGTACAATATGTGTATGTGGTTATAAGGGAATCAGAGACTCTCATTTCAGAGGAGGAAATCGTGCTCTCACAATTAATGTGAATGATAGCAGGAAGCAATCTTTAAAGTAGTACTTGAATTGATGATCAGAAAAAAACAAAACAGAACAAATCGCTATGGGCTTTAGGAGGTTGTGGCTTTCGTGTGGTTCCAGAACTATGTTGCCTTTTCCCAATTTAAGAAAATGGATAGCTTTCTCCTTTCTATGTATGGATATATATATATAAGGTTAAAAAATCTAATCCCTAAATACATGATGATGCGGGGAACAGATGACAGGCAAACAGGAAAGAACTGACATTTTTTATCAAGCATTCAAATTTTCCCCTTTGTTGGTTCATAAGAAAATTTGAGTACCTTCCCATTTAGAAACTTAAGAGTTTCCTAGCTTTCTTAAAGATTTTATCTGCAAAATAAGAAGAAAACCTGTTAATATCCTATCATCAATTAAGGAAAAGAATAGTCATTTTCACGTATGTTCTGTCACTTTGGCCCCAGGATTGGAGAACAGAATTTCAAAATGTGTGGTTCCTTAGTCATGCATTCATTTATTAATTAATGTGGTAGACCTTTACTCAGTGGCAACCTTTTGCCAGACATTTACTTGACTCTGAGGAATCGAAAGTGAATAAGGGGTTCATGTCTGCTGGGAAAGGCAGACAGGAAACATAATTTCAAATATAATGAGATATTTAGGAGTAGTTATGCAGGAATAAATTGATAAGCGAATGCATAGGAAAGAGAGACTAACCAAGAATTAACGAGATAGATTTGCTTTTATCCCTGTGAAGTTTTCCCTTGTGTGTTCAGTCTTCCCTTTTGTCTGCATTTAGGGCTGTCTGTCCGCCTCCAAAGTAAGCTACTAA
Source organism: Homo sapiens (assembly GCF_000001405.40). Classification (NCBI taxonomy): domain Eukaryota; kingdom Metazoa; phylum Chordata; class Mammalia; order Primates; family Hominidae; genus Homo; species Homo sapiens. The sequence goes on from NC_000002.12 coordinate 205,513,995, forward strand.
ATCTAAACAATTGCCCTTTGTAATTTCAAAACAAATGTAAAGTGGCTTTTATCATATGTTTCATGATGATACTTTTCTTTATGCCCAACCTCTCCTTTTGAGGATCTGAGCATTTCTGCATCACACTGTCCCAATTACCAACCAAGATCAGCCCGAGAGAGTAGATTTTCTAACAACTGTGTGTCACAACTTATTAGATGATAATACCATCAATTAGTTGGTCACTCTTATCATTTCTAAATGATTTTGCATAGGATATATCAAAGGGCATAGCAGGTAGTCAAGGTGGGTATTGGTACAGTTTTTGTTTCACATCCAATGCAGGAACACACACACTTACGTTTGGTCATGATGTAAATTATAAGTCTTCCTATGAGTTATGATTTTAGGAGGCTGAAAAACTCTGGTTTAGAATTTAAGTTTCATATCTGCTTATTTACTGTTTCACTTATAAGAACCCACATGGTGCTATTTCACATTAGGAACTAAAAAAGACATTTTTAAATAAACATTATTAATAAATCTTATCTGAAACACATAATGAATGGCACATAGTTTGCTTTTCTTGTTTATATCTACATATCAATACAGATAGATACATATGGATAGAAATATAAAGATAGATACAGACACAATTTGCATATATTTAAATGAATTTTAGTTTAATAGTCAATGATTTATGAAACTCTTAAATAAACATATTGCAAGAAGTTACAACTACAGCCAGAAATATGTGGATATACTTGGCATACTCCAGGCTTTCTTTATTCTCCTGAAAATTACTTCTTTTATTTTATATTTAACAAGTTTTTATGTTTTTATTATTTTTCTTACAGTTCTTTTTTTTTTTTTTTACTTTAAGGTTTGAGGGTACATGCGAAGGTTTGTTACATAGGTAAACTCATGTCACGGGGGTTTGTTGGACAGATTATTTCATCACCCAGGAGTTAAGCCCAGTACCCAACAGTTACCTTTTCTGCTCCTCTCCCTCCCCCGACCTTCCACCCTCAAATAGACCCCAGTGTCTGTTGTTTCTTTCTTTGTTTTCCTAAGTGCTCATCATTTAGCTCCCACTTTTAAGTGAGAACATACAGTACTTGGTTTTCTGTTCCTGCATTAGTTTGTTGAGGGTAATGGCCTCCAGCTCCATCCATGTTTGTTTGCACAAAAGACATGATCTCATTCTTTTTTACGGCTGCATAGTATTCCATGCTGTATATGTGCCACGTTATCTTTATCCAATCTGTTATTGGTGGAGATTTAGGTTGATTCCATGTCTTTACTATTGTGAATAGTGCTGCAATAAACATTTGCGTGCATGTGTCTTTATGGTAGAATGATTTCTATTCCTTTGGGTATATACCCAGTAATGAGATTGTTGTTTGAAATGGTGGTTCTGCTTTTAGCTTCTTGAGAAATCACCATACTGCTTTCCACAATGGTTGAACTAATTTACACTCTCACCAACAGTGTATGAGTGTTCCCTTTTCTCCACAACTTTGCCAGCATCTATTACTTTTTTATTTTTTAATAATAGCCATTCTGATGGGTGTGAGATGGTATCGCGATATTGAGTTTTTTTTAATGTGCTTGTTGGCTGCATGTATGTCTTTTTTTGAAAAGTATCTATTCATGTCCTTTTTAATGGGGTTGTTTTTCTCTTGTAAATTTAAGTAAGTTCCTTATAGATGCTGGATATTAAACATTTGTCAGATGCATAGTTTGCAAATATTTTCTCCCATTCTGTAGGTTGTATGTTTACTCTGTTGATAGCTTCTTTTGCTGTGCAGAAGCTCTTAAGTTTATTTAGATCTCATTTGTCAATTTTTGCTTTCGTTGTGATTGCTTTTGCTGTCTTTGTCATGAAACCTTTGACTGTTCCTATGTCCAGGATGGTATTGCCTGGGTTGTCCTCCAGGGTTTTTGTAGTTTTGGGTTTTACATTTAAGTCTTTAATCCATTTTGAGTTGATGATTTTTGTATATAAGGAAGGGGTCTGGCTTCAGTCTTCTGCATATGGCTAGCTAGTTATCCCAGCACCATTTATTGAAGAGGGAGTCTTTTCTCCATTGCTCGTTTTTGTCAGCTTTATGAAAGATCAGGTGGTCATAGGTGTGCACCCTTATTTCTGGGCTCTCTCTTCTGTTCCATTGGTCTGTGTGCCTGGTTTTGTACCAGTACCATGCTGTTTTGGTTACCATGGCCCTGTAGTATAGTTTGAAGTTAGGTAACATGATACCTCCTGCTTTGTTATTTTTGCTTATGATTGCCTTTGCTATTTGGTCTCTTTTTGGTTCCATATGAATGGTAAAATGGATCTGTAAATTCCATATGGATCTGTAAATTGCTTTGGCCAGTATGGCCATTTTAATGATACTGATTCTTCCTATTCATGAGCATGGAATGTTTTTCCATTTGTTTGTGTCATCTCTGATTCCTTTGTAATTGTAATTGTAATCTGTTTTGTAATTCTCATTGTAGAGATCTTTCACCTCCCTGGTTAGCTGTATTTCTAGGTATTTTATTCTTTTGGTGGCAGTTGTGAATGGGATTGCCTTTCTGATTTGGCTCTCATCTTAGCTGTTGTTGGCATAAAGGAATGCTAGTGATTTTTGTACCCTGATTTTGTATCCTGAAACTTTGCTGCAGTTTATCAGCTGAAGGAGCTTTTGGGTTGAGACTATAGGGTTCTCTAGGTATAAAATCATATCGTCTGCAAACAGAGATAGTTTGACTTCCTCTCTATTTGGATGCCCTTTCTTTCTTTCTTTTGCTTGATTGCTCTGGCTGGGACTTCCAATACTCTGTTGATCAGGAGTGGTGAGAGAGAGCATTCTTGTCTTGTGACAGATTTCAAGAGAAATGCTTCCAGTTTTTGCCCATTTAGTATAATATTGGTTGTATGTTTGTCATAGATGGCTCTTATTATTTTGAGGTATATTCCTTCAGTACCTAGTTTATTGAGAGTTTTTAACATGAAGGGGTACTGAATTTTATCATAAACCTTTTCTGCGTCTATTGAGATAATCATGTGGTTTTTGTCTTTAGTTCTGTTTATGTGATGAATCACATTTATTGATTTTCATACGTCGAATCAACCTTGCATCTCAAGGATGAAGCCTACTTGATAATGATGGATAAGCTTTTTGATGTGCTGCTGGGTTCTGTTTGCAAGTATTTTGTTGAGGATTTTTGCATCAGTGTTCATCAAGGATATTGGCTTTAAGCTTTGTTGTTGTTGTGTCTCTGCCTAGTTTTAGTATCAGAATGATGCCAGCCTCATAGAATGAGGTGGGGAGGAGTTTCTCTTGAGAGGGTATATGTGTCCAGGAATCTACCCATCTCTTCTAGGTTTTCTAGTTTGTGTACATAGAGGTGTTCATAGTAGCTTCTGATGGTTATTTTTATTTCTGTGGGGTCAGTGCTAATATTACCTTCATCATTTGTAATTGTGTTTATTTGGATCTTCTCCTTTTTCTTCTTTATTAGTCTAGCTACCAGCCTATCTATCTTACTAATTTTTTTCAAAAAAACAACTTCTGGAATCATTGATCTTGTGACTGGTTTTTCATGTCTCAATTTCCTTCATGTCAGCTCTGATTTTTGTTATTTCTTATCTTCTGCTAGCTTTGGGGTTGATTCGTTCTTGCTTCTCTGATTCTTTCAGTTGTGATGTTTGTTAGTTTGTTAATTTGAGATCTTTCTGACTTTTGGATGTGAGCAGTTATTGCTGTGAATTTCCCTTTTAACACTGCCTTAGCTGTGTTCCAGAGATTCTGGTATGTTGTGTTTTGTTCTCATTAGTTTTAAAGAACTTTTTGATTTCTGCCTTAACTTCATTATTTGCCAAGAAGTCACTCAGGAGCATGTTGTTTAATATCCATCTAATTGCAAGTTTTTGAGTGATGTCTTAGTCTTGAGTTGTATTTTTATTGCGCTGTGGTCTGAGAGTGTGTTTGTTATGATTTTGGTTGTTTTGCATTTGCTGAGGATTGATTCATATCCCATTATGTGGACAGTTTTACAGTATGTGCCATGTGGTGATGAGATGAATGTATATTCTGTTGTTTTTGGGTGGAGAGTTGTATAGAGCCCTGTCAGTTCCATTTGGTCCAGTGTTGAGTTCAGGTCCTGAATATCTTTGTAAATTTTCTGCCTCGATGATCTAATAATGTCAGTGGAGTGTAGGAGTCTCCTACTATTATTGTGTGGGAGTCTATGTGTCTTTGTAGGTCTCTAAGAACTTGCTTTATGAATCTGGCTGCTACTGTACTGGGTTTATATATATTTAGGATAGTTAGGCCTTGTTGAATTGAACCCTTTACCATTATGTAATGCCCGTCTTTATCTTATCTTTTTGATCTTTGTTGGTTTGAAGTCTGTTTTGTGTTAAATTAGGATTGCAGCCTCTACTGTTTTCTGTTTTCTATTTGCTTGGTAGATTTTCCTCTGTCCCTTTATTTTGAGCCTACAGGTGTCATTTCATGTGAAATGGGTCTCTTGAAGACAGCTGTCATTCGGTCTTACTTTTTTATACAGCTTACCATTCTGTGCCTTTTTAAGTGAGGCATTTAGCCTGTTTACATTCAAGGTTAATATTGATATGTGTGGATTTGATCCTGTCATCATGTTTTAGCTGGTTATTATGTTGGCTTGTTTGTGGGGTTGCTTTATAGTGACACTGGTCTGTATGTTTAAGTGTGTTTTTGTGTTAGCTGGTAGCAGTCTTCCCTTTCTATATTTAAAGCTTCTTTCAAGATTTCTTGTAAGGCAGGTCTGGTCGTAGTGAATTCCCTCAACGTTTGCTTATCTGAAAAGGATCTTATTTCTCCTTTGCTTAGGAACCTTAGTTTAGTTTAGCTGGATATAAAATTCTTGGTTGAAGATTTTTTTCTTTCAGACACTTGAATATAGGCTGCCAAACTCTTCTGGCTTGTAGGATTTCAGCCGAGAGGTCTGCCATTAGCCTCGATGGTGTTCCCTTTGTGGGTGACCTGTCCTTTCTCTCTAGCTGCTTTTAACATTCTTTCTTTCATTTCAACCTTGGAAAATCTGATGATTGTGTGTCTTGGGGATGATTTTCTTATGTAGAATCTTGCAGGAGTTATCTGTATTTCCTGAGTTTGACCGTTGGCCTGTCTAGCAAGGTTGGGGAAGTTTTCATGGACAATATCCTGAAATACGTTTTCCAAGTTGTTTGCTTTCTCCCCCTCCCTTTCAGGGATAACTGATTTGGTCTCTTTTCATAATCCCATACTTTCCAGAGGTTTTGTTCATTTTTTAAATTGTTTTTTCTCTACTTTTGTCTGACTGTCTTATTTCAAGAATCAGTCTTCAAGCTCTGAGATTCTTTCCTGATCTTTGTTTATTCTGCTGTTAATACTTGTGATTGCATTGTGAAATTCTTGTATTGTGTTATTCAGCTCTGTCAGACCCATTATGTTCTTTTTTTGGACTGGCTATTTCATCCTTCAGCTCCTCTATCACTTTGTTGTGATTCTTACATTCCTTGAATTGGGTATTGCCATCCTACTGAATCTCGATGATCTTCATTCCTATCCATATTCTGAATTCTATTTGTGTCATTCTAGCCAATTCAACCTGGTTAAGAACTCTTGTTAGAGAGCTGATGAGGTTGTTTGGAGGACATATGGTACTCTGGCCATTTGAGTTACTGGAGTTCTTTTGTTGCTTCTTTCTTATCTTTACATGTGGGTGTTCCATTTACTGCAGTGTAGATTGAGTACAGTCAGTAGACTTCTTTTCTGGATGTTTTCACTGGACTAAGGCTTTGTGCAGGGTCTTTATTTGAAGCTGACTTCTTATCTCTGGTTTCAGAGGTGGGTATGTTAGCAGGGCATTTTTGGTGTTGAAGCTTTGGGGTGTGATCCAGTAGGTGGCACTTAGGCTTATTAGTCAGTTGGTAGACTCTTGCTTGGTTTTGTGGCTTCCCCTGTGTTTCCTCATCATTGCAGCTATGTTCCCTCTCAATGCTCTGAAAGTTTGGGTTCTCTCCCCTTTCAGTGCTGGCTGTAGATAATGGCTTGGCACTCCTGGACTGCCCACTGCTGCTCTGGAGAGATCTCAGTGTTTTTGTTCCTCCCCTAACTTAGAGGCAAAAAAGGAAGGGACCTTAGTAGTGATTGTGGCCAAGGGTCTTTTGTTTGTTTGTGTCCCGAAGCCTCTGCTCCAGAGAGATGCAGGTCAGTAATCCCTCAGTGCAATCAGCCCAGGATGGGGAGGGTCTGTGCTGCAAGCCCAAGCCAGGGATTCCTTGTCTGGTGATAAGTAGTGGTGGATATGTGGGAAACATGGGAGATGGACTGTCCTCCTCTCCTTGGGTCGACTACAGCTTGTTGGAGGTGTGATAAAGCACTTGGGTTCTTTGCTCCTTCATCAGTCTAAGGGTAGCAAGGGTGGTTCCACTGCAGAGGCAGTGGCAGAGAGGCTTTCAGTTGCTCCTGGAGGCTCTCTGTCCAGGGAGTTGCCGAGTTGCTACTGGCTCAATAGCTCGGGCCGGGGGTGGCTGGAGGCTTAGGCCTGGAAGACAACAAGTTTTTATCATAAATTAATACATGCTCTAAAATGCTTAGGTAATTGGTAAAAGTGTTAAAATGAAAATGTAAATTATTCATTATCTGACCACCCAAGAAATGAACACTGTTTATGCTTTGGAGTATTTTCTTTCTATACACACACACACACATATGCATAACATGTAGTAATTAAATTGGGAACCTTCTGAATATACTATATTTAAGTCATATTTTTTTACTTTGTTATATTTTGAAAATTTCTCATGACATTAAACAATCTTCAAAACTGTGAATTTAATGTTTAATGCATAGTATTTTCTAGAAAGGATATTAAGTAATTGGTTAATCACTTTACCATTATTGGACGTTTAAGTTGTATTCATTGTTTCTTATCATAAGTAATGAAATAGCAATTAGCCTTACAAATAAGCATTTGTATTATTAGTTCTTTATCATAAATCAATATAAGATACTAATTATCTAGTATGAGGCGATGAAATTTATTTAAAATTTGGCACATATTACTCATCTTTCCTATGAAAGTTGTTAAGTTTATATTCTTGCCAGCAGCATATTCATTAATACACTGAACAAATACTAATGGTCTGTTTTATACAGCTTTTAGAGCAACCCTATTAAAATTGAGTGTTTGTATTTTTCCTAGTATTACCAATTTGATGGCAAATATCAATTATGTTGTTTTCATTTCTTAATTACAACTGAGAATAAACATTTCATAGGTTTATTGGCCATGTATATTTCTTCTTTTTATGAATTTTTTATTTTTTCTATTACAATGTTTGCCTCTGTCACTCCTAACTTGTTAAAGTTCTTGATGTGGAAAGAATATTAAGCCTTTACTGTCAAATTTCATTCAGGGTTTTTTTTCTAACTTCGTCAATAGACTCTTTAACTTTGTGATACCTTAGAGCTTAAGGACTTTTATTTTTGTGTAAACAAACCTGGGATATTGACTAGTTTTTTCACATACCATTTAAACATCTATCAAGATGATTATATGATTTTTTTTCTTTTTCTATTAATGTGAGAGTTCATATGAATAGACTCTAATGTTGAATAGCCCTTGCAGTTCTGAAAAAATAAGTCTACACTTACATGCTGTCTGTTTTGTCCTTTAGAGAGACCTGGGCATGGATTGCTAATATTTCATTTGTGATTTTGTATCTTATTTGTAAGTGAAATTGATAAGTACGTTTGTTTTTTTGTTTGTTTGTTTCTAACTTTAGCTGTTTTATACAGAAGGGTTACATTACCTTTGCCAAATGATCTGGCTAGCTTTTCATCTGTTTCTATGCTTTGTAACAATGTCTATAATGTAGGAATTATCTCTTTGTAAAGATTTTAAATAACTCATCCATAAAAATATCTAACTTGATCCTCTTTCCTGGGTAATTCTTTGACACCTTTTTCAGCTTTTCTGATAGATACAGATATTTGGAAAAGGAGATTATTTTTTTCCTTTACTGAATTTTGGAAATCTGCCTTTTCTGTAAAATTATATCTCTTTGAGATTTTTAAGTTTTTAGTGTATTTTATCTTTACCAAATAATATATTTAATAATTATTTTTTGTTTTCATTTATTTTTACTTCATTATTTTTACATTTATTTTTACTTAATTATTGTTTCCTTAAAAACAAATGAAACCTATTTTTTGAATTATTCAGCTATTTAATTTTGCTTTTGAACTTAGTTTAGGTATACTTCTGGAAGTGATAATAAGCTAATGTTCTTTTTTTTTCTAAGTATTCTAAAATATTAAAGACTTTATTTTTCCTTTGATCAAGAATGATTTATATGATCTTTAAATCAAGGAATTAGGTTTTTTATTTAAGTTTTTATTATTAATGTATGGTTTTAAGCTCTGTAGTCAAGGACAGCGACGTCTCCCATTTTTGCCTGGTGGCATTTATTAAAAGTTGGCATAATATATGGTAACTATTGTCGTTAAAAAAAATTAAATTAATTAAAATCAAAATAATGATTTTTCTGTAAATATGTATTCTCTAATAAATACTTACTGAGTTCCTATAGTATTATAATTCCAGGCACCATGAAGGTGCTGGAGGATAGCAAAGAGCACAACAGACAAAAATATCTTGGCTTGTGGTACTGGCACACTAGTAGATGATAAATATATGCATACCATATTTCCTTAAATATGAGTCAGCACCGATTATTATACACACAATAAATTTTTACTAACAGCTTTTCAAGAGGAGAACAAAAAAGAGGAAACCATCATATTAAATGTAAACTTTTCCATTAAAAGACATTTCAATTTTACAAATATTTAGGTATGAGAAATGTGTTTCTTACTATTGAGAAAATATGGTAAAACAATCTTATTAATTATATTGTTTTTGATATTGTAAATACTTATTTGTCACTTTTTATCTGTTAAACACAGATATTAGGTTAAAATTCCCATATACTGTTTGGTTCTGAGGGCTTTCAGTATCCCTTTTTTCTTAGGTCTATCACTTATTATAAAAGTTGAATTGTGCCATTTGATTCATTCTGAGGCTTTTTCTTCCAAAGAAATGTTTAACTCATTTCTATCTGTTATGATAACTGGGATTCTTGTCCTTTCTGTCATCTTGTTTTAGGCTTCCTGTTTTATATACCCTTTTCTGTTTTCTTACCCCCGTGTACTATATGTGTGTGTGTGTGTGTATATATATATATATATTTATATATATATATATTTTTGAGATGGAGTCTCGCTCTGTTGCCCAGGATGCAGTGCAGTGGTGCAATCTCGGCTCACTGCAACCTCCGCCTCCCAGGTTCTAGCAATTCTTTGCCTCGGCCTCCTGAGTAGCTGGGATTACAGGCGCCCACCACCATGCCCAACTAATTTTTGTCTTTTTAATAGAGACGGGGTTTCACCATCTTGGCCAGGCTGGTCGTACCATATTTTCTTTGATGATTTTTAGTAATTTCAGTCATACTGGCTTTATAAATATTATTTAGCCTATTTTCTCTATCAGTCAACATCAAAAATAAATAATCTTTTGAGTACCTTACATGTTAAAGAAACAAAGTAACGTGACTGTGTTATCAAAACTTTCCTTTATACTTTTTAACCTGTGGTATTTAATATACAGTTGTGTTTCTAAAGAAGGTGTATATTTTTAAAATATTTTTAATGTGACATAGATCCTACTATCTAGGGATTATATGCAGTGTTTAATGCCAGTCCTTCCTTGCTATGACAGCTCCATTGCTCAGTTCTTTATTTTGATTCATCTCTCTGATAACCTTTTTTTTTTTTTTTTTTTGAGTAATTTTAGTTCAGGAAGAATAGGCAGTATATTTTTAAATCCTTAAAATCTGATGATAATATTCTTTATATATAAATCTAAATACTTCTTATAAGGATGTCTGGTGGTTTGAAGTTTGAAGTACGTAACAAATTTTTTTTTACCTCAATGACTTGACTGCTTCCCAAGGTTTTTTTCCTGAAAATTCTATTATCTTTAGGTTTTTAATATTGATGAAGGAGAAATCTGAGGCTTATCTAACTTTTCTTTCTCTAAGTAACTTGTTTTCTCTATCTGGATCTTAGGGGCTTCTTTATTCACGATATTCCAATGTTTTACCTACATTTGTCAGGGTTTTGGTCTCTGCATTCATTTTGCCAAGCCTTTTTTGTGTTCTTTTTATTGATGGCTTCATGTTGGTTTCTGCTGTTTTCTTGCTTGAAAGCACCTTAAATGAGGTGATTGAAGTCTCCTTGATTCTCATCACCTTACATCTGAAGATTTGTAGAAGAGTCCCCTCAAACCTCAACATCAGGACTGTCTGATATTAACTACACCTCCTGTTTAGAAGTTCAGCAGCTGAGAGGACAGGAGTGGAGCCAAAACCCTCAACAATACTTGGAGGAGAACTTTGCATCTGCTTAGTTTTGCAGGTGCTTTTGCTGAAATCACTGGATAAGGGGAGAGCTTTCTATGCCCTGACTTCTTTTTGGCCCAGCCGTCTCGTCCTCTATTGCCTGTGGCTGTGTCTGCCCTTCACCTTCATACTATTGCCCATCTAATTAGAAGAGAGAGCACTTTCTATCTTTTAGATTTTTTCCGCTGTTACAGCTACTTGGAGAATCCAAGACTTTCCAGGTGTGCTGTTCAGAATGCTGCCACTTCCAACATAACAAAAAGCCCCATGTTAATCTCATCAGTCTCATAACCTCTCCTCCAGCCTCACCCTTCTAATGAAAGGCTTAGCCTCCTCTGCCTGCTCCCCAGGAGGGTTGGTTTTGAGCTGGCACCATGCCCTCCTTTCCGCCCAACCCATGGCACTATTTCCAATACATACTCCTCAATGACTCACACTGGTGCAAGTTTCACCTGTTTTATATGCGGTTGGTCATTTCAGCCAGAATCTGGGAGATCAGTAGTAAATTGTCTATGCTCACATTGCCATTTTTATTCAGAATTTGATACCCATCAAAACACTTAAACCTCGCCAGAATAAGAGATTTCTTAGTGATGAACCATGGCAAGAACCAGGACAGTTTTATTGCCTCACAAAGGCTATTTTCTTAGCTGCAACTTTCTTATTCACACACAGTAAAGCAATGCCTAGCTCATGGTATGACTGGAAAATACTAGGGCTTTTTTCCCCTCCTACATGGTTAACTCCTAATTTTCCTTTAAATGGTCCTGAAAACAAGAGACATGGTATGTAAAACTTCCAAATTGGTTTCCTTACCACTCCAAGAGTGGGGTCTCTGGAAAATATAGTAACAAAGCTGGTTTTCTAGTCACATGTCACCATAACTTCAGTAGGGCTAAGCTGGAAAGGCCAAAGAAATTCGGAGGATTAAGAGGTTTTTTTGTTTTTGTTTTTACATTGAAGATGTAAAAAATAATTACAATATAATGCTGGGTGTTATGTATGCACAGTTACCTATGAACACAAAAAGGTTTAATTTTTTCTGTCAACGTGCATTGTTGTAATTATTAAAGATAAAAAACAAAGTTCCTGCTATAAACATAGGGGTATTGGTTGCATGACTTTATTAGCTCCTAGACTGAGGTCTATTGTGCGGATGCTAATCTAATAACAGAATCATATTTATAATACAGTAGGAAATTCTCTCTGCAGGTTCAGAACAGTACACATGAGACCCAGCATTATCGAAGGCTTATCCTTTCTCACACTGAACTAATACTCACCCTTCATTTTGGTGACAAGTCCAGCTCAATGAGAATCTCGACAAAGGGCCTGACTCTCTCCCCTTCCAGCCCCTTCGCTACAGCAGATATGATTACTTGGATTCTGCCTATGGGTCCACGTTGTGTACCCAGTCCCGGGAAGGTGCAAGAAAATCTGATCCTTTTTCAAAAATCATCTTAGAATCGAACCAGTCTTACTCTGATTTTCATGACACCCCCACCCTGCCCTTGCTTCTCGCAGGGTCTGGGGCTCCATGTCCTTATCAGTATCAGACTTCCACTGAGGCTGCTGTCTCCAGTACCCCCAGAACACTAGGATTATAGTTTCTACTGGAATTCCCTAAACTACATTGCTCATCCATTTCAACTAGACCCAACTGCTTGACAACTGGTCATGGACAATCTTGAACATAGATTCTGTTTCACAGTTTGTCCTAATCTCTTTCTTCTCAGATCCATCTTTTTATCCCTGTCCCTCTGTGTACCCATAGTCACATCTGGGTGTCTGTGGTGGGATTGTGGATGTGCACTTCTACCCACTGTAAGCAGCTATCACAGGTCTGGCCCACTCAACTGCTCCCCTGATATCTGTAGTGACAGAACCTTGCCTTCAAAATCAAAAGATACAAAGGTGATTCCAGTATTGCCAGGTAGAGTTTTACAAAGAGTACTTGCCTTTGTGGCCCCTTTTTCTAAAATTTTGGTAAGCAGATATACCCAGAAGTATGCCAGCCAGAAAGTCTGCAGCAGCTCTGGGGCCTCAGTAACATAAGCACAACTCTAACTTGATAGCAAGCTCAACCTTGATCTCCAACTGCTCGTCTGCTGTTTATGGCACTTACTGCCTGGCCACGTTTTCATTTTTGACTTGGAAACAACAAGGCAGATGCCACATTCCATACCACTACCTTTTTTAGTTCTAGTGAAGAAAATAATGTAAGATGGTGAATTAATTGACATGAAAAAAAATTAAATGTACAAGATTACCACTTCTGCTTAGTGCTTTGTCTTTAGTAATTATTGCATTTTTGTATAGTTAACGCTTAAGGTATGCAATGGCCAAAGCACAATTTTATTGCCTTTATTTTGCTGTTTAGAAATGGCCTCTGGGGGTGGAAGGGAGTAGAGGAGACCAATCTTTATCAATAATGGGTAGTAATTTTAAAATCATTTAAAATGATTTTTGTACTCACATATGTTCAAACCCCCTTTCCAGGTAAATTCTATGTGGGGACACAAGTGGTCACTGAGATACCACTTGGCTTTTAGACAGTGAAGAAGTCAAATGAGAGGTTTGCAGGTATAAATAAAATAGCACAAGTGTAGAAGCATCATCAGACACAGCAAGTGTAACTATAATGAAAGTTACCTTGAACAAATCAGTTCCCAGGATAGCATTCATTTCTTATTGTTAAATATGCTTGATGCAGTGAAGTATGGCTTCCAGAAAGATAATGGAGCAGATAATTAAACACTCTATTTGGAAACACAAACACAGACACATACACACTGCAGGGAGTGTGGGTTAGCACAAATCTTGTCAGTACAACCTAATGACCTTCTGTAGACCAGGCCTTTGACAAGGGGAAAAAAATAGAAAAAGTCATTTTTTTTACTGCAGTAAGGATTTTTTATAAAAATTCTGTGGTACGTGACCAACATCAGTAAAAGAGAAAAGAGCTTAGCTCTTACTTCTTTTATATAAGTGGACTATGGTTCGAGGTTGATGATAAATCACTAATGTTTGAGTTTCAGTTGGCTACAGCATACTAAGTAGTCTTTTCTGTGGTGACAAGTGACAAGGGGCAGTTAAAGATGTGGCTACCTCAAGTTCTCCTCTGCCATAGAAAACCTCCCAGAGGTCAACCATTAGACCCCTACTGTTTCTATGTCAGTAGTGTAAGGCCAGGCAAAGGCAATAACCTTCATCAGGGTCTGTCTCAACCTCCCCTGCAGCCTCCTTTCATTCTTCGTATCCGATGATGCCATTATCATAGAGAGTACATACCTGATAAATGCTTGTTGAATTGGGCAGCATTGTTTCTAGGTCTCTCTCAGGAAAAGGAGGAGGATCAAGACATACCATATTCATCTTAGGAGTAACACAGAAGTTTCCCCAGATACAAGGTCCAATTCTCTCTACTGTAAAGCCTAGTCCTCATCTCACTACATTTTTCAATTAGCTGATGACACCTACATGATGCATCAGAGATGGATAGATGGATTGGCTGCTTTTGAGAAGTTACTCATGGTCCATCATGCATCAGGATTCTTACTCATCCACAGTCCCCTGCAAACAGCCAGCTATTATAGTCAGCAGCCAATGGTCTATGTGAGTGATCCAGAAGCTAGGTTAGACAGCATCCCATTGGTCTTCCTGGTAAGAGGTTGTGCTCACATTTCATACATCTGTACAGTCACAGTAGCCTCTCATGAAGCCTTCTCCAGCTGCTCCAGCCTCATCTCCCTCTCCCTGTCAGCACTTCCAGTCTACACCAGGAAGTAAAACTTAACCACATCCTACCTGGTACCAGCAAACAACTTATTTAAGAAGTCATGCACATTTGAGCCCTACGTTGTGCCCAACCTCATGCTGAGTACTTTGCTGCCCCTCAACAAATGTTTGAATTCTTGATGGCCCAGATGGGTAACTGAGGCAGAAACATCTATGAGTCTCCAAAGGGAAAGCACATATAAATTGAGACCTGTGCTGTATTCTCATCTCCAGCCTCTTCTCTTCGTGTCAGACATGACACAATCTTTTTTTTTTTTTTGAAACAGAGTCTTGCTCTGTTGCCAGGCTGGAGTGCAGTGGCACAGTCTCTGCTCACTGCTACCTCTACCTCCCAGGTTCAAGCGATTCTTCTGCCTCAGCCTCCCAAGTAGTTGGGATTACAGACATGTGCCACCACACCCAGCTAATTTTTGTATTTTTAGTAGAGACAGGGTTTGACCATGTTGGCCAGGATGGTCTCAATCTCTTGACCTCGTGATCAGCCCACCTCAGCCTCCCAAAGTGCTGTGATTACAGGCGTGAGCCACCGTGCCTGGCCAACACAATCTTAAATACTCAACAAGCTAGCCTAACGAGGAATGCCAGCAAATAGGTCATTGCTAACATCTCTTTTGGTGTCTTTCTTTGACAATGTTCCAAGTGGCTACCTAACATGCTGGCAATTATGCCTATAGGGTGAGTACCTCATTTAAGTATTTTTGTAGATTAAGTCAATCTATGTTTATGAATTTTGAAATAATGGATATGGCTATGGTGGCATGACCCTACTTGAGCATTAAAAAAAAAAATTAACTTCCAACATATTTTAATGCAAATGTTACCTTTGTAAGTGGATGACCTGAAAAGAAAGTGTTTCCATAGTAACCTAAGGGAACACATAACTGTTTATCAGAACTTCTCCAGGAAAAGAGCTTGGCATGGACTGGGGATCTGCTTTGATGTCTGCTGAAAGAAAATAGCTGACAGCATTGTGTGAGAAAATGGTTAGAAGATCCCACTTTATTTGTAGTTAATTTAGAAAATAAACTTTCATAATGAACTGCTGAAATACACACTTGAAACAACCAGATGATCCATCAGGATATTTTTTAAAATGTAATTTGTCGGGTGTGACAACCAAGTCATCAGTTTAAGAGAAACAGATTAGGGAAGAGATCTTACAGCAGGTCTTTGCCACCATTTCACTCATTTTTTTTCTGTACTCTGTGTTCTTCTGTAGGAATCACTAGGCCTTTCAGAGCTCTTAGATTTTTTTTTCTTTGCTTACTTTTTTTCCTTTTTAACTTCAGAAAACGTTACGTAAAAGCTGCCCTTTGGGAATTGAGACTCTACATTGTGAGGCTATCACCAAAAAGAAACCTATTGATTGATTATACTTCACTTTCTTTACTGACACGGCTGTTTGAGTTAGTAGCTTTTTGGACATGCCATTAGGTAGAAATGAGTTTGACATCCACAAGCCACTATCTGGTTATCTGCTGGTTATTTTCCCTTTTTCTTATGGATGTAATATCTACTTAAAGAAAAGCTGATCTACGAGGGTTTTCTTTTTTCATTTTTTAAGGTTCATTTGAGTAGAGAACAGATGCATACAGTTTTGAGAAGTATTTCTTTGAAGCGCCTTTTTAGAGTCAGCTCACTGACAGGTCCATGCCCGTGGGCTCTGGTGTGGACTTAGAGCAATTACCCACCTGGTCTCCATCTGGTAGCATGAACGAAAAATCATAACAGATCATAGAGAAACTATACCAACTGCCACCTTGGTATAGGCAGGCAAAGAAAGGTGCCACCCAACAATGCTGTGAAGAGTAAGAAATGCTATCCGTAGGGTATGCACATTCCCACCACAAGATGCAAAAGAGTGGCACACAGGAGCATGTGGAAAGGAAATAATATGCACATCTAACCTTACAGCTGCAACTCGTGAAATAGTAAACCAAAAGTTCTCTCCGCCACATTTATGTTTCTAGTGAAGTTTGGAGAAAACGTATTATCCTAATATGCTTGAGACCTGTCTTTTGCTACCCACTACCACCCACAACAGGGTTAAACAAGACTTGAGGACTTTTAGGTGAGGAGTAGATGCCAACATCATAAGGATGTTGATGTAATTTACATGTAATGCCACTTTGTAGTCAGTTCAATTGTAGCAAAAATAAGGGTTTTATGGTTGCTGGAAAATAATTTAAATGTTTGTTGATTCGTTATTGTCTTTTTGTTTTTATTTTCTCCTTTTCTGCTTTGTCTGCTTTCTTCCAGAATACAGCGTGCTCTGGTTAGTACAATAGCTAAGGGTTCAGAATCTATTACTACAACTGCCAGAGATTTGCCCTCTTCGGGTAACACCCTTCCATCCTGAGGAGCTAGAGAATCCGAGATTCAGAGAGGGGCAAAATGTCTCTGGCGTGTGTGTGGTTAGCAGGGTAAGAGCTAACTTGGATTCCTTTCTTTCATAATCCCCTACAAAGTGTTGCACATGCTTCCACTGAGGACTAAAGCAATGAAAAATATCTTCCTGGATTGGCCACACAGATACTCATGCTGGACGATTCAAGAAGATGAAATGGGGAAGAAAGAAACGATGACTCTAGAGGCATGACCCACCTGGATAAGAATTGTTGTAAAGGAATTATGTAGTGCAGGACCATTAGAAAATGCCAGAGTGGGAGGTGAGTGAAAGATGAGATGTCAAAGGAGAGGGGTTGTGATCTGAAAGGTAAGATTTCAATATCTGTATGTAGACTGTGACCTTTGCAAAAGACTTTATGGAAAAGCCAACAAGAGCCTAAACGTGATTGCTGTGGAAGAACTGAAGTGCATACTCTCTGCAAGAAGATATAATATTGTAAATTCACTTGCTTTTTCTTCTTCCAACGTATGGAAGGGACTCAGGTTTTTTTCACCATAATTTATACTAATTAGTCTTTCCACTTAAATCAAGAGGGGAACTGCAAATGTGGCCATTGATGGTCTGCTCCTCATTAGAGACAATTAAGAGTTAGAGGAACAAAAACACATCATAGGATTAATGATGAGAAAAGCCACCCAGAGAGAGAAACATGAAGCAGGAAATGATCTTATTGAGCTGGACAAAGGAAACTGATAGCCTGCAAGATCAGAGGCTCTTGGAGCTGAGGTCTAAACAGTCTAAAGAAGAATCGCCTGGGCATGCAAGCCTTCCCCTGCTGTATTCTCATCTGTATTTTTCATATCTCCTGTCATATTGCATTTATTAAGAAATGTTCTTGCTCTCTAAATCCAATTCATTAGTTTCCCTCCATGGATAAGAGGGATGGCATTACTGCTGAGAGAAAAATAAGTACTAAGCTAATCAGCCTTGGTAAATTCCAGTCTTGCATGTTATTGTCATTGAAGCTTTATGTAGCATTCAGACAGGGCACCGAGACACAGGAGAGAGACTGGATATGAAATGTCCTAACACCACTCTCAGACCCCTGCTGCTTATATCATTTTATCGTCTTCCAAAGAGAGAGGGAGGAGATTAGGGAACATTTAATTGCCTTATAAACTGATTGACAAATTGGTGATCTGATGCATATGGATGATCTTTTTAGTGAAATGGTTCAGAAGCTGCTAACAGATCATCAGGAACCATGATTTGCACGCTCTCCGCAGAGTTATTACAGAGAAGTGGAAGGATGGGTTGATTATTTATTATCTTTCCTTCTTTCTGTTTTTTTTTTCCTTGAATGTTTTCTTCACCTCCAGGGAAATGCATTCTAGCAGCGTGAACACCGCTATTAATCAACACTTGTAGCAATAATCAGTGAGTGAAAAATGGTGACCAGAATCTGCGAATGCGCTGGCATAACTGTCTTCTGAGTGTTCCTTTGTGATCATGCCTTGGCATTCGAACATGGATAATTTATACAAAATTAATGTTGACACCTTCTGAGGTGCAAAGATTCATAGAAGCAGTGCTTACTTCTTCATCCGTTAAAAAACGAAGAGAAATTGTTTCTGGTCATGATGAGTCATATTTTAGAGGCTTTAAAAATATACTTGATATTGTCATGTTTCTTTGTGTTATGTTTAGTCACCTAGTCCCATCATTTTTGAACACAGGTGTCATAAAAGGCAAAACTGTTATAAGTTCTTTGTTTCAGTTTTCTCAGACTTACTCCAGAAGGGGTGTGGAAAATAATCAAGAATTTTAAAATAGCTCAAGCCCCAATATCCTTCTCAAAGCCAACTATTGTTATTGGCAGTGCTTGGGGGGGAAATGGTTCAGAGTTGCTGGAGTGGCAAAACACTGTTACAAGCCACACCTTACATAGGGCAGTTGTCTAAATTAATAGTGCAACATTTGGCTAGTGATGCAATTATACACAATGAAACTATTTTGAAATTTGGTTGCCACTCTCATTCCACAAAGCTACATATTAATTCACACCATCCTGTGATCAGGAGGGCAAAATCTGAGGTGCCAACACACTGGAAATTTCCCTTAAACTTCGCTAAGTTAGGATGAGTTTGCCTGGAGCCTAAGGAAGATCACTAAGGCATCAGACCACATCTTTAAAAAGTGTGATAGACCAGGACTCATAGGAGCATATGACACCAGCCCCTTCTCTGCGAATCATTCCTGTCATTAAAATCAATGCAACTTAATTAAAGCAAATTATAGATAGATACATCTATAAATAAGATATTAAAGTGTGCTGCTGAATATGATAATTGCTGCATATTTAGCAATCAGTGTGTGTGTTCTGCTTTTGCCAGGAGGAATTCCTTTCAGTGGAATCAATGGAGCTTTATTAAAAACCATCCAAATTAGAGGGAGAAATGATGAGTGTTATAATAACACAAAATCACTGTTTCAACTTTCATTGCAAAGAAAAGAAAGCAAAATATGGCCATCCCTCTTTTTTCACTCAAGGAAAATATTAGACATATTTTCTTTAAGATGTGGATGTTTTGAATTTATAAATTTTAATTTTTGTATTCTCTTCTCCCAAAGGAAGGCAGAAGGAAAATAATGATCATAAATAAAACAATTTAGCAGTGAGACTGGTAGGAGGAACACCCCAGTGCCCAGATAAGCTGTTTTATACCGTGATGACAGAAGACAAATAATGAAGTTCATATTCTGTACAGAACTTGAAGATGGCTTATTTTATTCTCCTATCCACCAGATTTTCTTGTATGTGAAAATTTTCATGGGTTAATTCAAAATAATGAATTTGGAAAATAAAAATCCATTTTCTTACCCCTATACCTTTATTCATAACAATTACACTTGAGGCAAAGTATATTTTTTCAGGCTAATTTTAAAATACAAATTTTAAAAAGTTTTTTTATCATCGAGTTTAAACATCAGTAACAGGAAACATAAGTGTTCATTAAATAATGAAATCACCCCTGTGTAACCAGAATTATTCTCAAATTTATAAAAATAAATACTAAACTTACAAAAAGACATAGATTTTAACATTCAATGGTTTTGGGGGTTTTTTGTTTGTTTGTTTGTTTTTTGAGACAGGGTCTTGCTTTGTCACCCAGGCTAGAGTGCAGGGGTGCAAACAGGTCACTGCAGCCTCAACCTCCGGGGCTCAAGCAATCCTTCCACCTCGGCCTCCCAAGTATCTGGAACTACAGGCCCACGCCACCACATGGGGCTAATCGTTCAGTGTTTTAAGAGATGAAGAAAATCACTAGGCAGCCAGCCACCTCTAATAGAGTCTAGTAAAAGCATTTACAAAGACTTCCCATTCTGGGTTACTCTGTGCATTAATGTTTTGTCTTTGAGAAGGAAAAGAGATAAAAGAAAAAGTGAAAAAGCCAAAAAAAAAAAAAAGGGACAAGAAGAGACATGCATGTTTAGGAAAGTGGTTTATAACTATTATTTCACTTGATCAAATAAATGTTGATTTGTTGAATATTTTCAAGGGACTGGTCCTGGTGCTAGGAAAGAAAACAAAGTCCCTGTTCTCATAGAGTTTATGTTTGTGAAAAGAGATAGACAATAAACAAGTAAAGAGTAAATATCAGGCCATGATAATGACCAGGAAGAAATATCAAGCTGGGCTAAGGGGCTGGGCAAGCATGCTGTTTTCTACAAAGTGGTCGGAGAAGGCTAAGGGAGCAAGATGCTTGGGAAGCTGGAGGAGCAGAGAGGAGAGTGAGTGAGAAGGAGAATGGACGGAGGCCAGAGAGGTGGGAGGATCAGAACTGTGGAGTCTTATGGAGTCCACTTTTTTTTTTTGGAGACAGAGTCTTACTGTGTCGCCTAGGCTAGAGTGCTAAAGTGTAGTGGCATGATCTCAGCTCACTGCAACCTCCACCTCCTGGGTTCAAGCTATTCTCCTGCCTCAGCCTCCCAAGAAACTGGGATTACAGGTGCCCGCAACCACACCCGGTTAATTTTTGTATTGTTAGCAGAAACAGGGTTTCACCATGTTGGCCAAGCTGGTCTTGAACTCCTGACCTCAAGTGATCCACCCACGTTGGCCTCCCAAAGTGCTGGAATTACAGGCTTGAGCCACTGCACCCAGCCTAACCATTCTTACCCATAGTGGTTATTTCTAATTTTCTAAGATGCATAGATGATGATACGTATTCCTCATGCTTAGAAAAGAGTAAAAACGATTGGCATTGGTCTAGCTTGCTATGTTTTTCTCATGGCCTAGCTCTAGAGAGTGATTTTCAGGAGAGATGGCCAATTATTTCATTCCAGACTGCCAAAACCAGAGGCTATTATATTCACAAATTTGTTCAAAATCGGGACACATGAGTTTCCAGTCTACAGAGGGGTGTATACAGAGTAAAATGGAGTTCTTTTTTGCATCTCTCTTAGCTCTACATCTACTGTGTAGACATATTGCCCCCATAATCAAATCTGCTCTGCCCCTTTCTCATGTTTCCACCAGAGGATACCATGGCTTATTCCCACCTGCGAACTCTGCATGAATGGAAAGAGGAAGTAACAACAGCCACTAATCATGTACATCACAGACATCTAAGCCCGGTCTTTCCTTTAACACACACTCCGTCCTTGTGCAGCTGTGCCTTAGAGTTGGCCCCAGTCAATAGGTAGGGAGGGAGCAGAGTGGTGGTACTCAGACTCTTTATTTGGTTCCTTTCTCCATGCCAAAAGAAGATGTCATAGGACATTTCAAAACTAAACCATCCTTAGAGATGTGTACTAACAGCAGTTTGCAACTCTGTTATGGGATACACAAAACAGCAGGGCCACTGTTCTTCATTGTAATCTGCATGTGAATATTCTAGTTCAAACTCCACACAGTAATAATACCATTAATATGATATTTGTTTGTAGCATAAGAAATATATTTCCTTCTGAAAATATTGATGTAATGGGTCTCTTTAAATCACAGTATTTAAATAATAGCCCACTTAAAGAACAAGGTATTGGAAGACATTATCCAGTAAAAGGTTTCTCTTCCCTATGAGGCAGTGAGTTCATTCTGCCACCTTTATAATTTCCTCTTCCTGTGCAAAGTGGCTCTGTGCTCTCTGCTTTGCTGCAATTCCTCAGGCAATAGCCAAGCTCTCCCATTGTGAGAATCCCTGATTTCAATAACTCACAGAAATTAGTAATTAGAAACACATTAAAGTGTTGGATCATTTTTCTTAGGGGCTTTACTAGTAGAGAATTGTACCCCAAATTTCATTTCCTGGTGTTTTCTCCTTTCTGGTTATAAACATGCCAATGGTGCTGTATTGCATTCACCTGGGGTAGGATTGAGACGTAATCAAGGTGAGCCTAATAAAAATGTGGCAGCAGGCCTAATGAAAATTGGAATGGATCTAAAAACCTTGAATAAGCTCACTCTCTTTTCATAGGTTCTTGCAGTTTGGTTTTCCTGAGTATCTGAGAAATGGCAGGGAGTGGGGTCCTTTACAGGTATTAGCTATGAGCAGGTATTTGAATTCTGATTGAGAATTGTGAGGTGGAACAAGCGTGTGGTGTCTCTTAGCTGAGTTGTGTGCTATTGGAAATGATGGAGGCTGAATTGACTTTTGATTTTTTAAGAAATGATTCGATTAACTTTTGAACCACCTGCTCCTGTGTCCCCAGGAATATCGTGAAATAGGCTCTATTCCTGTTCTTTCCACAGCATTGCATTCTCCTGCTCCCACTCATTTGAGTTTTGCCGCTCTGTGAATTATGGTATTTGATCTCTGCTCCTAAGGAAAGATGATTCTACCCACTCTTTGGATGGGTTGTTCCCCACGGTTGACCCTCAAATTGAAAGTGATGTTTCCCTTGTGAATGTTGTAAATTTAAACTCAGGGATCATCACCTGATCAGTAACTCACTTGTGGGTTGTTAGTGTAATTTATGCACTGTTGCTTGTCTGCAAAGTAAAAGTGAGTTTCTCATGACCCTTGAGGAAGATACTCGGAGAGACCTGTCCCTAAACTATATTGGGCCAATGAACAAATTCAGGAATGTAACTCTCTCTACTTCCTTCCAAGTGACTTGGATTAATGTTGGTGCTATTTTCCATACCAAAACCCAATTACAAGATGGAAGATTTTCAGTAATTGGGCCCTTTGGATCTGAAACATCTCAGGTCAGTGCCCCTGGGGATAGCCTTCAGTAGGAAGAGTTCTGGGGCTTCAAACAGAAGGTAAATCTGATTTATAGATGGACATGGCATTACATCTGTCACAAATACATTATGAATTGGCGTTGTACATTTTCTAACATATAAATCAACTCCCCCTGGGAAATTATCCTTCATCCTAATGGATTATACCATAAGAAGTTCTTTGCAATATTCATCCTAAATTTTCACTTTTCTTAATTTCATTACATTGATGAGTAGAGTTCCTTATATATTCTTTTGCCTACCTCTTAGGGATGTTAAGAGTATTAGGCTAATGCTTGTAAATCACCTCACAATTCTCCAACTGAGCCCACTAAAGCAATGCAAAACAGTACTAGATAATAAATAGGTGTTGATTCTGCTCAACATTCATGCTATACTGGGGCATAATGAATAGACCCTTAAGTAAGTAGATAAACATTCTTCTCCTTAAAGATGGGAAATCATATAAATGGCACTCAACCAGAATTTCAATTGCTTAGCTGCCAAAGTTGGGATTTGGCTTCTTTGCATAGAAATAATCATGGCAAGTGTTGGTTTCTTTTTCTTTTTTTCTCTGGTTCTCCTGTCTGCTGACCCCTTGCTACATGATGCTTCCCCTTCAGACTCTGTACCTTTGTTTCTCTGGAAGAACTGCACTTAGGTGAGCATCTCTCTGAACACAGACACTGAGGATGCTTTCAGACTTGAAAACACAATGAAGGGGCCTTCCACCAGTCGGCAGGGCTAAATCTGGGAGTTGCACTCATTTAGGAAAACCCATCAATGGACCGATAGCAAAATGGCTGAGGTCAGTAGTTGGAGATGGACTCACTCTCTACCTGCGCACACAACCTGTTGTACCCTGGGAAGGAAGCCAGCTGTCATTCTCTCCTCATCCAGTCACTAGAACTACACACACATGGTCCTGGCATTTATATGTGATCCCAAACTGTTCAATAATGTAATAAAATGCATATTTCATATTTGCACTGTTAAATGCCTAAATCACAAATACTGTTTCTTGATTTCATTCAGTAGAATTAATGTTGCCACATGAATTAGAGCATTGCATTCAGTTGCTAATAGCACCTTGAGGTAACCCAGCTAGGATAATCCAAGTCTGTTTTCTGTGGGTAGTTGAGGATTACGTGTTTCTCTGCTTGCCTATGTTATGTCTCTCCTTCAAGATTACTTTTTTCATTTAGTTGATGCTTTATTCTTTTAATCATTTATTGAGCATGTGTTAGATAAGAAGTATTACAAAGATGAATAAAGCAGGATTATTTGTCCTCAAAGCACTGATGATCCAACAGAGAAGGAAAAACAAAAACACAAACCATCTCCTTATAACAGTCTAGGTAAGTATTATTTACAAAGACATACTGAAGGCTCTCAGAAAATAAAAAGAGAATAGTTCTGTCTGACAGGCTTCCCAGAGGACCTGGTGATGGAAGAGAGGGGGAGAGGAAAAAGCTTGAACCAACGTAAGGAAATGTGAGAGTTTACAGGGATGAAGGATGGTGATACTGATGAGGATGACAATGATGACTGTAGATTGTGAAAGGCTTGGATGCCATGCTCAAGAATTAGACTTCTCTAGGCATTGTTTCTGTAAACAACAATAAGATGGTCACGTGTGTGTACACACACACACACACACACATGCATATCATCCTTCTAAATGTGTCATATTATTCCAGCCACTCATCTTGTATACATATAGTGTAAAAAAAGACACTTTCATAAGAGAAAGTAAGAGTTCTCTCTCTATAATTCCCTCTCTTTCTGTCTATCTGTCTCTCCTTTCTCTCTCGTCACTCTCTTTCCCAATACCGTTTTCGGAATAGTATCGGTGAAGAAGCTTCCGTTAGCTCTGTAAGCCAGATCTGCTCAGGGGGCTCATGGAAATGAACTCTACAGGGCAGGGAAGAAATCCTCTCCAAGTGTTTTTGTTTTTTTATTTTGTTTTGTTTTTTAACCAATAGAAAGGTCAGATTCAATGTAACTGCAATAGTAAGAATGAATATTTACTGACATGTAGTAGACTATGTGTGAGATGTACTATGTGATTTATATGCATCATATCATTTAATGCTCATAACAGTCATCTGAGTGGGTATTACTAATCGCATTTACAGATGAGAGAAATGAGGCTCAAAAGTTAACTTACCCAAAATCACAAAGTCAGTAAGTGGTAGAGCCAGAATTCAAACCCAACCACTATGGCACACTGTGTGCAGGCCTGAGACCACTGCCTCTGGGTGTTCAATTAGAGACTCTTCATGCAGTTTCCAGTTAGAATTAATTAATGCTGGAATCAGACACGCATTAGGAGTGATGGTGCTTTTAGGATTGTCTGACCTACCCTCCCTGCCGTGTCATTCTCTTTGAGTGAAATAGTCTTATGAGGAATTCACAACACCTGCCTTTGTCCTGGTCAGGGTAGTGTTGCAGATTGAGTCAGATGATGTCTGAGAACATGCTTTGATCATTGCAAAACCCTGTATGAATATAGTATCTGACAATATATCACTCATTTAATATGTATGTAGGAACTAGACAGCAAGCACATTTTAAAAACAGGACAGGTAGTTTGAAAATCGGTTTAACCTTTTAGGTATCATCCTCTAGAGCAGGTATGTGCACAGCCCCTCCAAGGCCGTGGTCAGGGGCCCATCAGCATCCAAGCTTCAAAGCCAGCCATTGCTGGTCACTCTATCCTTTCCCCAGTGCCTGCCAGACTGTTCACGAAGTAGCAGCCCAGCTGTCACAACTGATGACCAGCTGTTTTTTATTTTAACAATGGCTACTAAAACCCACACTGAAGTATCCTTTGTATTATTTCCTCAGTAGTTTAGATATCCGGTTCTGAAGCTTTGATCAGATCACTGAACACAGTTCTCCAGACCCGAACCCCACCCCTCCCCCAGGTCATTGCACAGAGCAAACGTGTTCTGCTCAAGTGGCATCCTCAGATCTCCACTAGGTGGACTTCACAGAGCAGCCAAGTACGGTTAGATGTGACTCAGGTGAAGTTTTTTCAAAGCCCTCTTAGCCAAAGAAGTATGAGGCTTTGATGTAGCCTTTCACTAGTTCGAAAGTAACTCAGGAACAGAGGGGAAAAGACTCAGCAGTTCTCTCCTAATATCCAAACTTTCCTCATTTTAGTATCACTACTCAGCTTGCAGGGAAGTCTGGGAGAGGGTTCCTAGAAACCCAACTAACCACGGACTCTGTGTCCTCCACAGCATGTGAGTTGTGCGGCACCGTCATGCTACATCCATGTCTTGGCTCATGTGAGACACTTGGGCTGATTTTTTGTTGTTGTTGTTGTTGCTTGCTGTATATTTGCATAATTTTATATCCCGAGCAGAGTTCTTGATTTTGCAAGAGCATAATAAAAAAAAAAAACACTGTGAATTGGCAGGTTTGAGGTTATGATTTGCAGCTGGTCTATCACTTCCTCTTCCTGGAAGCTGCAGCTTAAAGTATTTTACAATTATCATATTTCACGGGACCTGGGCCTATATTTGCATCTGCTCATCTTTTGGTTTTCTTTTTTAAAAAATACTCTCTTTTCACATTTTTTGGTGGCAAAATTGTCCAACACATTCATTTTATGTATTTTTCTCTTCTGGGTATAAATTCATATGGTTCAATGCTATTGAAATCAAAACATTCAATGCAATGAGCCCTTCGGACAGGTTTTTGAGACTGAAAACAATGACAAAGCAAATTCTACCCAGGGTTGCAGTAATATTTCTAACCAGCTTCCTTTGTCCATTGTCATTATTTTGATTAAAAAGGTGTGTAGAAGCCACGGTGGATTTTCAGGATGCAAAAATCATTGCAGAAACTTCCTCTATTAGTGCAAATTATTAGACGATGGAAATGGTACTTGAGCAGCAAGAATGACATTAATTATGCGAAAAGCAGTCATATCTGGCAGTTGGCAAGCATGCATTATTCTTCAACAATCTTCCATGGGTTTGTGTTCAGCCAGCATTAGAAATCTAAAAGCTTTTAATTTTGGCAAAGTTTTCACAGGACTTGCACTTCCAGCTTCTAGATAAAAGATAATTTGGAAGGAAATTATGTTGGTGAAATTGAAGAATTCAGTAATGAGTTCTGTGTAGATGAATCAATGCTCAATTAAATGATTATATCAAATCTACCTTTAAATGTTGACTTAAAATAATCATATTTTAAAGACATTGAAAGTAAGATGCTATATATACATGTAATCAGAAGAGCAAAGTCTGTGTTACCCATGCTGGTAGAGGAATGAAGTATTCTGATTGATCCATGAATTTGATTAATGGAAAGAAATTTAGGACAGGAATTACCTGTACGCTAAGATTTAGAGTAGACTGCCATAATCTAGCTTGTTTTCATAGTTTCCATTCTCTTTTGCAGCTTTTCTCTGTTTCTCTGGGTTTTTTTCTCTTTCCCTGTCTACACCCCTTTTTCCAGGCTCCCTTCTCTGTTTGAGAGTTTTAATGCTCACAGAAACTTTGTTTTTTTTTTTTTTTTTTGAGACAGAGTTTCGCTCTTGTTGCCCAGGCTGGAATGCAATGGCGTGATCTTGGTTCACTAAAACCTCTACCTCCTGGCTTCAAGCAATTCTCCTGTCTCAGCCTCCCAAGTAGCTGGAATTACAAGCATGTACCACCACGCCCAGATAATTTTTGTATTTTTAGTAGAGACGGGGTTTTGCCATGTTGGCCAGGCTGGTCTCAAATTCCTGGCCTCAAGTGATTGCCCGCCTCAGCCTCCCAAAGTGCTGGGATTACAGGCGTGAGCCACCGTGCCCGGCCTATTTTTTTTTATCTACTACTTTATCCACCTGTTTTTTTCCCTTCGTGGCAATGAGTACAGCCAATCAGAGCAATATTCTTTGTTTCATTCATTCAGTCAATCAGCATTTACTAAGCCCCTGCCAAGTTTATGGCACTAACCTGATGATAGGCAGAGCTACCAAAACTGAAGAAACAGATATCCTGCCATAGGCAAAAAAGCACATGTTTGGCTGGCCAGACACGGTGGCTCACACCTGTAATCCCAGCACTTTGGGAGGCCGAGGTGGGTGGATCACTTGAGATCAGGAGTTCCAGGCCAGCGTGACCAACATGGTGAAACCTCATCTTTACTAAAAATATAAAATTAGCTAGGCATGATGGTTCATGCCTATAATCTCAGCTACTCGGGAAGCTGAGGCAGGAGAATAGCTTGAACCCAGGAGGCGGAGGTTGCAGTAAGCTGAGATCACGCCACTGCACTCCAGCCTGGGCAACAAGAGTGAAACTCCGTCTCCAAAAAAAAAAAAAAAAAAAAAAAAAAAAAGTATATGTTTGGGATCCATAAAATTTTTAATAAGATCAATAAGATCATTGAGCATGCATAAGAAGGACAAGATAAACCTGGAAAGTTAGGTTGCTATGGGTTACTAAAGGCCTTGCATACCAGACTAAGAGGCTGAGTTTTTTTTCTCTAGTTAACAGGAAACTATTCAGTAGTTTGTGTTTGTGTGTGTGTGTGTGTGTGTGTGTGTGTATGTATGTATGTATGTGTGCTTATTTGGTTTGGTTTTCCAAACCAGGTTTTGACATAAGAACATCAGTTTTCAGAAGGTTATCCCTTCAGTTCTTCCTTTCTCCTCAACTTCATTCATCTTCCTAGAACTTGAACTCAGCTGCTGCAGTCATCACAAAATAACTTGGTTAATATAAATTTGAGGAAAATGCCTGTCTGATTCCAGCATGAATGGTAGGACAGGTCTGATAATGTTGTGACTCCAGTAAACACTGCATAATGACATAGCCATTCCATCCAACAGTAGTTGTGTGCTCAGTAATTCATCTTATTGTATACGGTTCCTCTCCTAGTCCACTGTTACTCTGAGCTTATAGGAATCTTTCCTCACGCTAAGCAGTTACATAATTTAGATTCCAAATGGTTTCGATTTATACTCCAGATCTGAGTTCAAATCTAAATTGTTAGACTATTTATAGTTTATTTTTTATTTTGTAAGGAATATGAAAAGCCAGGACTGTGTAAACAAAAGAAATGTGGCAGTCTTAATAAGGCATAACCATAAAACAGATGTCATGAGGGTAAAGCTCCCTTTAAAACATTTTGATAGTATGTTTTCTCTGATTTAACAGGTTTGGACCAAAAATCTAGCATGGAATCTGATTCATTCTTTCTGTTAACTTCCACTGCGTAGATGTCTGAGACATCTATTTCATTGGCTCAGTAAATATTAATGAACGGACTGATACAAAGATGATATGCCAGGCCTTGAGAATGCAATGGTGCCAAAAGGAGGCATTGTGTTAGCACTCAGGAAGCTTACAATCTGAGATCTTAGGTAAACCAAATTAATAGACTGATACCATGTATGAATAACTGAAAAAAAAACTGTACATAAACCAGGCTATTTTTATAACACATATCTCCTTATTAGGAAACACTTTTGCTATACCAAAAAATTAGAATATATACAAATATTAATGCCTCCAGCTATAAGAAATAAATATTACTAGGCCTTTGGAGTTCAGTGATATGGCTAAGAAGACCACAAACCACTGAGAATACTTGCAGACAGTCACAGACTATTTTACACGTCCCATCGCATCACCACCATGGGTTCATTTGAACTTTCCAGTCCTTCATCTCAGTTCTTCATTTAGGAAACAGAGTGACAGTAATTATGTGATCACTGCCAACATACGAGCAGCATTGTCGGGGGAGAAATGTTGCTTTGGGGTCAGACACATCTCAGTTCAAATCCTGGCTTTGCCACTGTGTGACCCTTAGGCAAGTCTCTTGATGATCTCTGAACTTTCATTTCCTCATGTGTGAAATGAGGCAGAGATGGAAATGGTAGCACGATTGCAACTCATGATACTGATAGTGGAGTGTTCTAGAGAGTCCTTTCTTTTGGTAATTGTAAATGGAAGTGACCAGAACTTGCCAACTGGCTGAAATAGATACAAAATATTCAGCTTTTCCAAATGTTTCTTTTTTCTATGTTTGGTCTTTATAAATGGAAGTATACCTAAAATATGCTAGAGAGCTTGGTCAAGGAATATGCTTTATAGAGTTTATCAGCTAAAAGGGATAGTATAAGAAATAATATGAACTAGTATATCATTTAAGAATTGAACATATTTTGAGGGTTAGCATTGTCTGTTTTGGGGTGAGTGAATAACACTGTCACAGAGTGTACAATAAAACAAAACAGCAAGGAGTAAATGACTCATGGAATACATCCATGAAACAGAAACTGAATTTAGTAAGTACTAGATATTAGCATCTAGTGATTGATGTCACTAAGATTACATCAAATTCCTGTGTACTCTGCTCCTGGAGAATACAAGACAGGTGACAGATTTCTTAGGAAATGCTTTTCCTAATGCCTTTTTTTTTTCTTTTCATCAGACCTTTGTCTTTTTTCAAGTATGAGTTTACTTTTTAGCCAGTGTTACAATATCTCTATTTGTAGGTAGACAGATGGGGGATAGGAAATGAGGAATGATGTCTGGCTCTTTAATTAAAGACACAGAGCCAGAGTTTGCTCTTCAAGCTTGTTGGCAAGGCACATACGCACACGTGCACATACACACACATACACACACAAAGTGCATCTGATAGATGAAGCCAAATTTGTAAAATTGTATCCACAATCATAGTTTCTATGGTAACTGTATCTTAGGCCCAGACACAAACAGAGCTGGCAGGAGATGTCTGATTTTATTTTCTGCTAAGACAATCATAACAGAGACAGTTCAGGTTATTAAGATGCCATAGCCCAGTGTACATGCAGCTAGTACTTGGATGGTGCTACCATAAGATTTCATGCTTAAATCCCAATAAATACTTTATAATTTCATAATTTGCAGGTTGCTTTTCTCTGTCATTCTGCTATAAAATCATCATGTGCCTGCACACAGTTACTATATTAATGAGGTGTTAGTGGTCAACATAAATGTGGAAATGATGCAAGATAACTTTTATAAATGTGCACAGGTTAGAAGGGACTTCCAGGATGTCTGTTTTAACCCTGACATGTTGCAAGGAAGGAAAATGTAGGCACAGTGTGGTTAAAAGACTTATCCAAGAGTTCCTTTTAAAATATTTTATTTGCTGTATTTTTTAAACTAGCAGATGTTCTAGACTAGTCTATAAGCTGAATACCCAGTTATTTCACAAAATTACTGAAATCAAATTGTGGAAAACAAACACTTCAGAAACAATAGTTTGAATGAGTGTGTGTTCTTTCGCCTCTCTGGATGGCATATTTGTAAATACGTAGCTCAGGCATATTATACCACATATTGCTGAAGATGAATAATTAAACATCCTATTTTGATGAGTTTCATTTTGTTTAAATAGAGCATTTCCCTTAGTTCCCCTAGAAACATATAGCATTTTAGCAAAAGTCTTAATATTAGAAGATGCTGAAAGCCAAGTTTATAACTTTTAGAAGTTTTTATTGTGTTGATTCCTTTAAACATCTTCCAGCCAAATCTGTAACTAGGTAAGAGCAATGGAATTAGAAGAAAGCTTTTGGAAATGTGGAACACTTCTCCAAAATATCTGTCATGATACCAACTTGAAATGAAAGGCACATTTCCTAAAATGGCATCTAAATTTTTATACTTTGCATCTTAATCTTATGATGTGTCTGGCAGCATGAAACTCATTTTTTTGTAATGGATCTAAGTAAGACATATTTGTAAATGAGGATGTTATATATAGGTGAATA
Source organism: Homo sapiens (assembly GCF_000001405.40). NCBI lineage: Eukaryota > Metazoa > Chordata > Mammalia > Primates > Hominidae > Homo > Homo sapiens. The sequence goes on from NC_000002.12 coordinate 205,545,601, forward strand.
AGCCGTATTGCAACTTTGCTTGGCCTCTCCATCACAGCAGCTTTTTAATTTCCTCAGGAAAATTGGCTTGGAGGACATAAATTACAAGATTGGCAAAAAATGTGTCCTAACCTATAGAAACTGGAAAACATGTTAATTTTGAATTGTTTCCGCTTTTCATCAGCAGACATTTGCAGAAAAATCTTGTGTAATTTATTCTTTTATTTTCAATGAATTGTTAAAAAATGTTTGAAAAGGCATTATATCTTCTCCTCTGCCATTAATCTACAAATGGGGAATATTGGGAGGTTAAATGGCCTCTTTAGGATATTGCTTTATGAAACTGCTGATTCTAGCAATGCCAGGCTAGAAATACATACTAATTTAAGGAACCATGAATGTAAGCAGCAAGCTCTTTGCTTTTGTAAAGAAAAGACTAATAGCTTTATTTTAACAAGGCTCCTAACACCCCAGCCGGCAGCAGGCATTGAGTGAATGAAACTGGGAGAACTCCCATGGACTAAAAGCACCTTAATTCAACATTCCTTCCAAACACCAAGCCCTCCTGATAGGCTTGTCACAGGCTGTCATAATCCAGCCAAAGAGGGTCACCACGTGCAAGGCGCACCAAGGTATGAGCGCTTTAAATTGTTTTGAATAAGCTCTCTGAAGTTTCACTTCCTGAGCTATATCAGTAAAGGAAAGATAAATATGCCCCAAATCCAGGCGTAAGTTCTAACGTTACACTGTTGTGTAAAAGGCTAGATTTCTGTTATGGCTTAAGTCAAGATTGTTTCTGTCAGACATATATTTAGGTCACTACATTAAAAAGAAAAAAAAAACCTGCATGATACCAAGTAAGATAAAGGGATTTAAAAAAAATTAATTGGATTGAAGCTGCTGACCTTATTTTTTTGTGATGAGGAAAATTACCTAATAAGGAGTTCTTCAAGCAGGAATATTTCTGAGCCTTGTTGAGCACAGAGAAAAATGAGAAGTGAGCTTATAAATGCCTGTGTCTCTTTTCTCTCCCTCACTCCCTCTTCAAGTCATCTTACTTCCTAAGGACTTAACCACAACTTCTTAAAATTGGCTTCCCTTTAGCAACCCTCTATCTGCAATTTCCTATCCTCTATTTGCAGCTCTTGTAAGAATATTTGTACCCAACACACTAATCTATATTGCCACCATTTCTAACCGAGTATTAAAAATTGATCAAATTATAGGAGATTACATGAATTATGATTTCTCCATATAATGGGATATTATATAGCCATTAAAAATCATGTTTTAAAATATATCCAATAGCATACAAAATTGTCAATAATAAACAGATGAGAAAACAGCTCTATATGCCATTAAAATATGTATGTGTTTATAAATGTTAACAGAGGTCATTTTGGGGTGGTTTTCCACAATAATCATTTAATGGAGAAAAAAATGATTAAATCTGTTTTTTTGGATAATGGAACAGAAATGTATCCCCACCATTTTCATTAACTAACATTGTATCCCTGAGGGAGAGGACTTTTTCTCATCTCTATGTCTTATGGTACTTCACATGTTACTCTACCTAGGAGACACTAATACATGTTTACATATTTGAAAGTATTAATCCCATTCCATAAGCATGACAGCATAAGACAGTACAATCAGTGTTTATTTATTAGAAAACTAGAAAGGTTTTCAGCACCAGAGAGTCTGGCTTTCTCTCCCCATCAATCCACCGAAATCACTCTCAATAAACCACCAATCACCATCTCATTGCCGATTCCAAACAATATTTTTGCAGACTTTATAGTGGTCTCTGTTCAGTTGTAGAGAGCAACATCCACTGTAGCTTAAGAAAGAATAAATTTATTATACCATAGTAATGAGCTTATAGAACCATAAGGGATGTTAAAGAAAAAACTTCTTGGATAAGCTTTCAGGAATGATTTTTCCAAGCCACACTCCAGAACTGAGCTACTGGGGGAGCTGTTGCTATTTCTATGTAGGAAGTTTTAGACTGCAGAGCCACACAATGCTCATATCAGGAGCCACCATGATTAGGAAGATGCCACAATCAGAAAGCCACCTCTCCTGCCACCAATTCTAAGACCAACTATAAAAGTTACATTTCACTCCCCAAACTAGCAATGTTACAGCTGCTAAAGCTGCCACAGGAAAACCAAGCATACCTCTCATTTAGTCAGTCTTGCCATAATAAACAGCGGAAGTATGGCCACTGCCTCAATTCTATTTTCCAAATGTTATGGCCTAACTTAAATCATGCCAGTACATTGGCTGCAAGGGAATCCAGAGAAAGGTAGTTTTTAGCTTTCCAGGCTCTGGAATTGAAGGTGACACTCTACAAGAAGGGTGGATTGGATGAAGTGCACTAACACACAGTCCCTGTCTTACTGAAGCTTTTCACTGTTTTGGCACTGTGGAACACTCCCTTCATGGAATTCTTTTCTTGGTTTCTACAATAAAACATTTTCCTGGTTTTCTTCTGAACCAACTACTTTTTCTCAGACTTCCTCCTGGGTTCAGTGTTTTTGGCCTGCCCTTTAAATGATGGTGTTCCTAAGAATAGTATTAGTGTTCCTCTCTCTTCTCATTTGTCTTTTCTTTTATTTGGTCCCTACAGACTCTTCCTGGGCATTCTTTTCCAAGCTTTCTGGTACCATCTGTATGCTGAACGTTTCCCAATACTACATCTCTAGTCCAGACTTCTCTAAGTTGCAAACCATTATACTCAACGATCAGACATCTCCATTGACATGTCTCAAGTCAGTTTAACATGTCTAGATATTCCCTCCTCCCACCTCTACTCCAAAATCTGTCCTTCATTTATTCCTGTTTTGGTGAGTATTACCAAAACCATGTAGTTGCTGAGCTCAGAAACTTGGGCATTATTCTAAATACCTCACTCCCTTTAATCCACAGTCAATCCTATTGCTCTTACCTCTTTGAAATCCTAATGACACTCTCTTGTCTTCATCCTTTGAAAAACCCTCAGGTTTATGCTCTTACAATCTCTGGCTCAGACCTTTGCTGAACTCTCCAAGTTATGGTAAGAATAATCTTAAAAACTATAAATTCCCAGGAGATAAAATACAAGAAAATCTAGATGACCTAGGGTTTGATGGTGATTTTTTTGATATAAGACCAAAGGCATGATCTGTGAAAGATAAAATTAATACGTTGAACTTTATTAAAATTAAAAAATGTTGCTCTGTGGAAGACACTGCCAAGAGAATGAGGAGAGAAGCTACAGATTGGGAGAAAAACGTTTGCAAAACACACATCTGATAATGAAGTATCCAAAATACAGAAAGAAATCTTAAAACTCAACAAGAAAACAACCTAAATAAAAAAATGGGCCAAAGACCTCAATGGATCCCTCACCAAAGAAGCAAAGAAGATATACATATGGCAAATAAGACTGTGAAAAGATGTTCTACATCACATGTCATCAAGGAAATGGCAAAACAGCAATGAGATATGACTACACACCTATTAGAATGGCTACAATTGGGAACACTGACCACACCAAATGCTGACAAGGAAGTGGAACACGGGGAACTCTCATTCACCAGGAACTCTCATTTGTTGAATTCTGGTGGGAATTCAAAATGGTATCACTACTTTAGAAGACAATTTGGTGGTTTCTTGCGAAACTAAACATAGTCTCACCATATGATCCAGCAATCGCCTTCCTTAGTATTTACCCAAAGGAGTTGAAAACTGACATCCACACAAAAACCTGCACATAAATGTTTACGTCTTTATTCATAATTGCCAAAATTTGGAGGCAACTAAGATGTATTTTAGTAGGTGAATGACTAAATAAACTGTGCTACATCTGGACCCTGGAATATTACTTAGCCTTGGAAAGAAATGAGCTATCAAGCCATGAAAAAGCATGGAGCAAACTTAAATGCATATGACCAAGTAAAAGAAGCCAATCTGAAAAGACTGCGTACTGTGTGATACCAACTATATGACACTCTGGAATTGACTATGAAAAGAGTAAAAAGATCATTGGTTACCAGGACCTGGGGGAAGGAGTGATGAATAGGCAGAGCACTTAAGATGTTTAGGGCCATGAAAATTCTCTGTATGGTACAGAAATGATGAATACATGCCATTATACATTTGTCCAAACCCATAGAATGAGTAACACCTAGAGAGAGCCCTAATGTAAACTATGGGCTATGAGTGATTATAATGTGTCAATGTAAGTTAATGAGTTGTAACAGTTGTAGCACACTGGTGGGCATGCGGGTAATGAAGGAGGTTATGCATGTGTAGGGGTGGGACTATATGGAAATCTGTATGCCGCCTAAATTTTTTTGTGAACCTAAAACTGCTCTAAAAACTAGTTTCTTTTTAAAAATTGCAGTGGTGGTGGTAACAGCAATAGCCACAGTAGGAGCAACAGTAGTATAGTTGCTAGTTAGTAGTATTCTTTTCTTCATACCTTGTTTCTACCTTTGCAAAATCTTCAAATTCCCTGAAGACACAGTGCTTTCGATATGCCTCCATGGTTTTTCACTTTTGTGCTCTTTACTTGAATGGCTTATCCTACTACTCCTACACCCTTCTGCCCCAGAAAAACTCCTCCTCATCCATATTCAGGTTTGAGATGACGCTTCAACACCCGTATGACGCTGTCTTCAACTCTCCCAGGTGGACTTTGGAATTTCTTCCTGCGGACTCCCACTGCCTCCTTCCTCAGACTTCCACAGTGATCTCATTGTACCACAATTGTTTGCAGGCCTGTTTCCATGAGGAGACCCGCTGGATTTCTTCATTGCTTTGAATACAGTGAATGACTGCATTAATGATGTTGCAGTATCAATGGAGAAACATACAAAGATATACACAATTAGTGAAGGACAGAATAATTTCTTATGTGCAAGCTTGCTGCCTATCTTTTGAAGACTGGCCCAAGTTCTGGTACTTCCATGAAGTTTTTCCTGACACCTCCAGGCCTCACCTGTGCTACTGCTGATAACATCCTGAATGGCACTTGAAAATACATTATCCTATTTCATTCTTTGGTTATTTCAGTTTGAATGCTGTTTTCCCAACAAGACAGAAAATCCCTTAAGAATAAGGATCACCTTACATTTCATACAATCTTATATGCTGTTGGGTATATTTCATAGGTGTGTGTATGTATACTATATATAAATACATATATGTATATACATGCAAATATACAAATATATGCATATTTATATGTATATATGTATATTTTATGTATATTTGAATATTTTATATGTATATTTGTATGTATATATGTATATTTGTATGTATATATACATAATCATGTTATAAATACATATAATTATGTGTGTGTGTGTGTGTGTATATATATATGTGTATATATATATATATATATATACACACACACACACACACACACACACATAATCTGTTCCTCGAGGCACCAGAACAGTAACAGGCATGTGGTCTCCTCAAGGCAACAGAATACTGACTGCTATTATCATTATGCCAGGACAGTTCTGGATAACGGTGCTGAAACTATTAACTTGGAATTTTATAGCTACAAGAAAAAGTTCAGTTGGAATATCCAGAGCTATACTATGGATACATAAGCATAGTGATTTTCCAACAATCACAATTAATAACCTTCAGCATAGTATTGATATTTGCAGGAATTCTCTTTCCATAAGAAATAGTTTAAAAACACAAGAAAGCAAACCTTAGGTAGGAATGGGTGAGGACAATGTTTCTGTCCTTCACTTCTTCCTTTTCTTTTTTTTTTTTTTATCCCCTGTCTGTCACCATCCTTGCCTCTGGTTTTGGTAGAAAGTTCAGAAATTTAAACCAAGGCTTTTATCCTACTGCAGAGAATTCTCAATCTCTCTGTCTGTGATTGCTTTAAAGATGTGAAGTCTTCGTCCCTACCTACGTAGTAGCTCACTGGACTCTTGCCCTCTCAGATAACCCCAGTGTCTCCTGTTCCACCTATTGATGAAATATAAAGAGGTTTTATAGGACACACTCTAAAGGTCCTCCCACAATAATTAAACACCAAGAATAGTCTTTCTTAATCTAAGTGCAAGTGTATACTTGTTTTGCAACATCTCTCCCCATATCCCCAACCCCATATACACAGTCTGCACAAGCTGGGATGGAATGGTAGTTTTATGGAGAGCCGGGACTTTTGGTAAGAAGAAAATAACTTCCAGGTGGTTGATTACCGCCTAGAAAAATTTTCCCTACTGACCTTGACACTGTTAGTTCCTTCCTGTGCTTACTGGCAAAATCTCTTCCTTCCCACCTGATAGTCCAAGTTTTCTATTTACTCCTTCCATGCCCATGTGTGAGGGATATCCAAGAGCAAAAGGAAGCACATGAGTGGTCCATGTGATACCAAGTGCGTTGAGGTGAACAGGTGGGGAATCAATCAGTAATCAAGTACTTTTAAATACGTGTTACGTGTTCATCCTGTTTTTAGTTGGCATGATAGCTACAGAACAATGAGATACAATATCTTGTCATTAAGAAACCAACACACAGTATTGAAAACCTACTGGGGCCAGTCACTGCCCTTTAGGATTTCAGAGGCTGATGGAAAAGACTCCAAGAGAGGTAAACACAGGACGTACAGAGGAAGGGACAAAAACAGTAAAGACCAACACTAGATAGAAAACAGTTCATCACTTATGGGTGGCCATTCGTAAGAGAGAGAACTGAGGTTCAGGGTGGTCGGGGGGCATCATGGATGCTGTGGAGTAGACAGTTGATTGTCAGCAACCCTTGTTAGTAAAGAAAGGTTTTATAGAAAAGGTGCTTTTATTTATTTGTTTATTTATTTATTTATTTTGAGACAAAGTCTCACTATGTCAGCCAAACTGGAGTGCAGTGGCGTGATGTGGGCTCACTGCAACCTCTGCCTCCCGGGTTCAAGTGATTCTCCTGCCTCAGCCTCCTGAGTAACTGGGACTACAGGCGTGCACCACCACACCCGGCTAATTTTTGTATCTTCAGCAGAGATGGGGTTTCACTATGTTGGCCAGTCTGGTCTCAGACTCCAGACCTCAGGCAATCCACCCGCCTCTTGACCTCCGAACAAAGTGCTGGGATTGCAGGCATGAGCCACCGAACCCAGCCAGAAACGGTGCTTTTAAAAATATGGTCTTTTCACAGCCAAGAAGAGCTATAATGGCGTGAAAACTAAATGTAACATACTGGATGGGATCCAGGGACAGAAAAATAGCATTAGTTAAAAATCTAAATAAACTATAGACTTTAGTTAACAATAATGTATCAATATGGATTAATTGTAAGAAATGTGCCATACTAACGTTAGCTAGCGATAAGAGGGAAACTGGGTACAGGATGTATGGGAAGTCTCTATACTACCTGTTCAATGTTTCTGTAAACCTAAAACTATTCTAAAAACTAAAGTCGGTTTTAAAAAAAGAAGAAGAAGAAGAAGAAGAAAATAGTCTAGCATCCTACAGAATATTCCTGGCATGGGGACATGAGGGAGTCAGTTTGACAGTGACCCTTTTTTGAAAGAAGTGACTTTGTTGTTAAATGCCATGTTTGTGGCTTGATCATCAATTCCTATAGCAATGTGGAGTTCTTGCTTGCTTTTCCATGGTTGATTTTTGGCAGGCAGTAACAGCATTTGTGCACTGATTATAATTTCGAGATGCATTGTCAGTAACCAAGGTGTATAATGGATCTTCATCTCTAATTGCTTTTCTCTCCACAGGTGCCTGGAAGGGGTCCAGATGGGAATGCACACAACCTCCGCTTTGAAGGGATGGAGAGGCAGTACGCATCCTTACCCAGGTAGATCACGGAGAGGTCTCCCATCTCCAGCTCACCTACAAATGAAGTCTTTAGAGAAGTCTACATGAAATAGAAATTCTGGCTTTGAAATAGGGAATATGTTATAATTTTGCCTTGCTGCCGTCTGCTGTAGCCCTAGTTCCATCTTCACAAATGTGCTAATAATTGAAACACTTGTGGGTTATTTTTAAGGGGAGAAAATAGTATATCATTGCAATTGAACGTGTCAGCAAGAACATTGGATACTAAATGGAAATCCTAAGCCATTGCTATAAAACTGGTATCGAACATCCCGCACCAAGCTTAGAGACAATCAAATAGTAAATCCTCTGTCCTAGGAGTTACGCACGAGGAATGGCGGGCCAGTCTTAAGCTTGGAGTTTCATGTGGGTGTTAAGAAGCAGGAAAGAAATGTGAACTTAGGAAGGTGTTCTTTGCCTGATTTAGAATCTGACCTTGTTCTCAAGGCAATAAGCAAATATTGCTGAGAGGCACAGACCCAACGGGGGAAAGAAACAACTGCATGGGAAAAGTTTGCTGGGCCACCCTGGCCTGACATGATCCACTCATACTGTAACTCAACACCCTTGAAAATGAGATACAATTCTCAAAACTTGTGCTGTTATTGGTGAGATGAAGAGGAATTTTAGTTTGCTATCAGTAGCACATGACAAAGAAACAGCTTTTCCAAGAGTACATGCAGTCCAGCTACGATTGGAGTTAGGTGAGGTGAGAGTATGAGAATTAATGCATCCAAAAGAGAAACAAAGTAAGGTTAATGCCACGCAGAAAGTTGCAGTGTTTTCAAATATTGCCTTTTAAAGGGGTGGGGGAAAGACCCCAAGCAGAGTTTTTTTATCAAAACTGAGCTGTTAAAGTGCCAACTCAGAGATGGAGTGACTGTTTGACATTGTATGTTGACTGTACCTCTGTGTGATTTTACAAAACAAACACCCTGAACATTACAATGGGCAAAGCCAAAGTGACCATCTGCTTTTATAAATAGTATGTTATTTTCAAAAGTAATAAAATCTGAAATCTAGCAGAGAAGCTGTTTTGTCCTGATTAGGCAGGACACCCAAAATACAATATTTTAAAACTTTTATAAAGTTATATTTTATTTATCTTCCTGTTTTCTTTTCTTTAATAGATGTTGTCTAATAAGTTTTTCTTATTTGTGATTAGCTTCCTGTTTCTATTTTCCTTGGCTTAGTACAACTGGCCCTCAGTATCTATGGGTTTCACATCCATGGATTCGATCAATCTCAGATCGAAAATATCCAAGAAAACAAAGACAGTCACAATGGTACTGATTATGTACAAACTTTTTTTCCATGTCATTATTCCCTAAACAGCACAGTATAACAACTATTTGCATAGTCTTTACATTGTACTCAGTATTATAAGTAATCTAGGGATGATATAACGTGTATGGGAAGATGTGCATAGGTTATATACTAATACGATTCCATTTTATATCAAGGACTTGAGCATCTGTGGATTCTGGTATCTGAGGTCGGGGGCTGGGGTGCGGGAGGTGCAGTCCTGGAACCATTCCCCCAAGGAATGGGGAATCATCCCCAAGGGACAGTTACATTTTGTTTCATTTTAAAAATGGAGGCAGTTTCCAAAAATTTGTTTTACATATAAGATTTCCGGCTTTCACTGTTGAAGTATATGGAAATTGTGGTTAAGGCAGATGGAAAATAGAATGTTCTTATGAGAGGGAGTAAAAAAAGGAAAACTGGAAACAGTTTAAAATCTTCCTGACCAATCTGCACTCAGAGTGCAGAAATGGAGTGTTTGGGTACAATTCAGAGGCACAGAAATAGCATTTAAAATTCTATAAATTTCACTCATTCATTCATTCATTCACCTTGTATCTGGTGATCACCTAGTATGTACCAGGCCCTGAGAATATGGAAACTGGAGGCACAGTCCCAGTCCATCCTCAGGACTCTACTGTTAGCAAAGGAGTCAAGCAAATCAGCCTTTTACAGTAGTACAACCAATGCTTCTGTTTGTAATTATTAAAGTCTTCTGAATTTCCAACTCTTGTTTATTTTCGCTAATCCCCGAAATACTCACTCATGGCTGACTCTAAACAAGTATATTTTAGGATTAAACACTGTGGTGGGGGTTTTCTGTCAAAGATAATACATTTATGCTGTTTATGGCTCTTTATGAATGTATGAATTGACAAAATCCCGCCAGCCCCAGAATAAAACTGTAGCTGAAAGGGAAGCATCTCAAACTGGAAATAATTCTGGCAAAAAGTTCACTCACCCACGTACACAATGGTAAGAGCAATTAGTTGCATGTGCAAACAGACCTTTGCAGCTACCTGGCAACCAGAGGCAGCCATGGTGGAGAATAAATAGGGCTCAGATAAATGCAAGGGGGACCCCTGGCAGTGGCTTTTAAATGGGGATGCTGCATCCCAACATCTAAAGAGGAGATGCAAAGCTCCCTCCCAGGCATTGCACCCTGGTCCATGGGTGGGGGGCTCCAAATTAAACTAATGAGATGCAGAAAGCAGAGGCCAGAGACGTACTGCTGGCTTCTGAAAAGGTATGCAGATGCTGCTCTGAGTGCCAGTGACATTTACCCTGGTTTTCTTGTCTTTCCCCCTGGAGATTTTGCTGTCCACTTAATTGAATCACGCCAGCTCCACCGCTGTCTCCTTTTGCCAGGAGAGTGAGGCGAGCACATCTCGGTAGGCACCGGATCCCTCTTCATCACAGAGGCCGGGAGCTTTGAAATATTTATGGAGTTAAATTTTTAATTAAAAACAGGAATAAATCCATCTGTAGGAAGTCGGTGGCCAACCTTATGGAGAACTTAATATGCTACTGACTGATTGGGTTCCTATGTTGTTTGTGCAATGCTTCACAGTAGTTTTTAGGAACAATTCAATAACATTGATTTCTATGCCAAATTTGGAGCCATCGACACAGAGAGAAAATGCTCCACAGCACATGGAGTAGGTGAGGAGCTCTGGTCAAGTGCTTTCATGGAACTCGGTCATCTTTAAAGCAGGCCCATGCAGCCCACTGCCAGGCTAAATGACATTTCACGAAATAAAGCCAGAGCGCTGGCCAGCACAGGAAAAAGACAATTCCCAGCACTTGGTAGTTATGAGGTTGCCTAAGGCTAAGGGCTAAGCCATGTTAAGTGTTATTGTTAAGCAATGTTAAATCTCCTGCCTCCTAAGAAAAATGACTTTACTTCTTTTCTCCTGAGGGTGCTGTTTTGGAAAGCGGAGTGTGGTTGTAATACAACCTCGTTAGTAAACACCAGACCTGTACCAGGGCCAATGTTTTACCAGCCTCAACAGCCCCCAGTTTTCTTGGTAGTAAACAGAATGAAATCAGCATTCCTTTATTCTTGCCTGACACCCTAGGTGAGTAGGGAAGTGGCTGTTTCCTAGGCTGCTATGATGTGCGAACATCAACGTATGTGTTTTTGCAAACGGCTCCTTTTTCACTCCAGCCTGCCAGCCGCTCGCAATTCTCCCAGGTCCCATTCTGATTTCGCAGGCCTCCTTGTGGTCAGTCCCTTCAGCACTGAACTCTCCACTCTTCCCATCTCAAGCCTCCATCATTCCCACCTGGCCCATCCCTGGCCCCATGGGATCCCATTATCCCCCTCTCTGCAGATGGCTCTGTGCATCGGCGCATGATATTGCTCTTCCGGACTTAGAATCAAGTGTGGAGTCCTAGGGAGTGAGCAAAAGGCACTGCAGCTCTTCTGTGGTCCTACATGCGTGGGCGGCAAAAGGTTGCTGGAGAGACTCGTAAAACTGCATTCATGGGTTCCACTACAAGATTCACATTATGCAGCACCAGCTGGGTCCCTTGCTGCCGTCCAGCTTTTTTTGTAGTCATGTTGTCAACTCCCCTGACTATCCCACAGTGGCCATTCCAACCCTTTCTACTCCCGTTAAGTTCTACGAAGATGACTAAACTCCCCAAGCCCAGTCTCTGGAGGTGATCTCACTTCCTTTGCTTTATGACCTTGAGGCATTCAACGTTAGCCCCTCAACTTCTGCTCCTGCAGCTCAGAGTCCTGCATCTTAGCTCACACACGCTTCCCAAGGGGATGCACTGAGGGCCTGAGCTCGGAGTCAGGCCATGATTATAGCCCCAGTTTCATCACTTACCACCTGTGTGGCCTTGGGCAGTGATGGAATTGCTTCAGGCTCTGTTTTCTAATCTGCAAATTGGGGATGATATTAGAGCCTCGGTAATAGTGCCGGTATGAGTATTAAATACAATAATACAAGCAAAACCCTCAGCGAAGAGCCTGTGTAGTGCATTGAAGGATTTTTTATTGTTAGCTCTTTTTTTATTTTATCTCAGGGGAAGAAATGTGCCTTCCTGTAATGAGGCAAACCCACACACCAGAGCTCATTTTCCCTGGCTTCTTGGGGACCTTGAGCCACCAACTACCCTCTCTCGGCAGCATCTTTAATCCTTTTGGCGTTGCTTTCCTCCCCCTGCCTACTATCATAGATGCACAACTTCAGGGGCACAGTTTGCCAGGATCCCCCACTGTGTGGAGAAGAGGAAGCAGCACCTGCATGGGGATATGCTGGGGGAACTCACTGAAGCTGAAGGATTCGCCGACTCAGGAAAGACCAGTGGTCTGGATGGTCAAGTGCAAGAGAACATAGCAATCTACTGTGATCTGAGTGATAAGCTGAGCTAATGGACATGATAGTAGACAGCAGTGCTATGGAGAGGGGGTTTATAACAGATACAGCATGCTGACTTGGCTCTAGGCAAGAGGCCAGGGCTCCTGTCCAGCAAGACTTGGGTGCAGGAGTAGGCATTGCTCCAGTGGTAGAGGCCATACCCAGGGCGAGTTAACCAGGAAGGTGGAGCATGATGCTCTAGCTCCCAGGGCAGACATGGCATGACAGCAGCACCCTATTCGCAGGTGGGAGAGATCCAGAGATACTGCTAAGATACTCCTATTATCTCAGGACCGGGCAGTGCTGAACATGCAACTACCAGACTTATACCTGAGCAGGACTCGTGTGGCAGGTCTACCCCATTAAATTGACTCTTGTATGTCAGAGAAAAACAAAGACCCTTGGCTCAACCCTCCTTTTCCCACATTTCCTAAGAAAAAGTGGGCTATACCTGTTGGTTCTATTTCCACTCAACCCACTCACACTATAGCCTCTTGCCCCAGGCTTCTGCCCACACCACTGATACTTCCACCAGACTCTGCTTCCCGCCTTTTGCTCCACATGGATTCTCTCTGTGCCGTCTCCTCCATTCCTGCCAATTCAATGCCCGTCTCTATGATGATTCCAAAAGTACCTGCCTAACATTCATGTCCCACTCTTGTGACCCCGTTTGATATACTCCTCCTTCTGCCTCCAAGACGCCTCCAAGTCCCCCTGCCAAAACCCATGCCATCTTCCTTTGCTCTTCTTCTTTTAAACTTCCATAGCATTTACTTAGCACCTTCCCAGTGCCCTAAAAACACCCTGAATTGGATTATTCTCCACTGCCCCTTTCCACCCCATTGAAATATAAATTCCTTGAAATAAGAGACTTTGTTTTATACCCATCATTTGTTACACCCAGAACCTAACATAAGGCCATGTATACAGTAGAGTCTTAATACATTGCTATACAGATGAGAATAGTTTTTTTGGTTTTTGTTTTGTTTCCTCTACCCAGGTGGAGGCCTAAGTATGGGCTCCACCACTGGAGCAATACCTACTCCTGCACCCAAGTGTTGCTGGATGGTCTGATCTCATCTGTTGCCCACGTTGGAGTACAGTGGTACAATCTCAGCTCACTGCAACGTCTGCCTCCCAGGCTCAAGCATTTTCCATCCTCAGCCTCCAGAGTAGCTGGGACTACAGGCACGCACCACGATGCCCAGCTAAATTTTGCATTTTTTTGTAAAGACAAGGTTTTGCCAAGTTGCCCAGGCTGGTCTCGAACTCCTGAGCTTAAACAATCAGCTTGCCTCAGCCTCCCAAAGTGCCGGGATTATAGGCATGAGCCACTATACCTAGCCAAGAATAGATTTTCTTTATATACAAGGAAGTTATGGGAAAGAAATCCCCCAAAGCTTTTTTGACAGTTGGTTTTAGATTGCTGTTTTGCAATATAAGAAATGATTTTTCATGAGGATGTATCTTTTCTCTGAAATCAATAGAAGTCCAGACTTTTTTTTTTTTTTTTTTTTGAGACAGAGTCTCACTCTGTTGCCCAGGCTGGAGTGCAGTGGTGTGATCTCGGCTCACCGCAACTTCCGCCTCCCAAGTTCAAGCGATTCTCCTGCCTCAGCCTCCCAAGTAGCTAGGATTACAGGCACGCACCACCATGCCCGGCTAATTTTTGTATTTTTAGTAGAGACGAGGTTTCACCATGTTGGCCAGGGTGGTCTTGAACTTCTGACCTCAAGTGATCCACCCGTCTTGGCCTCCCAAAGTGCTAGGATTACAGGCGTGAGCCACCGCACCCAGCCCAGATTTCTAAATAGTTCATCCCTAGTGAGCACTTACTATGTACAAGACACAGTTCTAAATGCTTTGCATCTCCTGACTGACAATGCTCACAGCAACCCTGTGACTCAGCAGCAACCTGATAATTATCCCCATTTCATAGGGAAGGTCACACGCAGAGAGAGGTTAAATAAACTTGCCCAAGTCCAACAGCTAAAATGTGGCAGAGCTGGGTTTTTAACCCAAACAGTCTGGCTGCGAGTTTGTTCATTTTAACCACCTTGACTAAGGTTATGAAGCTCAGAGTTTAATCCATACTCTGCACCTATCATATTCTGTTATTTGCTCACCTGTTTGTATTTCTTACTAAAATATAAGTGCCTTTAAGGACAGGGACTGTGTCTTCTTCATCTTTGTATATGACACAGAACATTCCTAATATACAGGTTAAGTAATGCCTTTCAACCGTCTCTGTAATGCTGTCATAAAAATCAATTCTTTTTTCCGTTCCCTTGGGCCCTTTGTTTGAAATATGAACAGTTTAGTGTGTAATTGCTAGATGAACATTAAGCAATATACTTTGCCTACCAAAAAGAGAATCCTGTTAGAACACTCCTGAGAGTTGAAAAAACAGTGTCTGCAAATTGGTACTGTAGTTCCTTAAGATTAGAAATAATATCTCCCTGGAAGAAAAAAGGTGACAGTAAATTTCCTGGTGGAGTGCTGCATGAGCAGTCCTGTGGAGAGAAAGACTCCCTTTCCTGAGGCTGATGAGGGACAAAGGCCTGCTTGGGCCACGTTCGCCTCCAGTCCTTGATGTTTCTGTAATCCATGTTACATAAGTTACTTGGGAGAAAAAAAGGTCTCTCTGAATATCTCAAGCAGCTTTCAACTTGGCTGCGCAATGGGAAGCAATATACTGGAGCTGAGTGTGGATAGAAAGAGCAACTTTAGAAGGAGCAAGCAGCTAATGCTTGCTTCCTAGGAACCCATAATGAATTTGCTTTCTAAGTACATTCCCGGTGTTTCCGCATTGGGTACGATTGTGTTCGTTTCAGAAGAAATACGCCATAAGAGCATGCTTCCACTTTAATGTTTCAGTTGGTTCATTTTATTGGTCTCAGTCTTCTCGTCTACTTATGCCCATCAGGAAGAGTCCAATCACAAGTGCGCAGGTAACTTTGAAACTTGCAACAAGCATGCTGTCTACTATCTTTGGTTATCCCAAAAGTATTTTGTCTGGGTGTCCTCAACATCCTTTTCTGTCATTTACCTCACTTCTTAAAGATGCTCTCCCTCTCAGATTTCTCTTGTTCTCTTCTACAATGAACTTCTGCTTCATTCACTGTTACTGAATTTTCCTTTGCCGGCATTGCACTATTTTATTGTGCTCACTAAGTCACTGGCGGTGACATTCAAGTTCTGCAGATTTCCAGCAATGCCACAGTACTGGGCGTTGGCTGAAGCTAATCTAGATAGTAATCCAAAGAGTTCAATGAAAAGTTGAGAATCAGAACATTAGGTAAACAGGTGTGTGAGTGCTTGTCTGGGTGTGGGTAGAGGTTTGACTGTCTGGGTCTGTAAAAGCTGACAAAGTCTCCATGCTGCCCAACTTCTCTGTACAACAAGTACTTCTCTGTGCGACAAGGCCAGCTTGTCAAATAAGATGCTTCATGAGCATATATGTACTGCTCCCCGCAGTCATGCCGGCGGTTGGAATGTTCTACCAGAGTTTGAGGGTGTCACACTTCATTTATTAATAGACACTGTGAATCATGGCCAGTGGCTTTGACACTTCCCTGGTGGTGCAACCCTATCCGAAGAACCTTCCTCACTGTGAAAAGCTACCTTGCAGTGTTTGTCCCTAAGATTGCTGCTCTGACTTTGCAGGAATACTAAGATGAGCTGAAGAACTTGTCTAGGTCATATCTTCCACATCTGCATATGACGGGGTTTACTGCCTTTTGAAAATCAGTGAAGCTCTTTTACCCCACCAAATTAAGCTTTTTCATCCTTTCTCTTAAGGTTCCCTGTGCTGAAAATCTAGTCTCTACTTCCCCTTCCCAGTAGGATCAGCTGTCTGTTTGAATGGCCCCCTGATACCACCTCAGTCTTAAGGCCAAGGACAAAATGATGAATTAGCAGCGATTTAATTCTTTGTGAGATTAAGATGTCTCCATTGTCAACTCAAACTTCCTGAAAATGCAGAAAGCCCCAGCATGTAATATCACTTTAAGATGCCAAACAGCTGAGATCAGGGGGTTAATGCTACTGCCACCTCATTTTTATGTCACTTAGTTCCTCAGATAAAAGTCCATTTTAATCAAACTTTTCATCATTTCCTCGTAGCCAATATATCCTTGATGCCAGTTAGAATATTTGATATTAATTATTCAGTCAAAGGCCTCCATTATGAGTTTAGTTAGAATATTAGTGATTTAAAACATGTTAAGACTCATACAGTAGTGATGTCCCCAAAGTAGTTTTAACTGAATCTTGATGAACCACATACATTAAATTCTATAGGTTTTTTACTTTTTCCCTCATTTTCCATAGAAAATTCCAAACTGCTACACATTTGTTGGCTAAGTACTCTTTTGAGAGGAAGAGTATGTGCCTGCTCTTTCGAGAGTGCCAAATCTGACATTACCTTGGACATGAAATCTATTAAGCTTGGTAAGCTGACTTGCATGTTTTCCCTCCTGCACATATTAAAGGGAATTTTAGCATTTATTTCCTACTTCTCCAGCCAAAAGAAAAGAAGGTTGTTTTGTGCCTAGGCATCTGCTTAGAGTATTGCTCTATATCTCATTTCTCATAATCTTTGGTAGTTCTTGATGTTTTCCTATCTTATTGCCATTCCACCATCTGCCTCCTAATGCTCATTGCCCTGGAATTATGGTGGTGATTTTCTTGATAATGCTGTACCGTTTTGCATGATGCACACTGTCTTTCTGCACCTACCTCCTCCTGTCTTCTCTGACTCCAGCCATTTGCACTGTCCCTTGATTCAAGTTCCTGGGTTTGCTGTGTATAGGTATCTTAGTATCAACCTACTATAGACAGAGACATTATGAATAAATGAAGTGTATTAATTTATTATAACATCTGATTTGTATGTTTGTGAGGCCTGTGCTTTATGATTATTTAAAATGACATTATATCACTGAAATACATAACCATCTTGGATAAAAAGTTAGTGCCTCACCAAATGCATGAATACATGATATTATTCAACAGGAGTAATTAACAGTAAAATCACTAGTCTTATTTTCCATTTTTATATACCAAGATCTGCATGCAAATTGTTTCAAAGATGTCATGTTTATTCCTAAACTAGTTGATTGTATTTAAATAGAAAATAAAACTAAGAACAATCAAGGCAAGGGAGAGGTTGTAAAACCTATTGCGTGCCTTCTATGTCTGTACGTTTTGCATGCCTTGTCTCATTTTATCCTCACTGTCCAGCTGGCTAGGAGTCATATGATGCTCCTTTAATAAAAGAAAAAAATGTATCCTTGAAGTCACAGAATCAGAATCAGAATTCAAACCCAGGACTCTCTGGTTTCCAAGGCCTTTTTAATTTCACTTGACCCCACATGACTAACATTGGCAAGTCAAGGAGAGGTTGGAATGCTTACATCATCTGTTTTCATAAGTAATGTGAGTTCATGAGATGGGAGATATCTTAGACCATATGAAGAATAGCCCATGTTCATTGTGAACATCTTTTAAGGTTCCAGAGAAAATAGAAAATGTCAAAACCTACGGGTTGTAAAAAAAAAAAGTAATAAAATACAAGAAAATAGTAGGGAATTTATGGGAAATAAAGAAAAACACTTTTGAATCACACACTTTTTCTTCTTTTATCACTGTAAGTTTTCCCAAAGTAGAAACAAGATACCTGCCTTTTCCTTACAATTACCCTGTTCCTGTTGGGAACATACACAGAGATGTGAGTGGCGCCCCCTAGGGCTGCACAGACCATGTGCATGGACCAGGTCCCCAGCCCCTAGATTGCACTCTGCACCACTCCTCCACAGAACACTCAGAACAAGGCAAGGGGAAGGAGTTAACATTTGTTGAGCCCGTATTGTGCTCCAAGAACTCTGGCAAGTACTTTAAATATGTCACCTCATTTATTTCCTGTAACAATCCTGATATAAATATTATCATCCCTATTTTATGGATGAAGAAACTGAGACTGGGAGATGCAAACAGGTGTGGCTAAGATTGCACACAGAACTAGTGACAGGTTTTGGAGTCAGTTCAGTATTTTCTGCATCTGAAATTTCTGGGCTTTCTGCAGCATCAAGGTGTCTGGTACTAGGCTGGTTGTAAACAGGTAGGAGAGACACATTACGTGACCATCCTTTCCTGAGGCAGCCCTCACTGCTCTGATCCCACCCTAAATCACTGCAGTGTATATTAAAATGAGCATTTCAATGGATAAACCCCTTATAGGCTTTCAGAATGACTAAGAACAGCAACCACTGAATCACAGAACTCCTCTTAGCAAATTCAAACACCCACTTCCTTCCAGCCAAAATATTTTAAATGGTGCTTTTTTGCTTAAAGACTGCCTCTGTGTTATGCTAGTGAGTTAAATATATATACATATAAACCAGTTGGTTCCACTTCAGCAATTTTTGTAGCCAGGAAACTATTGTTGGTTCTTTCACAGTGTAGTTCTGGCACATCCTTAGGGGACATGGCTGAGACGCAAATGCCAGACAACTGCGGAAGCATCGCTTCTACTGACTCTGCTGCTTCAAGTCCAGAGAAGAGAGCTTTGGCAGTCAGTTACTATGGTGGTGCCACCCGAGCCCATCTGTGCCCTGGATCTCATGTGACACAGGCCCCACGACCTCGATCATTCTGCCAAGAAACACCTTGGTCCAGCTCCATTATTTCCAGCAAAGGCAAACATTTGTGGTACAAATGTGAGAGGGGTTGGTACAAAAACAGCAGCCTCCAGAACGTGTTCCTGCTTCTATTCCAAGTCTCTCATTAAGCCTAGACAGAAGTGACCAGGGCTTGTCTCACCAGAGGGTTGCCCCACTCTGCAATCAGAACTGACCCTTATGGCCGAACATGGAATGACATGTTAAATAGGTAGGAACCTGGCAATTCTCACGCGCCATTCTCCACCAACAGTACACTCTGGGACATCATTAGTACCCTTTCAACTTGGTCATTGCTTGAAAGTGAAGACAGAGTGGTGACTGCCCAGATAAGACTTCTGCCCACTAACTGCTTACATGTGGCTGAGGCAAACACAGACCCTTTTCCAGAAATGATAGTGTCTGACAGCCCGGGTTTTACAAGGCACTGGAAAGATCTATAATTGTTACAGCAGAGGTTTAAGATGGAAAATAAGCATGTTGAGCTATTTGGAGAAGGAATTTGCCACAGTGAAGTTTTTTTCCTGGAAACAGTCATATAAAATCAGGATGGAGTTGGTATCAAGCTTCTTGGTCACTTTCCATTGATATGTCGGTGCCTTTGACAATTTATGTTAAATGTGCAACAAACACCCTTTTACAGCTTTGTCCAACATCAAAATCAGGTCCATATATAAGACAGTTTCTAGCCAGTGTTTTATAGGAGTGATTTCTGGATGTGGTATCTGTAATGTGGCCAAGATAATGTGAAGACTCTGCCTTCTGTGGGTCGGTTATAGACAAGTCACTTATGTTACCATCTTGTCAACAACTTGAATTCCTCAGTTTGTCCTTTTTCTGGTTACTTCTTTCTTATCCAATTTTTTAAAAAATGAAACAGTTCAGTCAGAGCAATGTGTGCAACTTATTAGCCTGAACAGATGAGCTAGGAAAGTCATCTACTCTCCATATTCCTGCATTTAACAACTATTTATTCATGACCTACTAAGTGCAATACACTCTGTAGGCCCTGAGGATAGCGTGATAAGCCCCATAGACACAGTTTCTGTCCTGTGAAGTTTATACTCTAGTGGAGAAGATAGTAATTCAGCAGTCACAAAGAAAACATAAAATTGTAACTCTGCCCATTACAAAAAAAAAAAAAAAAAGGAGAGATATGTGATCCAAGAAAATAGAATGTGAAATTGCACCAAATCAAGAAGGGAGGGAGACATGAGTTATGATCTGAAGGAGGTTTAAGACAATAAATAAGGAATATTCCAGAAAGAGAACAGCACACGCAGAGGCCTTGTGTAGGAGAACACGTAATGAACAGACTGAAAGAAAGGTGTGTGACTGGAACAAAGACTGTGGGAGTTGAGCAGGAAAGGGAGGTAGCAGTCAGACCATGAGTGGTCAAGTGAAGGACATCTGAACTTACTCAAAGACTAGAAACCTTTGCGGGGTTTTAAGCAGAAAGATGATATGGTTGGATTTGTGATCCAGAATGTTTGTCTAGCTGCAAGGTAGAGAATTGTTAGGAGAGATGCTGGAGTGAAGCAGACCAGTTAGAGGATTTTGCTGTCATTCCAGGGACAGATGTTGATAGTATGTACCAGGGTGATGGTGATGAAAGCAGAATCGGAGAGAAGTGGGAGGAGCTGATGAACCTTGATGATGGATTGCATGTGGGGGTTTGAAGGGTAAGTGAAGCCAGGTGTTAAGAATGGATCCACACACAGCAGCATGGGTGCTGGTCCCACTTCCCAGGAGACAAGGCAAAGAGAGGACTAGGTTTGGCAGGGAGAGATCATGGTTAAGCTTTGGGACATGTTAGATTTGAGGTACCTTTCAGACTTCCAAAAGGAGACCACTGAAATGTGCCCTAGAGATGTCTCGACATGGATGGGAATTGCAATGGCTGATCCAGGATATTAAGCAAATGTGTATTCATGAAAACTGAGCAAAAGACCCCAGGGCATATCAGGGGTGATGATGTAATAAACCACAGAGTCGCATACTCAGAAAGTACAAATAAAGGCAGGTCGACAGTGCAGACTGCAAAAACCTGGGCATCCTTCTGTGGCTGTGACATGCCTTCACTGCTTAGATCGACAGCAAAGGCTTATCTATCACTGTCTTTGTAATTTCATTCTGGAAATAATATTTTTCTCAAGTAGGAAGAATTGGTGACTTAATGTCATCTGGCATTCTGTGACTAAGCGTAGCTCTGACTCCATGAAGCATAAGGATGAGGGTAAGAAGAAACGGTGGAAACTGTTTTGATATCTGTACTGAGCTTATAAAACAGAATAAATTTGTTCAGAAATATGCACTAAAATATTAAAGGGTAAAGAGGAACAAGTATCCAATTTACTCTCAAATGGCTCAGGAAGTATCAGTGTGTATATTTAATAATATGTATGTATGTATAGAGAGAGAAAGAGGGAGGATAGAGAGGAAGGGAACAGAATGGAAAAAAATAATGAATGGGACAAAATGTAAAGAATTGATGAATTTGGATAAAGAATATAGAACATTCCTTGTTTTTTTTTTTTTTTTTTTTTTTTTTTTGAGATGGAGTCTTGCTCTGTCGCCCAGGATGGAGTGCAGTGGCACGATCTCGGCTCACTGCAAGCTCCGCCTCCCAGGTTCACACCATTCTCCTGCCTCAGCCTCCCAAGTAGCTGGGACTACAGGTGCCTGCCACCATGCCCGGTTAATTTTTTTTTTTTTTGTATTTTTAGTGGAGACAGGGTTTCACCATGTTAGCCAGGATGGTCTCGATCTCCTGACCTCATGATCCACCCGCCTCGGCCTCCCAAAGTGCTGGGATTACAGGCATGAGCCACCGCGCCCGGCCTGTACTAGTGTTGTACTAGCAATAACAGTAACAAGGAATAGTGGACATTCTCATAATTTTCCAGTATCAATTCAAAAGTTTAAAAAGTCCTCATTTTGGTGTCCTAGGCAGGGCTTCTCCCCACCCCCGAGAAGAAGACTCTGAGACAGGGATTTGAGAGCAAGTGATTTTATTTGAGAAGCGATCCCAGGAAGCATTGGAAGCGGAGTGAGGAAGGAAAAGGAAGAAAGCCAGTACAGAGCACATTAATGAACAGATTACCACTGCAGGCAAGAGGGAAGGAGGGCTGGGGTCTTCTGGAGATGGTAGGGAAGACACTCACACCTTGCCCCACCTGGGGGCAAGCATGTTGAGGTACTTAACTTTTGGTCCCATTTGTCATTGGTTAAGAGTTGTTCCTAAGATATCAACTCCCCAGCACTTCTTCCTGTCCAGTGCACTGGTAACAGAAGCCTCAAGCCAGGCAGCACAGATGCTTGGATAAGGACCGTAGTGGACAGAAGTGCTGCAGTGATGGGGGTGTGGGGGCAGTCTGCTGCCACAACTAAGGAAGTGTGAAGGCTCAGGGTTCAAAGCAGATCAGTTGTGGTTGCCTTTCGTGAGAGAAAACATATGAGATTAGTAAGATGCCCCAGACAATCCTGATGCCTTCACTTTATTATTGGAGTAGGTGCTCTGTGAATTGGTCATGTCTTGTACGGAACACAGTGAATGCCAATAGCACCAACAGAGCAACCCAAGAGAATAACTCTAGAAGAAGATACTTCCAGTTTCTCTTTGTTTCACTCAAATATGCAATACATCAAAATGATGTAAGGTCTTTGACAAGTTCATTTTCTGTCAAGCCCATGCTCAGAACATCACTGAAATACAGCAGCACCTCTGGGACACTCCTGGGATTAGGAAAGCCTCTGGAAAAATTAAACTTGGTACTGAGTTGCCTGACTCAAAAATGCCCATTAATGAACAATGATGGTTTGAGTGTGTGCTGTGGCTTTACCTAGGATCGTGGCTATACACACAGGCGAGGTAAAGTTCTACATGGATTTCAACATGTCATCTTTGCTTCAATTATGAACAATAAAAACTTGGCCAAACTCAGGGATTCGTCAGATGGCCCTGGTCGTGTGTCTTCCATGGTCTCCACAGTCTCACCTTAGCCTCAGGCCTTCATGCTAAGACACTAGCGCTGTATCTATGAAGCCTGTAAAACTGGATCAGTCACATCCAGTTCAATTAAGATGCTTAGGCTCACCTTCTTAGAACAAAAAGTATGTGTCATAAGTCAAACAGGCTACAGGATAAATTCCTAGCATGTAATTACCAGGTCAAAGAATGTGAATATTTTTAAAGTTTCTGATGTATATTGCCAGATTGACCTCCAAAAAGGTTGTACCAATTTACACCCCCACCAGCACTGACTATAAATCATTTTTGAAAACCTATGTCAATTTAATAGGTTAAAAAGTAACGATTATGATCACAAACTGTTTTAATTTGTAATTCGTTTACTCTCAGCGAGGTTTAATTTTTCTCATGTTTATTAGAATCCTTTTTTTTTTTAGTTTGTTGTAGCTTATCTGTTTGCATGTCATTTCTGTCTAGGTGTTTATCTCTGTCTTCTTGATTTCCTAGAGCCCTTCATATATTAAGGGCATTAACACTTTGACATATTTAAAATTATTTTAGTTTAACTTAAGCTATCTTTATGGTAATATAAATCTATAATTTTTATATGTTAAATCTTTCATCTTTTGCCTTATAATTTTTTGCTTTTATATGCAAAAGGTTATCTCTCATTATGAAATATCCATACTTTCTTCTAATTATTTGATTATTTTGGCACTTCTACAGCAGGAATGCTTTGAACATCCATGTCATTTTAAGTAGTAATGTGATTTTGTAATATAGTTTCAAGCAATATCAACTGACTGTGATATTGTTATAACTAAAAAACACATGGTGGTCTAGACACCCATGCTGAATGGCTTTAGACAAATATTGTGGAAGATGTCTGTGTAGTTCATTGGCACATGTCAACCAGAATCAATTTACATCTTGCTCTCACTGATATTATGCCCTATGTCAGGATACTAAGTGTCCTGAAGCATTCTGACCTGTGTTCTTGGAATGTGATACAACACCAGGTATTCAGTGTTCTGGGAATAGTCAAGATCATCCAATTGGGCTTTTTTCTCAAAATGGTACTTCTTCTTGCAAAATATATGCTCTTCTCCTTGATGCTCTGCCAGCTGCTGGAAGCCTCTGCCGTGTTAGCAAGGCATGCCTGTTGAACTGACACACACACCCCTCATCTCCTAGAGCATGCCTTCCTGTGTTCCTCAGATCTAGGTGATCAGAACTCTAAGCATGCTCCTCAGAGAAACCATGTATAACATTGGGAGTTGCCTTTTAATTTCTATGATAAAAAGATGCAGTTTTGCTGGAAGGAGACTTGTCCTGAGATTGTGTGTCAATTTGGCTAAGCCGAAAGGAACTATGAGAGGAGCGGTTCTTAATCTGGGATCTGTGCATATCTAAATTGACAGTGATTAGTTTCAAGGGACCCTCAAATTCTCTGAAGTTACATGCCAGTTTATGAATAATATTTTGTACATATTCCTGGGGGAAAGGGTGAGTGAGAATTTTGTAACCCAATAAAATGAAAACTGACTGAATTAAGGGATTCACTGTAAACCCTTCTTAAAGGGGTCATTTTTTAAATCCTCACATTATAGTTCCTATGTGACTGGTATTTTCTTCACAGAATAGCAATGCCTTCACAGAGATTATTTCATTCGTAAAAACTTATGAGAAGAAAATACCCATACAGTAGTTTATTGTGTGAAGGGTATCTTCAATATCAGAGTGAATTTAATAGTTTTCGCAAGAAACCTTATTATGGTCTAACTTTCAGCTCCACACAGCACAGTGTGTATATATATTTCCATTCTGGATGCTGCCTTTTGGTCTGCTTTTAAAGAGAACAAAACCTTCCCAGCATAGAAATCCCACAAAGCAGGTTGAATGGCATCAAACTCATCCTCCTCGCTCCCACCCATTGCACCACAATGTGAAATACAGAACCTGGTTAAGCTTTAGAGACCAGACGTATGTGTTCACCCGTGCTACCTAAAGAAGGATTTACACATTCTGCTATCTTCCCAGCTTTGGAAAAATAACATCCTGTTCTCATCCGCAGAAAGTAGAGAGGGAGAGGAGGCACTCGTGAGAATAAGCAGACAACAACCTTCATCACAGCCAAAAGTACTATGCTGATCCCACCATAAATTATAGCAGCATAAAACCACAGGAAATCCAAAGGAAGTAAAATATTAATATTAAACCATAGCCACTCCACCATATATAATTTAGATAAATAATCCATTTTCTATATGTAGGATATTGGAATATAGCTGTTCGTCTGCCACTAGCAACAGTTGATATTTGAAAAGCATAGAGACTTTAGCTGCTGGTGGAGGGCAAATGTGTTTTATTCATTCTTATTCTTAACAGCCAAATGTCCTCAAATAAAATACTGATCAATGGCTAAAAATTTAAAGGCCGCTATATCTTTGTCTCATAATATGGATTTGTGGCCTAATCTAGCCCTTTCTTGACCTTTTTGCCTAATGGTGGGATATTAATAAGCGAAAGATGGTTACATAAAACATCCTCTGCATGTGAAATTTTTTTTACATATGAGTAACTTCAGGTGGCTGAAGATGGAATGAGCTAACCTGAAAGTAACAAGCTGCTCACTGTCTTGGCCAAATTAGGCTTAATGCTGAAAGGCATTCTTACTTAAGAAGTCAAGAAGGCCGGGGGTCAAGCCGTCAGGCCACGGAGTGCAGCTGTTGGACCACCTTTTGCAGTCTCCAAGGGAGCAAGCAAAGAAAATCCAGCAAAGAAAATATCTCAAAGAATCAACAGGGAGAGTAAAACAAAAATAACCAGATGTCCCAGAAGACTCTGTTGGTATTATGAAGAAGGCTAGAGCAGGACTAACAGGGTTTGGCTTTTATCAACCTTACTAATAAAAGTCACTTGGCTCTCCATCGAGAAGAGCAGTTGGTACAATATGGAAAGGTTTTAAAGACCATTAATTTCTTGAAATGAAACAGCTGGCCTTATTGGCTATTAAATAATGAGCCAGATTCTCCCCAGTGCCTAAGTCACTCTCTGGCAGTAAATTAGGCATTTAGGGAGGCACATTAACTCTTTAAGAAGATTAGAGTTCGATTTAGTGCACTTTATGCATAGGAAGAAAGTTACAGGGAATCTGGCTGAAGCTGGGCAGAGAAAAGATGGAGACAAGGTAGACTCAGATGAAAGAAACTAAACACATGATTTGTGTTAACTGGGCAGCTCAGGTGAGCATG
This sequence comes from Homo sapiens, assembly GCF_000001405.40. Classification (NCBI taxonomy): domain Eukaryota; kingdom Metazoa; phylum Chordata; class Mammalia; order Primates; family Hominidae; genus Homo; species Homo sapiens. The sequence goes on from NC_000002.12 coordinate 205,572,004, forward strand.
GGAAATTGGAGCAGTCGAGCTGTGGAGTTATTTTGTTTATTGTTCTGAAGTTCTATGAGCATGAAGGTAGAGAGTTGAGTCTTCATTTATTGATTCATTCATTCAGTAAACTTTTACATAAATACTACTATATAGCCAGCACTGAGGAAGTATTCTTCCATAAAACACAGTTCTTATCTCTAGGGATTTTCAGTCTCTGGTACCTTGGGAAGAGAGTAGAAGAATGACAAATTATAGATTATTTCAGTCAAGTAGAATAAGTGCTAAAATTTTATATGCATAAATGGAATTTGAAGAAGTGGCAAGATGTGTAGCACTTTATACAACACGCTAGGGACTTTGACTCTACCCAGAAGGCCTCAGGCCCTTGAAGGTGTTTAAAGAAAGAAATGGTTTAATCAGATTTGCACTGTAGAGAAAGCCCCTTGATAATTTCATGGAAAATAAATTGGAGAGACAGGCCGGGTGCGGTGGTGCACGCCTGTAATCCCAGCACTTTGGGAGGCCAAGGCAGGCGGATTGCCTGAGCTCAGGAGTTTGAGACCACCCCAAACAACATGGTGAAACCTCATCTCTACTAAAATACAAAAAATTAGCCGGGCATAGTGGTGGGCACCTGTAGTCCCAGTTACTCGGGAGGCTGAGGGAGGAGAATTGCTTGAACCCAGAAGGTGGAGGTTGCAGTGAGCTGAGATCATGCCATTGCACTCCAGCCTGGACAACAGAGGGAGAACCCCATCTCCTAAATAAATAAATTGGAGAGACAAGACTACAATCAGGAAGGGCATTGTGAAACTGTTTATGTGGTCCCTACAAAAGATGCTGAAAGCCTGAAATGAGGACATAAGTGGGTGTATTAGTCCATTTTCATGCTGCTAATAAAATAATACCCAAGACTGGGTAATTTATAAAGGAAAGAGGTTTAATTGACTCACAGTTCAGCATGGCTAGGGAGGCCTCAGGAAACTTACAGTCATGGTAGAGGGGAAGCAAACAGATCCTTCTTCACATGGCAGCAGCAAGAAGTGAAGAGCGAAGCAGGAGAAAAGCCCCTTATAAAACCATCAGATCTCATGAGAACTCACTCACTATCACAAGAACAGCACGGAGGTAACCACCCCCATGATTCGACTACCTCCCACCGGTTCCCTACCATGACGTGGGGATTATGGAAACTATAGTTCAAGATGAGATTTGGGTGGGGACATACAACCAAGCCATATCAGTGGGGAAGGGCAGGAAGGGAAGAGAGGCCTGTGAAGGAGCTGAGCTGACCTGTTTGATGCCTGATTAGATGTGGGCATCAAGAGAAAGACTGGTGCCAGAGAAAACTCTGGAGCCAGGCTGGAACAACTGGGTGGCTGGAGGTGCCATTCTCCTCATAGATGAGGAAGGATGGGTGTAAGGCTGGGTGGAAAGGCAGAGTGGTGACAATTCTGGGCTCCAGAGCATGGTTCCAATGGATGGCACATAGAGAACTCAAAGTCATCCATGGCAACCACCTCATGAGATTTGAAAAGTATGTATGAAAAGGAAACTGAGATTTTAAGACTACATAATTCCTAGAATTTAAACTGAATCCTTGGAAGAGTATTTTGCTTTGTTTGATTTTTGTGCCAAAGGAAAAGATTTCAAAGATGCAGGTGCCTCCAAACTGAGGTTCTATCATTGATCACCATCAAGAGTATTAAATTGATGGGAAACAAACTGGAAATAGTCATCTCTTTAAAAAGCCAACTTTTTTTTACAAGGAATATCTATAGTTAATAAAACATCGATCATTGATATGAATATCAGGAAATTTATACTCTTTGTGAGAAGTAGAAAACTGCACAGGTTGCAGACTAGACAAGTTAACAGTTCTTTCTCTGTCGGCACTTAAAATCCATACCGTGGCTTCTCTCTATGGTATGGAGTGAAACGTGCCAACAAATTGACTTAGATGATGTCAGTATCTGAAAATATGGAAGAAATTATATATTGGAGGAAAAAGAAGAAATCCTTATATATTAAAAGGTGTTGACAGCTTCACCGCAGAATAGCAAAAATGTCCTTAAAGATAAAACACTTATTTCAAAATTTTAGAAACCACAATTACAGTTTTATATACTATGTGCAGCAAAAGTCATTTTTAGAAAGAACATTGAAATCAAAGTTTACTAAACCAGTAACCTTGTGGCAACTTCCTGGTGAGAACCTCATTCTTCAGGAATGTGAAAAGCATAAAATTAAAAGAGTCGAAAGTTTGTAGATTGCCTAAACATAATTTACCACAGGCAGACAACGAACAAGACAAAACATGTCACTTAATATTATTTGCAAGTCAAGATGTCATCCTGGTGCCAGTTGCATCATGGTTTCAGGAAGAGATTTCCAGGTAGATGGCCATGAACTATGCCATCTATGCTACGCCATCTGTGTGGCTATGCCCATGTAAGCATTGTTATCCACGGGCTGCAGCTGGACGTGTTTGTTAACAGGTTTCCACCATACACCATAGTGACAATGGCTCCTCTAGAATAATTCCGGAAAGATCTATACCAACAGCGCTTGTTTGTGTCATTTCTAGCAGTAAAACCCCCGTTTTCTAGCATTTACAGGAATCAATAAAGACTCACTGACTTAGCACTCCAGTGGGGGGGCAACTTCACTTCATTGTAACATGCTGCCTGAACATTTAGCAGGAGACAAAGCCCTTCCCTTCACAGTTAAAGAGTTCAAAAATGAGAATTCCTGGGCTAAGATGCATGTGAGAATATCTTATTCTTTTCTGTGTTGACAAGGAGATGGGGAAAGAAGGTAAGGAGACATGGGGACTTATAGAAGCTGCAATGGGGAAGTCACTGAGGAGTAAAAAAAAAAAAAAAAAAGAAAGAAAGAAAGAAGTCATACCAAAGACAGAATTTACAGACTAGAAGCCTACAAGCTGTGGCTTCATCTGTCCTCCACAGAAAGGTTCATCGTATCCTTTGTCAGGGACCCATCTCATAAGCTCCCTTACTGGATGAGGAGAGAAAGCCATTGCTCTAGCAAAGCAAGGCATGATCCACATCAAAATACATTATATACACATTTAAATAGACACACACACACACACACACACACACACACGCGTACACTATATATAAAAATATATTTTCATGTAAGGTATATATATATTATACACACACATATATATCATATATATACAATATAGATAGATACACATACACACTGTTTTTAGTGCAGTTTCAGGTTCACACCAAATTTTAGAGGAAGGTACACAGATTTCTCATAAACCTGCCACCTCAACACATGCGTAACTTCCCTCATTACCAACATTCCCAACTGCAGTGGTAAAACTGTTACATCTGATGACCCTGCATTGACACATCATAATCACCCAAAGCCCATAGTTTACATTAGCGCTCTCTCGGTGTTGTTCATTCTGTGGGTTTGGACAAGTGTATAATGACATGTATGTATCATTATAGTATCATGCAAAGTGTTTTTACTGCCCTAAAAATCTTAAGTGCTCTTCCTAGTCATACCCCACTCCACACCATTACCCCTAGCTACTATTGATCTTTTTGCTGTCTTCATAGTTCTAACTTTTAGTATGTCATATGCTTGGAATCACACAGTATGTAGCCTTTTCAGATTGGCTTCTTTCACTTTATAATATGCATTTAAGTTTCCTCCATGCTTTTTCATGGCTTGATAGCTCATTTCTTTCTAAGGCTGAATAATATTCCAGTGTTTGGTTGTGGCACAGTTGATTCATTCACTTACTAAAGGACATCTTGGTTGCCTCCAGGTTTTGACCATTATGAATAAAGATGCTGTAAACGTGTATGGGCAGGTTTTCTTGTGGACATAAGTTTTCAGCTCTTTTGGGTAAATACCAAGGAACATGACTGCTGGATCAAGTGGCGAGACAATGTTTAGTTTTGCAGGAAAGCACCAAACTATCTTCCAAAGTGGCTGTACCATTTTGAATTCCCACAAGCAATGAGTGAGAGTTCCTGTTGCTCCACATCCTTGTCAGCATTTGGTGTTGTCAGTATTTCTAATTGTGGCCATCCTAATAGGTATGTAGTAGTATTTCATTGTTGTTTTAATTTGCATTTCCTTGATGACGTATGATGCAGAGTATCTTTTCATATACTGATTTGCCATGTGTATATCTTCTTTGATGAGGTGTCTGTTAAGGTCTTTGGCCCATTTTGTAATTGAGTTTGTTTTCTTACTGTTGAGTTTTCACATTCTATGTATATTTTGATAACAGTCCTTTAACAGATGTGTCTTTTGCAAATATTTTCTGCCAATTGGTGGCTTTTTTTTTTTTCATGGATTGTGACTTTGATGTATCTAAAAAGTCATCACCATGCCCAAGGTCATCTAGGTTTTCTCCTATTTTATCTTCTAGGAGTTTTATGGTTTCACATTTTAAATTTAGATCTGTGAGTCATTTTGAGTTAATTTTTGTGAAGGGCATAAGGTCTGTGTCTAGATTCATTTTTTGCATGTGGATGTCCAGTTGTTCCAGCATCCTTTGTTGAAAAGACGATCTCTTCTCCATTGTATTGCCTTTGGTGCTTTGTCAAAGGTCAGTTGACTATGCTAAAATGGGTCTACTTCCGGACTTCCTATTCTGTTCCATTGATCTCTTTGTCTATTCTTTCACCAATACCACAGTGTCATGATTAGTGTAGCTTTATAGTAAATCTTAAAGTTGGCTATTATCGGTTCTCTAAGTTTATTCTTCTCCTTCAATATTTGGTTTACTCTTCTTGGTCTTTTCCCTCTGCATATAAACTTTAGCATCAGTTTGTAAATATCCAAAAAAGACTTTCTCTGTTTTTGATTGGGATTGCATTGAATCTGTAGATCAAGTTGGGAAGAACTGACATCTTGAGAGTATTGAGTCTTCCATCCATAAACATGGAATGTCTCTCCATTTATTTAGGTCTTCTTTGATTTCTTTCATCAGAATTTCGTAATTTTCCTTAGATGTTATAAATATTTTGTTAGCTTTATACCTAAGTATTTCATTTTTGAGGGGGGCTTATATAAATGGTATTGTGTTTCTAATTTTAATTGCACTTGTTCATTACCAGTGTATACGAAAATGATTGACTTTTGTATATTAATTTTGTCTTCTGCAACCTTGCTATAATTGCTTATTAATTCCAGGAGGGTTTTTTGTGTGTGTGTCAGTTCTTTCAGATTTTCTACCTAGATGATCATGTCACCTGCAAATGAAGACAGTTTTTTTTTCTTTCCAATCTGTATACCTTCTATTTCTTTTTCTTGTCTTAGTGCATTAACTAGGACTTGAGTATATTTTTTAGTATCCTGTTTGCTGTTTCAAAAACCAACCAAATGAAAACAATGTCCATCAGGGCCAAGAGAAGCAAGTGCTTGAGGAAAATATTTTCCTTCATTTTTTAACCTTAAAAGTGTGGTAGGAAATGGGAAAATACTTTAAATAATTCAGAGGATTTGATGCACTGCGGGTGATAGGTGAATTATAAAAGAGAAAGCAAATGTACATGGATTTTATATTCAAATCCCATATGGGCCAAACTACAGAACAAAAAATAAAAAGCAAAGACTGAAAGAGTACATGGGTAACATGTATTTAACTATTTCTCAAGGATAGCTTAAAAATGAATTACGCTTGGCAATGTTTTTTTCTTTTCCTGTGATGACAAAGACAGTAGGAATATTTTTTTAAAGGGATCTTCACTTAGGTTAACAGTGTCTCCAAGAGTGTTCAAGTCTCCCTGCTCTCATCAGATGGTTCAATGCAGTTGGTTTTTAAAGCTACCAAAGTAACTTCCTGAGTATTTGGCCTGTCTTGTGGATTGATTCAGAACTACCCATTGCTTTCCAAAGAAAGTTGTTTCCGTATTTTATGAACTCTTCTATAACATTTATTTCTGGAACATTGATAAGAATACTGCTGATGGAAAGCAGTTTAGGCTGCAGGCATATACCTAATTTTTCTGCTTTGTTGGAGTAAATATGGAGCTCGCCTCACTGGATTGGCTCTGTATCAGTGTGTATCCACTCTTTAGCTACTTGTAGCCTGTCTCTCACCAGGGATATTCACAAGGGCCCTGCTCATTGGCCCCTGAGCAACTACTCTTCCACTGATAAGCTGCAACATCTGCCCCAGGAATTGATTTCCCCACAGACTCCACTCCTCTCACTATCCTCTCTTTACATTGACAGTGTTACGAGTGCATTAGATCAGGTAAGCTTCTGTGTGTCAATTCCAAATAACAATGTGGTAACTAGAGTTTCATTAATATCATGTCATCCAAAGCAAGAGGTTTATATCCCTTGTCAATACCATGACCATGCACATTTAAAGAACAAGATCCCCCCCAAAAAAGAAAGACCGTTCTCTTGCACATGTTTGTGACATTTAAGAAGTTACGACAGACACATCTATAACCCTACAATCACCTTGGCACCTGTACAGAAAGCTATAGTTAAATTATTGGCGAAGTACACAAGCAAATGAAGGTATATCTACTATGAAACATAAATAAAACATGTATCCTTACAAGATAAAGTAATATAAGCCAGAATCATAAGAATGAATGATAAAAATAGAATCATGAGAAAAAATGGTATCAAGGTATTGGTGGTGTCAAAATGGACTGGCCCAAAGCCAACCTTTCAAGCTGACCATGATATATCCAGATTTTGCTATCACATAATAATTAGTGATTTAACTGTATGAAGTCAAAATCTATGTCATTATTATATAGATTCTTGCACTGACACATCACGTCAAATTATCTTACTTTTTCTGTTTTTTAAATGAATTTTAAACTCATCTTCCCAATCAGAAAAAAATAAGCTTTTCCCAACCAGAAAGAATAAGGTAAGGGCCGTCTCTTAACCTTTTCTGCATTCTGCATTCTCTGCAGTACCTAGCTAGATAGTAGGTATTTGGTAAATATTTGCTTTCAAAAAATGATTATAATGAGCTGTTTTAATAAAGTGTATCCATTGTAAGAACACACGTAACATAATGAACAAATAATTAGCAAAACGTAAAAATGTAAATATTCCCATAAAACAGCTTTTTGAAGCTGTAAGAAAATATATTTCTCTTCCTAGCCTTCTAATTGTTTATTTTTGTGGGCCCTGAAGTCTCTTTTCAAAAAAGAAATGAGAACGGTTGAGCATCTGGATTTTGGGAATCAAAATGGTCGGGGGTGGAGGTGAGGAATGTCCGAGTTAAAGAATTAATAGAAAACCCTGAGTGGCCCATTTAAGGAAGAAAAAAGGCTATTGTGGCATCATCAGCTTTTCCTGGCTCTCTCATCCTCATCCTCATCCTCAGAGATGAGGTCTCCCCTGTGACCCAGAGGTACCTTTCCAGTATCAGTTTGAGAATTCTAATAAACAAGCTGAAGGAGCAGAGTCCCCAAAGGGGTGTCTGTGCCGACAGGGAAGGCAGCTGCGGTTATGAACCAGCACACACCAGAGGCCGGCAAGCTATTGGGACTTTGTGTGAGTGGGTGACAGTTTTAATTTCACTCCCCAGCAGACGTGGTATCCAGCCAGCAGTACTTCAAACCAATTTTGCAAATCACATTTTGTGGCTGAAAATTGGTTTACTGCACTCGTCCCATTTTGGAGGCCAACCTTGCCTGATTTAAGGTGGCGCCTTTGTTGAGGGGGGACAGTTAAAGGATTCCCTTTTCTCTAATTGAAACGACAGCATATTCTTTCACAGATTAATTTCAACTACCTATGTTTATATCCTTTAATCAGGATTATAAAAACAGCACAGATAATTTTCTGCACTATTCTTTTTTAATTTTTGAGGGAGTAATAATAGCCAGTTGGCTCTTGACACGTATTGCCTTATATAGCAGTTTTATTCCAAGCACCCTACCTTGGACTGTGTATCATTGTATTCTTAATTATTTTTAAACTTGATTTTTTCTCATATTTAAGTAACGGGGGAATAAAGTCTAAGTCATAGATTTCACTGACATTCCTTCTGTGAACTTAAAGATGATACTTGCATAAAGAGATTTGTCCCTTGGATTATATCTCACACTGAAATAAGGGCCTTCTTACTGGAAGAAATATTTCTTAAAAATGAGTACTTGCAAGAAGTGTTCATCTGTGAACTTTTACCAATTAGAAATGGCTCCATACTTAAGACTCTTTAATAATGTCTCTTAAGCAGCATTTTAGCTCATTTTTATAACACATTCAGGTTTGGTGATTTATATTAAACATTAAATGTAATAAATTTAGGTCTTTTTTCAAGTATGACGCACAGCATCTCTGAATCACCCATTTCAGCAGAGGGCCCCTGGAAGGTCCAATCTCTCGCTATCATTCATGCTTATAATAAAACGGGCTTCTCCGGTCTCTTCCTTGACATCGGTAATAATGGGAATGACATGTGAGTGGTGACACTGTTACAGGAGGGCATGTTGATATTGCTTCATGGCTGGGACTGAGTGTCCATGACCGGAGGGTGGGCTGAGAACACACATCAACAACTTGCTGTCTCAAATCTGCACCAAAAGCTATACTAATGCCTATTTTTTAACTATACAAAAATTCAAGGAGTAAGTTTCAGTGCCTTAAAAAAGGTGGCTTTGTATGTCTTACTCTATATGACTGCAGGTTTTAAAAGAATTAATCACGAAGAATTGAACTTGGAAACATGAATGGATCTCTTAATGATAGTCATATAAGAGAGATTTTAAATCTTCCTCTGTTTCAACCATTCTACCAATGGTTGCTGCATTCTTCACTTGGTGAGTCATGAGAAGGCACGAGACACTAAAATGCCTTGGAAAAAAAGCTGCTCTCCTTGATGAAACAATAATTAGAATAGCCTTCTTTAGAACTATCATGAGAAATTTCACTATAAATTATTCTATTTCATAGTGACAGTGACTTACAATATAAAGTAAGTTTTGACTGCAATCTGAGTATAAAATACCAGGATACTTTTGGGAATATGTATCTTTAATTCAGAAAATGCTCACATTTCAAGTATTTGAATAAGATTAAGCATTAACTAATGCTTTCATTAAGATACCTAAGCATTTATACCCAAAAGAAAGGGAATTGGTATATCAAAGAGATATCTGCCCTCCCACGTTTATTCCAGCACTGTTCACAATAGCCAAGATTTGGAATCTACCTAAGTGTCTATCAACAAATAAATGGATAAAGAGAATGTGGGGTGGGGAGATATATATAGATATATATAGATATATATAGATATAGATAGATAGATATAGATATATAGATAGATATAGATAGATAGATAGATCCTGTCATTTATATCCCTGTCATATACGTGTGTGTGTGTACGTGTGTGTACGTGTGTATGTATGTATATATAAATATATATAAATATATATATAAGTATATATAAATATATAAATATATATAAATATATATAAATATATATGACAGGATCTTATTCTTTTTATGGCTGAATATTCCACATGGTGCACAAGGATGCAGAAACATAGAATAAATAAGATCTAGTATGTGACAGCACAACAGGGTAACTACAGCCAATAATTTAGTATATATTTTTAAATAACTAAAACAGTGGAATCGGAATGTTCCTAACACAAAGGAATGATAAATGCTTGAGGTGGTGGATACCTCAATTACCCTGATACGATCATTACACATTGTATGTCTGTATCCAAACATCACATGTACCCTATAAATAGATACATCTACTAGTAAAAACTAAAAATCAAAATTTTTAAAAAGATACCTAAATCATCTAAAAACTGTAATTATTTTCTTAGAATAAAAAGATGGTGGAAGTAGGCATAACTCCAATTTTCAGGCACATGAAGGTTATTGCCTCTGTGGCAACGTTTGTGGATGGGTTTGGAGATGGTCCACAGAGCCTGGCAGCAGCTTGGTTCCCTTGGTTCCCAGATGGGGAGCCTGGTCCTGCTGTCTTCATTTCTGGTTGACACTTGGAAATGACTAGATGAGGAGTCATGCATTAGCCAACCCAAATCCATCCCTCATGCAATCAGTCCTCAATCTCAAATGGGCAGTTTCTACTGGCCTAGAACTTGGGGTACCTTTCCTGTAGAAATGATGCACTATGCAGTGAGCAGGTTGCAAGGCTTGCACAAATCTACTTAGCTCATGTAAGTGAAGTACCGTCCATGTGAAAATCATCTTAAAAATATGGTTGCTGTGGGACATCGGCTAACACACCTGCCCTGGTGTGGGCATTCTCTACAGTTAATAGACTCTGGATAATTCCTATCGTCTTGCCTTTACGTACTAGAGTCTCATAAAAAATGAGAAATAACGAACGGAAACAGAATGAAGAAACATTGCTTTTAAGAATACCATTACAATGCTGGTAATTAAAGCAGAAAAAAATAAAATTAAGTAATCATGTTTCATCTATTTTAATAATTGTGCTTGAGAAAAAGCAGGTTCAATCAGAGAAGGATGAGGAAGTAGCTGGAAGCTGTGTTTGAGGTTCTCAAGGAGGCATCTGGCCACTCTCCATGTTGATGACTTTGATTCCTTTGGGAATTTTTTTTAAATTCTCTAGACTAGATTATTGCCTTTTCCTCAAATATTTTTGGCAGTGAAACACAGAACAAATGGAACCAAGAGCAACAAGGAAGGTTATTGTTTTTTTTTTTTTTCCTACGTGTCTAGGGAAGAGTGAGAGAGGCAGGGAAAGGAGATTGGGAGCTAGTAAAGGAAGTGGCATTGCCTCCGATAAAAGTAACTGAGGAGTTTATTAGTGACACTTATAGGGAAGTGGCCTGCTCAATTCCCTTGCCAACTGATGCAGGTGAGGGAAAAAAAAGAAGGGATGAGGAAGAGATATCTGAGCCTACAGTTCCCTGTGACAGCTGGGGAAAAGGGCACCGAATTCAGGACAGCTCGGTCATTGAACTGGCCATTCTCAGAGTAGCAGGGAATGGGTGCTTATGGCAGGTGGGGGGAAGGGTGTAAATATATAACCTAATTGTATAGAAATATAAGTTAATTGTTACAAAAGTGTATGGAATTGGTTGTTCTTGATTTAGGGAGATTCAGGTTGTTCTTGATCCAGGACAGAAAATGTGCAATATATGCTCTCCGTGGATTCTTTTGTGAAATGAAAATTAGAGCATAGCAAGTGGTTTTGAGTCTTCATTTAACAAGTACGCAGGCACTGCCTGTGTTATCAGCTTGAAAGTCTGCTAAGAATGGATGGGAGAAACAGAGCAGTTCACATTTGCTCTTTGAACTCAGAGAACTGATCTGAGTGCATGGCAATGATGATGGAAGGAATTAGGAAACGCTGGAAATCATATGCAAAGAAATTAGTCATCTCTCTCCTCCTAAGCTCTGTGTGTGTGTGTGTGTGTGTGTGCGCGCGCACGCGCGTGTGAGAGAGAGAGAGAGAGATGCACATACTACTCTGGATTGCCTTGAGAATAGACATCATGATGGTGGTGGTGGTGATGAAGAGGATGAAAGCAGCTGATAGTCATTGACTGCTCATTGTGTGCTAGGCGCTGTTCTAAGCATGTTATGTGTATTCACTCATTTAATCCTCACCACATCCCTATTATGTTGGTTCCATTATTTATCTATTTCACAGTTGAAGAGTTTCTTACCAAATTTTAATCCAATAGTCCCAAATGCAACCAAAATGAATCATACCTTTTGTAAAATGATCTTAAAACCATACTCATTTGGACGAATTGGAACAACCATTTTGATACATAGCAAAAGATGCTACGGAGGTCTGCCACAATCTTTAATCTATTTCCTTTTCCTGTCTTACATCCCCCTCTTCCACCTCACCTCCAGTTCTACTGGCCTATCTTCTAACTCTGTCTACACAACCTGTGCCTGTCACTTCCAAACTGCCCCTCATAAATTGTAAAACAGAAAGGAAGGGGAGGATTTTACACATTCTCCTTCATTTTGCTGGGAATTTATAAAGAGCCATGTTACCCATGATAACTCTAAGACACTACAGGGCATTTTCAAATATTTTATCTTGGAAACTTGATTTTCGAAGTATTTAGGAAAATGCTTCAAAGTCAAAAATTACAAGCAGTTAATCACAATTGGAAATAATTCTTTGTAGATCTGCACTCCAATATGGTAGCCGCAACAACATGGGGCTATCAGACATTTAAATGTGTCTGAATTATGATGTGCTTTAAATGTAAAATGCACACCAGGTCCCAAGACTTAATGCCAAAAGCAAAAGAATATTAAATATAAATTATTTTTATATGGATTACTTGTTGACATTATCATACTTTGGATATATTGGGTTAAGTAAAATAAATTATTAAAATTAGTTTTACTTTTGAATGTGGATACAAGAAAGTTTTAAATTATGTATGCGAGGCCGGACACGATAGCTCATGCTTACAATCCCAGCACTTTAGGAGGCCGAGGCAGGCCGATCACCTGACGTCAGGAGTTCGAGACCAGGCTGGCCAACATAGCGAAACCCCATCCCTACTAAAAATACAAAAATTAGCCGGGTGTGGTGGCGGGTGCCTGTAATCCCAGCTACTCGGGAGGCTGAGGCAGGAGAATCGCTTGAACCCGGGAGGCAGAGGTTGCAGTGAGCCAAGATTGCACCACTGCACTGTAGCCTGGGCAACAGAGCAAAACTCCATCTCAAAAATAAATAAATAAAAATAAATAAATAAATGATATATGTGGCTTGCATTATTTTCTCCTGGGGCAGCAATGCTGTAGACTGTCAAAGAGGCTCCATCTATAAATGGTGATGGTAGCTTCTGTTGAACCACCCTGCTGAAAGTTTGAAGAGCTCATGTTCAGCCTGAGCCTTCTTTTTTGGAAAACACTTTTTTCCCCTTAGATTGTACATAATACCAGGCACACCTGGATTTCTGGATAATTGCACCCACAAGTGGCTACATGCAGACACAATTAGGTGCTTGCAACTTGTTGAAGGCACAGGTGTCTAATTGCGCCCACAAATGACCGTTTGACAGGCACCACTCATTGTGCACACCCGCTGATTATGGGCAGAAAATGGCACCAACCAAAATGGAGGCCTGGATAGTGGAGGCGTGAAAATAGATCCTTCGTAACCCCACAGCCTTGGAATGATTGCTCACTCCTTTCTGGCTTAGTCTTTTTTGTGGAATGCCTGCCTAGGTGTTTATGGCAAGAGGCATATTTGGAATGCACAGGCTGGGAGATGAAAATGTGTATGCCCTATCCCACAAAGTAAATGCTGTCTTGGGCTTTTAAGTGAATTGGGGCTAACAAAATCCACACTGTCAACCTGAGTAGCCTTAGAGTGGATTCCACCCTGCTGGGGCTGGCTGTTTATAATGGCTAAAAATGATGGAGTGTGAGAGAATCCCCAGGGACCCTTTGGTAAATAGTAGTTTTTAAAGGGTTAATCCAACCTAATGAATCATTTAATGGGGATGAGAAGGCCAGGATGGTAGCCTCCGGAAGAATCGGCAGGCATTTATTTAAATGGGATCAGTTAGGGAGGGAGCAGGCCAGCTGTGTGGCAGGGACTGTTGGTGCAGGTCACTTCTCCAGGCAGGGAGTAATTGATATCCCCAGCTCTCCTAACAGCTGAAACAACAAAGCGGGACATGGAAACATGTTCACTTACACAGATTTCAATGTCCAAAGGAAATGTGGGGGACACTTAGGCCCTGCCTCTTCAGGTTTTAGGGCTTTGAAGGTGGGGAATCAGGAGTCAGCTGTTTCTCCCCCACCACATTTCAGGAAGGGCTTTGAACTGGATTTCGGTAGCTTTGTGGGCTCTTGCAGAAAGAAAGCCTTGTCAGCACTGTGGATGATAAGTATCCACCCTCCGGCCACAGCAGGTCTGGTGGTCACGGGAACCCACATCTTACATTCAACAGAGCAGCCTACGTCCACAATAAACCAACAGTCCAGGCATTGGTTTCTGAGCTTTCAGAAGGCCAATGTGAGGAAATTCAAAACACAACAGCTTGACTTGGTTTTTCCAGGGCAGAAAAAAGATTTTCTCCTAATGAGGGATGGCTTTCATAGTGTGTATTTATTTGCAATATAAGTAAGTTCATGATTTACCCATCTTGACAAATTCTCTGTCTTGGATCTTCACATCCCTTTGTGTCCGCTCTTTATTTATGATGATAGCCGCCTATTCTTGAATGGCAATGCTGTTGTAATAAATCTCCATAAAAAGCCAATTCTCAGTTCAAGTTACTGCAGGCTGAATATGAGGAAGACAGTCAGAAAACACATATTGATTGTCCTCTTTTAGAGACTCCGTGACAGGCTCAGCTCAGAACTTCTTTCATTTTGACTGGACTGCAGCTCAACCTAATGTCAACTTACCATAATTCTTTTATGTGGAAGGCTATTATTCCATTATGATTTTCTCTCTTGTCACCTAGTATCCAGAAAGGGTTCTGTTGGGAAGAGATTACTGGAGAATATTCTTCATCTCAGATATTTCGTTCCTTATGGTCTGGCCTGACCTTTCCTTGTTTATTTTAGAAAGGCAGTGGAAAATGTTCTGTCTCCTGTTTTTAGCCATCTTTATACATAGCCTTAAGATATACAAAATTATATACATATTAGATATATTTTTATATACATATATATAATTTCTTTGGGAGTTTGGCATAAGGATAAAATTATTTGGATTTCATAATTTCATACATTCTAAGTCACAATTTTCCTATACTTGACACATTGCCTAGTATTTGATGCCCTGTTATTGGAGACAATTTAGCACTGACACAGACTAGCATGGCGTAATAGTTTTCTTTTGTACAAAGGCCATTGCAAAATTTCAGTCTGGGGCCAAACATCCCTGTAGTTATTTTTTTTAATGTTTCATAAGTTGTAAACGTTGATACCAAGTATGTGGTGGGTGTTATAAGGCTTTGCCCTTTGTCCATTTCAAATTTTTCGTAACAACCTGCACGGTGAATTTCTCGAGTCTTTCTTCCAAGAGCAAAGAGTCTCCATGCCAACACATCCACTTTCATCCTTTGGCCTTAACAAGTAAGCTTCACATTGGCGTGTGTTAAGAATCACATTGATAACCACAGTTGACCAGAAGACCTACATTACTATCAGGTACCTTGAGGAGTCTAGTCTCTGATGCTAATATAGAAATCATAGGTCTCAAAGAGCTAATGCGGTATTTGAATGAGTCATTGCATCTTGAAAAATCACAGAAGTCACTGGTCATGAGGCAAATTGTTTCCATTTCTTCGTAAGCCACAATTATATTTGCGGTGTAGATTCGGTTTTGCTTCTTAGCATTTTTATGAAGAAGCTACTTAATGGAAAAGGATTCAGAAGGCCTATTCTTAAAACTCTTAATGACCACAATCAGCAGTAGAATATATCAGATTTATATCTGATGGTTGACTATTGTACTATCCATATTTAGTAAATCACTGCTCTAATGTTCTCAATAATAATACCGTGGCCATCAGAAATAGTTTATACTCTTTTCCAAATTCCTGACATGTAAGAAACGCAGTAATACTAAAAGCTTCTGGTACCTCATTGTGTTGGCATTGACCTTACCTTCTCTCTGTGGCTTTCCCTTTCCCTAATGTAGGTAGAGCTGCTGTATTTCAGGCAAGCACTCAGGTATTGGGCTATTTTAGTTGGGTTTTTGCTTTTTATTGATTTGGAGTTTTAAAATCTTCTTCTACCACGAACTCTACCCCTGACAAACGGTGAGAAAATAAATAGAATTGCTAGTCTTCATCACACGGAAAAGAGCTAGTGAGCTATTTCGTTTCCTCCCTTTTTCTGCCCCCTTCTCTTTTCCCAGCTTCCCATTTATAGCCCTGCTTTGCAGAGACAGCAACAGATACTCTAGAAGCAGGATGAACATGAGAGTGGATTTACAACATGGAAAGCAAAGGCCATGCATTCCTAAAGGGCAGGGAAGGCCTTAAGGGCAGGGCTTTGACTTTTCACCACTGCCTCCTCTGCCTAGCACCTGCATGCAGTGGGCATTCAACTAATATTTAAGGCAGAACAGGAAGGAAAGGCAAAAACTTGGGAAGAAATATACAACTGAGGAGAAAATTTCCAGACATTTCACTGTGAAGGTGTCAGAAAAGACAGTTCTCTATTTTCAGCCATACTAAGTGGACATTCTACTTGTATTATTCTGTGAATTTTCTAATTGAGTCATGAAAATTCTTTCATTGAAAGCACATTCTTTTTTAGTACTTTGTATTTTTCCTCATAAAAAAGATTTCCTCTAACATAAATGCATAAAGCAATAGAAAATCATGATTGAGATGACATGGCATGTTTTCCACATTTCAATTTTCAATACTTTGTATCTATCCCAGAGAATTCTTTCCACAGCACACTTTTCTTATTTTTGTTATTCATCCAGACCTGAATTTTTTAATACATTCAGCAATTTTTATCAAACATGAGTGATTGGAGTTTTTCCAGACAAGTAATGTTTTTTTTTCAAGTGTGAGATTTTGTGTGCGTGCATGTGTGTGTGCGTGTGCATATCTTCTGTAGAGTTATAGAAAGCTCAGTTTTAAAAGGTGGCCAAAAAAATGAATCAATGAATAAAGTGGAATTAAGAGTCACCCGTAACCTTGATGCTAGTGGTGGTACAGATGTGTACATTTGTAAAACCTCATGGAACTGAACAGTTAAAATTGATACATTTATTGTATATACATTATACTTCAATAAAATTTTTAATTAAAGAAAATAAAAGCTCATCTTCATCTGGGCTTTACTTGCTAGTCCATGTCATGGCGGAGCTTCAGTTCTTAGGAAATCTTCCATTGCTATGGCCCTTGCTGTTCCCTGGCAAACTCCAACTCTCAGGGATCTCTACAATGCCCTGGCTTTCAAAAGCACAGGAGAGAACCCAAGCAAGCCTGGCTGCTTTGTGCTGCTCCTTAGAAACGAATTTCCATGTTCTTGGGCCACAGAATAGTCTGCCATTCAAATAAGCATCTCTGGCTGGGCATGGTGGCTCATGCCCATAATCCCAGCACACCAGGAGGCTGAGGCAGGTGGATCCTTTGAATCCAGGAGTTTCAGACCAGTCTGGGTAACATGGCAAAACCCCATTTCTACAAAAAATACAGATATTAACTGAGCATATTGGTGCATGTCTGTGGTCTCAGCTACTCAGGAGGCTGAGATAGGAGGATCTCTTGAGCCCGGGAGGTCGAGGCAGCTGTAGTAAGCTGTGATCGCACCACTGCCCTGCAGCCTGGGTGGTGAAGCGAGACCCTGTCTCAATCAATCAATCAATCAATCAAATCCTGAGCCATATCACTCTTTTTATCAAATCACTATGCCACAGGATGAGATTAAATCTCACCACAGGATCTCACCAAAATCAGGCTCTCCAAACCTCTGTTCCCACGGCAACTCCAGATCCAGTCCCATCTCAAATGCTGTCTCTAAACAGAGAGATGCAGACAGAGATGAGGAACTAATCAAGGTGCATGTTTCTGTGTCTGGAAGTAGGAGCAGGCTGGAAGAGATGGGCACAGTGGAAGTCATTTTGGTACCTTCCTTTTTATTTACTCCCTTGGGTCTGAGCAGGCAAGACTTGTCTTGGCATGTTTTCTATTTATATAACTAATTGCAAATTAATTGCACCCTCACATTGTTGTCTCTATTGGAGAATTGCTAGAGGACTCGAGTTAGGGATGATTCACTTTCTCAGAAGTAGACTAACATAATTGCATATGTAGTTACTAAAGTTAGTTATAGGCACAGATATCTGAGCCTAAAGGAAGTTTGTCAGGAACCAAAAATCTATCAGACACCCTCCTACACTCCATGCCTCTCCTATTTCCCTGTCCACTAACATCTTTAGCACAGCTGAAAGAGGGAGTTCTTCTAGGTCTTTTGCTTTTCATTTTCTCTACCCTGGAAATGTTGAAAGCTGTATCAAGCTGAAGAAGCATAAGCTGCAACAAAGCTTTTCTCCCCCAAGGTGGTTTCCAAAGTGAATGACCACTGGCTCTTTCTAAGTATTTTATCCTCTAGTACTTACATTCATACCTATTGGTATGAATATACCAACACATGAATGTACACATGGACAATAGGTAAACATTATTGTTCTCTCTACATATTATTCCGATGCTTTATTTATCCAATACAGGAAAAGAAATCTATTGGTAGATGTAACTGAATTGAAAAGTCCAAGGACAGACTTATCTTCAGGTTCAGCTACCCAAGATCTCATAAAAGGCTGTCAGCACTTGGCTTCTTTCTCCCCATCTCTCGACTGTTTTCTTCATTGTTGGCTTTGCTCTCAGGCACGCTCTTCCACCATGGTGGCAAGATGGCTGCCCACAGCATCAGGCTTACTTCCCCCTCTTCTCAGCTACTCCACAAAAGAGGGATCCTCTCATTTTAACATTTTCCACAGAAGTCCTAGGATCATCTCAGGTTGCTTTTATCGCGGTATGTTTTTAACCATACACAATCACTGTGCCCGAGGGGATGGAACGTTCTGATGATCCAGGCCTGGGTCACATGCCCCTCTGGAGTCCAGAGTGGAGTCATTCCACCTGAACCACATGGACTGAGAGTGGGCATGGAATGATTCCCAAAAGAACAGAAGGCTGTCACCAGGATAAAGTAGGACAGATGCTAGACTGGCAAAAGCAGCAACTTTCTTCCACTGTCTCAACTCGGATCACAAGGGAAGAAGGAAAGATAGGATCAAGGATGAAGGAGAAAAGTAGAAGCTGTTGCCACATATTCACAAGAAGTAGGATGAGTACCAAATCCCTAAAAAATGTTCTGTCAAACCAGTACACCAAACCCTCTCTGCTTCCGGTCTGCTTGTCATTTGACCCACAGGCTTCAAGAATACTTCCTCAAGTAAATATAGTCCAGTGATTCATCCATCAGATAATCCCATATAAAGGAAAAAGACAAGAGAGACAAGAATTATGTCTGTTTTGAGACCAGGATGGTCTCTTGGCTGTTGCCCAACTTCCTTTGGGTTTGGCTGCATCTGTCCCTCACTTTAGAGCTCCACGTGTCATTGTGTTTGTCTTTCCCTGAGAATGTGAATAATCCCAAGTCTAAGTCATCCAGCATTTCTCAGAGAGGTGACATCAATGTAGACCCACCAAGGAGTAGCAGTTAGACATCTAGAATATAACTAGGACAAGACAAAAAACTGTTTAGAGAGAGTGTACATTTTAGTGTATTTTGTATAAGTTTTTTCAATGAACATAGTCCATACATTTTGGGAAAGTGGTAATAACTTGCTTCATTTCCATCTGGAGGAAGCAGATTTTTGGAGGAGAAATAAGCCTCTAAACATATTTGAATATTTGAAAGACTGAGAAAAGCACATGAGAAGTTATGGAATCAAGAATAAATAAAAAGTTGGGGCAGGAATAATAATAACTGCCTACCATTATCAGTCACTTACCACACCCATGCACCATGCTGAGTGCTTTACAGACTTTCTCATTTAACCCTCCTAGCTACTCAGTGGAAGCAAATAACCATTACTATCCCAATTTGACAGAGGAAGAAACAGACTGTCTTACAGAGGAAACATTCGTTCATTGGAAACCCAGAACTGTTGTTCCTAACCTCCCTGATGTCTCATATTTTGATGCTCATTGCAAGATCTGTGTTGATGGACAGGATTGCTGAGCTCAAGGTTGGCTGGAACCTAAACACAGACATACAAGGAGGGAATCAGGAGGGACCCCAGTCAGATGAGATAAAAAGAGAAGGTCTGGTGGTTCAGGTCACTGAAGAAAAGGAAGCTGTCCGGTTTGGATAAAAATTCAATGTCCTCACAGGCAGAGGAGAGCAAAGCCTGAGAAAGAATCTCATAAAAGACAAAGGCAAAGGTTCTGTTGGCATCAGGATGGTCCAGCAGGGAACGAAGACACCCAGGCATGGACATTAAGATTCAAGGCTAGGATCTCATTTAATGGTCACACCTAGACAAAGTGGAAGGATAATCCTACCAGTGATGATGTCTTACAGTGTGTAACTGGGCTTTGTCAGTTACACAGTGCTTTTTCATACTTCCCTAATTTTATCTTCTCCCAGCAGGCCTAGGAGCTTGCTTAGTATCATAATTCCCACTTCCGAGTGAAGAAAATAAACACAGAGAAGTTTCTCATTCAAAGCCAATGGCAGAGCTGGAACTTGAACCCAGGTGTTTTGCCTCAGAGCCCAGTGCTCTTGTTTACTATAGTGGGCTGAGCGTAACATCAAGGTTGACTTGTTCATTGGAATTGCTGTACGCCTTGGGAGCTTGGTCATTAGGCAACAAGCAAGATGCCAGTCACTGGGAGAGAAAGGGATGAGGCTGAAACTCAAATGAGTACCCATTTAAAGAAAAGAAAACCCCTTCTTTCCCACAACAGGAATCTCCAGCGAACATCCACTAATAAACTTTATATTGGGTGCCTACCATGAGCCAGGCACTGGAGAGTGAACGGTGAACTCGGTAATAGTCCTTACCATCACAGAGCTCACAGTTCGTTGGAGACACCAGAAAACAGGTGATTAAATACAATGGTTATTGATTCCATAGAGGCAGAATGTTTCCCATACAACTATAATGCCTGCGTTATATTTAAGGTTTTTCATGATCTTATATATCTTACCATATAAATCTAAATCAATCATAACGTATATTTCTGAGATGATTACTCAGTTAGCTCATAGGAGGGGCATCTGATTCAGAAGTAAAGGATCAGGAAGAAGCGGCATCTGGAACAAGTACAGATGGCCAAATCAAGAACCTTTCTCTTGGCCTCTGAGCTACTTGCCCAAACCGAACTCTGTCTTCAAGGTTCCCTTAATGCAGTCCCCTTGTCAGAAGCCACACCTGCAGCAGATGCCCCATGGCACTGACTCAGCCTTGAGCAGAAGCACTGTGTTTTGTCTTTCATCTCATTGCCCAGCTAGGTGCAACCTGGATAGACATTGTGGCCCATACCTTTTTTATATACTTTATATTTGGGTTTTTAATTGTTGTCACCATCACCAACCAAGGAGTAAGATGGCCCTCTGGGTCAGAGTAACATTAGAAGTTTTGTCCATCCAGTTTTAGAACTACAGAGGAAAGAGGAGAGCATTATTTTTTTAAGAGTAAGCATTTGATTTCTGAAAGCAATTCTGATTGCCTATCCCTGACAAATGAATTGTTCCCCAGAAGCCATTTCTTTCTACCAGAAAAAATACTAGAGAACAACAAGTAAATTTAAATTTAGTTATTTTTCCCCACCTTGATTGTCCATGTTATTATTGTTTAAATGGTGGTGATGAAGGTAATTAACTTTTTAATTCATTTTTTGGTTGTAGTTGATGCATTTTTTAAAACCCCAACTGAGTGAGTGCCACAATTACAAATGGCTCTAAGACTGCTAAAATTTCAATGGGTATTTTTCAGCTTCTGGTTTTGCCAAATTTTAGTTCACTAAACCACACTTAAATTAATTTGCTAAGTAGAAAATTCCCCAATGGGATGTTAGTGAAGGATAAGTATGTTGTAAATAAAACAATTAAAGGGCTAGTTCACACCTCATCAAATTGCTTAACAACCTGATACCAGTTAACTACATACATTCCTCATAAACTGCATGGAACATGGAACAAGGAGGTAAATTAGAGTCCCCCTTTTCTGAAGTGGGACGCAATTACCCTTAAACTGAGGTCCAGTATTACGGTGGCGAGAGGTGGGGTAGAAATGCCACAGTATGACCTTGTTGGCTGTGGAAATATCTGCATAATGCTGTCAATAGGGATTGCAAATTCTGATCCAGAAATCCCGTTAGGCAGAGCAAGTTCCCCTTCCTAATTGTAGCCTCATAGACACAAGAGTAATATAAGATCATGGATTCATTTTATCCCAACATTCCTCCAATGTGCTGTCACCCATATCATTTCATCCACTCTTATGAGAAGAAAAGCACATATTACTTTACAGATGGAGAAACCAATGCACAGATAAGTGAAGAGGCCCAGTCAGGGTCACACTTGCAGAGGGCAGGCTGAAGGGCAGCAACGTGAGCTGAGTTCATCTTGGCCTGGAGCCTGTGTGGTTTCTGGCAGGG
Source organism: Homo sapiens (assembly GCF_000001405.40). NCBI lineage: Eukaryota > Metazoa > Chordata > Mammalia > Primates > Hominidae > Homo > Homo sapiens. The sequence goes on from NC_000002.12 coordinate 205,594,113, forward strand.
CCATGAAATTATAACCCCTGTCAACTCATTGGAGGCCACCTACACAAATGCCTTCATTTTACAGAGTTGAAGATAAGGCCTGAGAAAGTAAAGTGACTTGTCTGAAACTTCCTGGGATATGACCCAGTGTCCGGAGCTCCTATCCGAGGTCCCTTCTCACTTCTGCAGCAGTCGCTTGCCTGGAGTTATTTAGGGATAATTTATTTTTTAAGATGTAAATGTGAACCAGGTAAGGTGATGGAAATTTTAGTCTGCCTCTCAGGACACTTCCCCTCTTTAAAGTGGGGAATTGGGATGGCACACACCTATTAGCAGAGGATGCAAACTGAACACAATGATGTGGAAATCTAGAGAGCAAGATTTATTCACATGGGTCAGGGACCATGTGAATAAACCCAAATAGCTATAGGGGCACATGGGAAATGTCAGTGAGAGAAGCAGGTGGGAGCAGAGCCTAAAGAGGACAAAGTCCCTTCCTCAAGAGCATAGCTTCACTTGACCATGACCTCCAAGGAAGGCAAGTCCTGAGATTAAAGAAAAGCAGGAAAACTGAATTTTTATGTGAAAGCCCTTGACTTTGAAGTGTCAGCAACTGGCTGAAAATTTTTTAAACAGTGTGTTGGGGATGGGAGTGTATAAAAATGAGCCTACAGATTGCAACCTCTGTTAGAGGATTTCCTACCCTGACATATCAGTGTAGAGTAGGACATTTAGGGTCCATACCACTCAGCCATAAAGTTTGGATTTGTTTACAAATGTATTTGCTTGTTCATTCAAGGTCTTTGGACAATCACCTTATACTCCACATAGAAGATCCAATTTTATTTTTATTTTTTAAAGACTGAGTGTGACTTCGAACTCAGAAAATATTGAGGGCCTCAGTATGATTGGTCCTTTTGTTTGTTTATTCACTTTTAAAATTCAGTTTCCATCACAACCCTGCAAGGGGAGGAAAGGCAGTCCCAATATTCCCATTTTACACATGAGGTTATTGAGGCTCAGGAAGGGTATTTTCATGAAGTGCCTCGCACAATTCAAGCCCAGTCTTCACCTCTGAGTTGCACACTCTCTCCCAGTGCACTGATGCACCCAGAGATCCCTCAGAACTGAAAACTGTGGGAGCACCTGCCCACCATAGAGGACAAATGAACCTAGTTCCAGAACAGGTGGGCAGGTTTTGAAGCCTCAGGTCCATAAAGCAAAGGCAGAGCCTGGAATTCCATCTCTCTGAAGTTCAAAAACCAGCTGGCATGGGGCAAACGGTAAATAACATTTTATTGGGTAATGGCTCTTTAGTTTTAAATCACTTCAGCATTTACTTTTAATTAATTTCTTTAAATTAGACGACTCATACTTGTAAATATTTGCTTTTCTATGATAAGCTTTTATTTAAATTATTAAAGCTGCAGCTTCGTGACTGATTTTAAGAATTGAGGTTGCCGCTATACTAATGATAGAAGGCATGTGATTAAAAACAAGGAAACCATTTCACATTGGTATATAAACCAACACCAAATATGGCTGGAGCAAAGCAGCACTCAAACAAATAGAAGAGAGGGTGAACTTACAGTTTTCTTTGATTTGTTCAAGGAATAAATCAATAAATCAGGGAGTTAGAGAACAATGTAGGATGAAATAACATCTAAAGGAGCTCACTCACAATAAAACCTTGTCTTGCTCTCTCTTTTCTAAAAGCACTCATCAATGGCCCTGGACCCACATACTAGTTTGCTAAAAGGAGTGAGAGTAGGTCATGGGAGGGGGGTTATGGAGAGGCTCAGGACAGTGAGTAACTGTACAAGAACATTTGAGACAAAAAAAAAAGAAGAAGTAATGATGAGAGCAGAGTAATTGCATAGCCCTCATCAGTTTGGGTTATTATAAGCCTTGATGTGCTAGCTGCTCCATTTTACCAGCATCAAAGGCAAGTATGGAACCCACAGAAGGTAGGCTGACAGGCTGGATTACAGCAAAAGGAGAAATGACAAAGGATACTCTAATTTCAATAAAAGAAGATTTGAATGTAAAAGGTTTGTAATTACATTAATAACCAGTCTTTACCAACCATGTAATGATCAGCCAGAGTAAGAAGAGACCAAGGCAGGATGGGGGAAATTCACCACAAGTCATCAATACCTAAGAACCTGTTAATAACTTTTATTATTTGTTGAAAATCATCTTGACAACACAGTTCAGTAACCTTTGTGCTATAAATCCATTTCATCTGCAAAAATGAAAGCTGAATAGAATGTGATATTATATAGAATCTCTCATGCTGATGCTATCTCCAAAGTGCTCTGCCAAATAATGAGCTGGATTCTGGATGGGAGGGCTGTGGGGGGCCAACAGCAGATACTTGTGTATGCCTACCAGGCCCAGCTTGGGGCTTTGGAACCAGCTTAGCATAGACTGAAATGAAGGCTGAAAGTTACCCTTCACCCTTTACTGAAAATTATCATGGGGTGCTTAGATTCTACATCAAAATTAATAGAGAGAAGCCAAAAGCACTTCCATTTATTATCTGGTGGAAACTGGGGAATGGATCCCATTGCTTTGGTGCTGGGTATGGGGGAGAATGTTAGAATAATCATCCCCAAAATGTATGTAATCATGTTTGTGGCCAAATAGGGTACCGTAATCCAAATAAACCCCAGGTGGCACTCTGGGACCAAGCTATGCCTCCTTCCTGCCCTCCCTGCAATTGAGAGGGGTACCAAAAAGCCCAGGGCACTATTGAGAGAAGGATGAGGGAAGCCCTTTTCACAGGAAGCTGACATGGAGATGAGATAGTCAGAATTGGGAGGTACTAATGTCAAATCCTTCCTACCCAGAAGCAAACTCGGCACTCCTCATTTTTACATTGGTCCCTGATCCATTTATCTTTTGACTACCTTATCCCAATTAAACTACTAATGTGCTCATTTCTTTTTTTTTTTAATTTTTATTATAGGTTCAGGGAGTACATGGGTAAGTTGGTTACCTACGTGTATTACATAATGCTGAGGCTTGGATTACAAATGAATGTGTCTTCCAAATAGCGAGCATAAATAGGTGGTTTTTCAGCCCTCACTCTCTACTCTTGTAGTCCCCAGAGCCTATTGTTCTCATCTTTGTTTGTGTGTACTCAATGTTTAGCTCCCACTTAAAAATGAAAACAAGTGACATTTGGTTTTCTATCTCTACATTAGTTCACTTAGGGCACTGGCCTCTGGCTGCATCCATGTTGCTTCAAAGGACATGATTTAGTTCTTTTTTTATGGCTGCATGATATTCCATGGTGTATATGTACCACATTTTCTTTATCCAGTCCAGAGTTGATGGGCACCTGGGTTGATTCTATGTCTTTGCTATTGTGAATAGCATTGTAATAAACAAAGAGGTACGTGTGTCTTTTTGGTTGAATGATTTATTTACCTTTGGGTATACACTCAGTAGTGGAATTGCTGGATTGAATGGTAGTTCAGTCTTCTTTGAGAAATCTCCAGATTGCTCTCCACAGTGGCTGGATTAACTTACATTCCCACCAGCAGTGTATGAGTATTCCCCTTTCTCTGCAGCCTCACCAGCATCTGTCGTTTTTAGACTTTATAACAAAAGCCATTCTGACTGTGTGAGTTAAGGGACAGGTCACTTGCCTTGAAGGGAAACCCCATAAGGCTAGTAGCGGACTTTCAGCACAAACCTTAAAAACCAGAAGAGACTGGGGGCTTGTTTACAGCATCCTTAAAGAAAAGAAATTCCAACCAAGAATTTCGTATCCTGCCAAACTAAGCTTCTAACTGATGGAGAAATAAAATCCTTTTCAGCCAGAGAAATGCAAAGGGACCACTAGACCTGCCTTAAAAAGGGAATGTTAAACATGGAAACAAAAGAATGATGCCTGCCACCACAAAAACACACTTAAGTACGTGGCCCACAGACCCTTTAAAGCAACTACACAATCAAGTCCACATAACAATTAGCTAACGCCACAATGACAAGATCAAATCCTCACATATCAATATTAACCTTGAATTTAAATGGGCTAAACACTCCCGTTTAAAAGGCAGAGAGTGATAAGTTAGATAAAGAAACAAGACTCAGCTGTCTGCTGTCTTCAAGGGACCCCCTCTTACACACAACAACACCTATAGGTTCAAAGTAAAGGAATGGCGAAAGATGTATCTTGCAAATGGAAAACAGAAAGGAGCAGGGGTTGCTAATCTTCTATCAGATAAAACAGACTTTGAATGAACAACCATCAGAAAGGACAAAAAAAAAAAGCATTCCATAATGATAAAAGGTTCAATACAACAAGAACACTTAACTATCTTAAATACATATACTCCCAACATTGGAGCACTCAGATTCATAAAAATAAATTCTTAGAGACCTACAAAGAAACTTAGCCACACAATAATAGTGGGAGACTTCAACACCCCACTCACAGCATTAGTTGTTTGCTATTGAGGCAGAAAACTAGGAAAGATATTCTGGACTTAAACTCCATACTTGACCTATTGGACCTAATAGGCATCTACAAAATACTTTACCCAACAACCACAGAATATGCATTCTTCTCATCTGCACAGGGAACATACCTAAGATCGGCCACGTGCTTGGCCATAAAGCAAATCTGAATACATTTTTAAAAATCTAAACATGCCAACTGCACTCTTGGACCACACTGCAATAAAAACAGAAATCAATACCAAGAGGATCTGTCAAAACCACACAATTACATGGAAATTAAACAACTTGCTCCTGAATGACTTTTAGGTAAAGAATGAAATTAAGGCAGAAATCAAAAAATTCTTTGAAACTAATGAGAACAGAGACACAAGATACCAGAATCTTTGAGATAAAGCTAAAGCAGTGTTAAGAGGAAAGTTTGTAGCACTAAATGCCTACATCAAGAAGTTAGAAAGATCTCAAATTAACAACCTAATATCACACCTACAGGAATTAGAAAAACAAGAACAAAACCAACCCCAAAGCTAGCAGAAGAAAAGAAATAACCAAAATTAGAGCAGAACTGAACCAAATGGAGACATGCTCATTTCTTTCAACAGAAAGTGAACCCAGAGGTTCATGAATATGTTATATAAACCTCACTTAGTATTATAAATTTAGGGGGAATAGATTACCAGATGTAAAAATTTTTTAAAGGCTCATGGTAGATCTTACATTGAGGCACATGCAAAAAGCTCTTACCAATTAGGTTATCAGTATTTAAATTTCATAGCACTACATCTAAAAAGTCTAATGTTCACACAGTTCCCAAAAGACTGAATTCACCTGTCTCCAGAAGTTGTATTATCATGCCAGTGGTCTCACTGCCTGATGAGTATAGAAGCCAATAACATGGCACCAACATTTGAGAAAAGGAAGTCTTTATTGCAAGACCAGACAGCAAGGAAAAAGGAGTTGGGCTCAAATCTGCATCCCCAGTTTGCTGTCTGGGGCAAGTTTTGAGGTGTCAGAGGGCAAGGGAAAAGATTTAGGAATGTTGGTTTTGTAGAGTCTCATTGGAGAGCTTCAATTTCGACCATTTACATTAAGGTATGTTGAGGCAGATTTTAGCCCTGGATTTTTCAGGCCAACAGACTCTTCACTTCTGAAAGAGTTTCTGCATTCAGGTTCCAGTCACGTATGAATCTTCTTGGTTCTGTAGGGAGGAATCGTTGGTTCTGGGTGTTGTTAGAGGTCAAAGCTTTCTCTCTTGCACATGCCTGGGCTGCCCGACTTACAGTTTTGGCTCTATTTTACCTACATGGTAACTTTATTCTGTTATCAACAGAGTAGGCCCAGTTTGGGCTGGTCCTATGGTTACAGTATTACCATGCTTTCATCCGAGAGTGTGATGTCCTCAAAATTTCTTCAAAGTTGGTAAGCAACTGGCTATAGAATTCAGCTGTCCTTCAGAGTCACATGCACTGATGCTACAGTTCTGCACTGCTGACCTGCCCTTCTCTGAAGCTGAACCACAACTTTTCCTGCCTGTCTTTGAATCCTAATATACTATTACTATTGGAATGGTCCATTGGAAAAGGGATTTGAGCCTAAATCAAGACTGCAGCATGAAAGTGGACAGCCATGAATAGCTAAGAGAATATTTGCTAGAACCCGATGTATGACTGGAGCAGGGATGAGAGAGAAGTCTAGATTTCTAGTGGGCTAACTGCACGAATCATGACATTCTCCAAAGAGACCGTTGGAGGAGCAGCAGGTTTAGGGAGAGGTGATTGGTTTAATTTTGTACTCATAAGGTTGAGGTGCCTAGGGAACCTCCAAGTAGAGCTTTCCCACAGGTAATCCACATCACCCCCATGTTCCTAATCCTACTGAATAAAAATCACACTCTTTGTTGTTGGTGGTGTTGTTGTTAACTCAGTTGGTTTTCTTTTCTCAGGTTTAGTCTTTTAAGTTCTAGGATACATGTGCAGGACGTGCAAGTTTGTAACACAGGTAAACGTGTGCTATGGTGGGTTGCTGTGCCTATCAACCCATCACCTCGGTATTAACCCCTGCATGCATTAGCTGTTTATCCTGATGCTGCCCCTCCCACTGCCACCCCGACAGGTCCCAGTGTGTGTTGTTCCCCTCTCTGTATCCATGTGTTCTCATTGTTCAGTTCTTACCTGTAAGTGAGAATATACGGTGTTTGGTTTTCTGTTCCTGCATCAGTTTGCCGAGGCTAATGGCTTCCAGCTCCATCCACGTCCCTGCAAAGGACATGATCTCATTCCTTTTTATGGCTGCATAGTATTCCATGGTGTATATGTACCACATTTTCTTTATCCAGTCTGTCATTGATGGGCATTTGAGTTGATTCCATGTCTTTGCAATTGTGAATAGTGCTGCAGTGAACATACATGTGCATATATCTTCATGAGAGAATGATTTATATTCCTTTGGGTATATACCCAATAATGAGATTGCTGGGTCAAATGGTATTTCTGGTTGTGGGTCTTTGAGGAATTGCCACTGTCTTCTACAATGGTTAAACTAATTTAGATTGCCAACAACAGTGTGAAAACGTTGCTTTTTCTCCACAGCCTCGCTGGCATCTGTTGTTTCTTGACTTTTTAATAATCACCATTCTGACTGGCATAAGATGGTATCTCATTGTGGTTTTGATTTGTATTTCTCTAACAATCAATGACGTTGACCTTTTTTCTCATATGTTTATTGACCACATAAATGTCTTGTTTTGAGAAGTGTCTGTTCATGTCCTTCCCCCACTTTTTAATGGGATTTTTTTTCCTGTAAATTTATTTAAGTTCCTTATAGATTCTGGATATTAGACCTTTGTCAGATGAATAGACTGCAAAATTTTTCTCCCATTCTGTAGGCTGTCTGCTCATTCTGATGATAGTTTCTTTTGCTGTGGAGAAGCTCTTTAGTTTAATTAGATCCCATTTGCCAATTTTTGCTTTTGTGGCAATTGCTTTCGATGTTTTCATCATGAAATCTTTGCCTGTGCCTATGTCCTGAGTGGTGTTGCCTAGATTTTCTTCTAGGGTTTTTATAGTTTTGGGTTTTACATTTAGGTCTTTAATCCATCTTGAGTTAATTTTTATGTAAGGTATAAGGAAGGGGTCCAGTTTAAATTTTCTGCATATGGCTAGCCAGTTTTCCCAGCACATTTATTAAATAGGTTTCTAGTAGGCTAATTGCATGAATCTTCTAGATGGGGTCTTCTAGATATAGAATCATGTCATCTGCAAACAGAGACAGTCTGACTTCCTTTCTCCTATTTAAATACCCTTTATTTCTTTCTCTTGCCTCATTGCCCTGGCCAGAACATCCAATACTGTGTTGAATAGGAGTGGTGAGAGGGGGCATCCTTGTCTTGTGCCAGTTTTCAAGGGGAATGCTTCCAGCTTTTCCCCATTCAGTATGATATTGGCTGTGGGTTTGTGATATATGGCTTTTATTATTTTGAGGTATGTTCCATTAATACTTAGTTTATTGAGAGTTTTGAACATGAAAGAATGTTGAATTTTATCAAAGGCCTTTTCTGCATCTATTGAGATAATCATGTGATTTTTGTCTTCAGTTCTATTTGTGTGATGAATTACATTTATTGATTTGCATATGTTGAACCAGCCTTACATCCCCGGGATAAAGCTGACTTGATTGTGGTGCATAAGCTTTTTGATGTGTCGCTGGATTTGGTTTGCCAGTATTTTAATGAGGATTTTTGCATTGACGTTCATCAGGGATATTGGCCTGAAGTTTCCTCTTTTTGTTGCATCTCTGGCAGGTTTTGATATTAGGATGATGCTAGCCTCATAAAATTAGTTAGGGAGAAGTCCCTTCTTTTCAATTGTTTGAAGTAGTTTTAGAAAAAATGGTATCAGCTCCTCTTTGTACCTGTGGTAGAATTCAGCTATAAATCCATTTGGTCCTGGGCCTTTTTTGGTTGGTAGGCTATTTATTACTGCCTCAATTTCAGAGCCCATTGGTCTATTCAGGGATTCACCTTCCTGATTCAGTCTTGGGAGGGTTATGTGTCCAGGAATTTATCCATTTCTTCTAAATTTTCTAGTTTATTTGCATAGAGCTGTTTATAGCATTCTGATGGTTGTTTGTATTTCTGTGGGGTCAGTGGTGTTATCCCCTTTATCATTTTATATTGTTTCTATTTGAGTCTTCTTTTCTTCTTTATTAGTCTAGCTAGTGGTCTATTTTAATAATTTTTTCAATAAACCAGCTCTTGGATTCATTGATTTTTTTTGAAAGGTTTTTCATGTCTCTATTTCCTTCAGTTCTGGTCAGATCTTCATTATTTCTTGCCTTCTTCTAGCTTTGGGCTTGTTTGCTCTTAGTTCTCCAGTTCTTTTAATTGTGATGTTAGGGTGTCAATTTGAGATCTTTCTAGCTTTTTGGTGTGGGCATTAGTGCTATAAATTTCCCTCTTAACACTGCTTTATCTGCATCCCAGAAATTCTGCTGTGTTATCTCTTTGTTCTCAGAGGTTTCAAAGAACTTCTTGATTTCTGCCTTAATTTCATTATTTACGCAGGAGTTATTCAGGAGCAGGTTGTTCAATTTCCATGCAGTTGTGTGGTTTTGAATGAGTTTCTTAATCTTGAGTTCTAAGTTGGTTGTGCTGTGGTCTCTGTTATGATTTCAATTCTTTTGCATTTGCTGAGGCATGTCTTACTTCCAGTTATGTGATCAATTTTAGAGTAAGTGCCATGTGTCACCAAAAAGAATGTATATTCTGTTGTTTTGGGGTGGAGAGTTCTGTAGATATCTATCAGATACACTTGATCCAGATCCAAGTTCGAGTCCTGAATATCCTTGTTAATTTTCTGTCTCCATGATCTGTCTAATATTGACAATGGGTTGTTAAAGTCTCCTACTATTATCATGTGGGAGTCCAAGTCTCTTTGTAGGTCTCTAAGAACCTGTTTTATGAATCTGGGTGCTCCTGTATTGGGTGCATATATATTTAAGATAGTTAGCTCTTCTTGTTGAATCGATCCCTTTACCATTATGTAATACTCTTCTTTGTCTTTTTTATCTTTCTTGGCTTAAAGTCTGTTTTGTCAGAAACCAGAATTGCAACCCCTGCTTTTTTCTGCTTTCTATTTGCCTGGTAAATTTTCCTCCATCCCTTTATTTTGAGCCTGTGTGTGTCCTTGTGCATGAGATGGGTCTTTTGAATACAGAATACAATGGGTCTTGACTCTATGCTGCTTGCCATTCTGTGTCTTTTAATTGGGGCATTTAGCCCATTTTCAGTTAAGGTTAATATTGTTATGTGTGAATTTGATCCTATCATCATGATGCTAGCTGGTTATTTTGCAGACCTGTTGATGCAGTTGCTTCACAGTGTCATTGGTCTGTGTATTTCAGTGTGCTTTTGCAGTGGCTGGTACCAGTTTTTCCTTTCCATATTTAGTGCTTCCTTCAGGAGCTCTTGCAAGGCAGGCTTGCTGGTGACAAATTCCCTCAGCATTTGCTTGTCTGGAAAGGATTTTATTTCTCCTTTGCTTATGAAGCTTAGTTTAGCTGGATATTATATCCTGGGTTGGAAATTCTTTTCTTTTAGAATATTGAATATTGGCCCCCAGTCTCCTCTGGCTTGTAGGGTGTATTAGTCCATTTTCACACTGCTGTTAAAGACATACCCAAGACTGGGCAATTTACAAAAGAAAGAAGTTTAATGGACTTACAGTTCCATGTGGCTAGGGAAGCCTCACAATCGTGGTGGGAGGCAAGGAGGAGCAAGTCATGTCTTACATAGATGGCAGCAGGCAAAGAGAGAGAGCTTATGCGGAAACTCCCATTATTAAAACCATCATATCTGATGAGACTTATTCACTATCATGAGAACAGCATGGGAAAGACTTGCCCCCATTATTCAATTACCTCCTACTGGGTCCCTCGCACAACACTTGGGAATTCAAGATGAGATTTGGGTGGGGACACAGCCAAACCATATCATAGGGTTTCTGCTGACAAGTCTGCTCTTAGTCTGAGAGGCGTTCTTTTGTAGGTGACCTGGCCCTTCTCTCTGGCTGCTCTTAACATTTTTTCCTTCATTTTGACTTTGGAGAATCTGATGATTATGTGTCTTGGGGTTGATCTTCTCAGGGAGTATCTTACCGGTGTTCTCTGGATTTCCTGAATTTAAGTGTTGTCCTGTCTTGTTAGGTTGGGGAAGTTCTCCTGGATGATGTCCTGAAGTATGTTTTCCAACGTGGTTCTGTTTTCGCTGTCTCTTTCAGGTACCCTAATTAGTCATAGGTTCAGTCTTTTCACATAATCCCATAGTTCTCAGGGAATTTGTTCATTCCTTTTCATTCTGTTTTCTCTAATATTGTCTGCCTGTCTTATTTCAGCAAGATAGTCTTCAAGCTCTGAAATTCCTTCCTCCTCTTGGTCAATTGAGCTATTGATACTTGTGGTTGCACTGTGAAGTTCTTGTGATGTGTTTTTCAGCTCCATCGGGCATTTTTGTTCATCTCTAAACTGGTTATTCTGGTTAACAGCTCTTGGGATTTTTTATCATGGTTCTTAGCTTCTTTGCATTGGGTTAGAACATGCTTCTTTAGCTCAGTGAAGTTTGTTATTACCCACCTTCTGAAGCCTACTTCTATCAATTCATCCATCCCAGCCTCTGCCCAGTTCTGTGCTCTTGCTGGAGAGGTGTTACAATCGTTTGGAGGAAAAGAGGCACTCTGGCTTTTTAAGTTTTCATCGTCTTTTTGTTGTTGTTGTTGATTCTCATCTTCATGAGTTTATCTAGCTTCGATCTTTGAGGCTGCTGGCCTTTGGATGGGGTTTTTATGGGGTTTTTTGTTGGTAGTGGTGGTGGTGCTATTGTTGTTGCTTCCTTTTAGTTGTGTGTGTGTGTTTTGTTTTGTTGTTTTTTGTTTGTTTGTTTGTTTTAACAGTCAGGCCCCTCTTCTGTAGGGGTCCTCTCCAGACCCTATTCACCTGGGTTTCTCCTGCACCTGGAAGTATCACCAGTGGAGGCTACCGAATAGCAAAGATGGCTGCCTGCTCCCTCCTGTAGGATCTCTGTCCCAGAGGGGCATCGACCTGATGCCAGCAGGAATGCTCCTGTATAAGGTGTTTGGGAACCTCTGTTGGAGGGTCTCACCCAGTCAGGAGGCACGGGAACTGGGACCTGCTTAATGAAGTGCTCTGGCTGCCCCTTGGCGAAGGGAGTGTGCTGCACTGGGAGGAATCCCACTTGTCCAGACTGCCCGGATTCCTCAGAGCCAGCAGCAGGAAGACTACATCTGCTGATCCATGGAGATCACAGCCGCCCCTCCTCTCAGGAGCTCAGTCCCAGCGAGATCAGAGTTCTGTCCCTAAAATCCTGGCTGGAGTTGCTTAAATTCCTGCAGGGAAGACCCAGTTGGTGAGGAGGGATGGATCAGGGTCCAGCCTAAAGAGGCAGTCTGGCCACGATCCGCCACAGCTGCTGTGCTGCACTGTGGGGAATTCCTCCTGGGTCCAAACCATCTAGTCTCCCTGGCGCCAGCAGGGGAAAAATGGCAGACTGGAGCCACAGTGATGACAGCCACCCCTCCCCACAGGAACTCAGTAATCTTAAGCAGTCTGCAGCCAAGTGGCCACCAAGAATCTACACAGCTCTGTTCTTGGGACCCAGGGCTCTGATGGCATGGGCTCACGAGTGGGATCTCCTGATCCATGGGTTACACGGAACCATGGGAAAAGCATGGTTTCCCAGATGAAGTAGCACAGTCACTCACTGCCTCCCTTGGCTGGAGGTGGGAGCTTCCCTTGCCCCATGTGGCTCCCAGGTGGGCTGTCACACCACCCTGCTTTTCCTTGCTCTCCATGGGTCATGCCACCCACCTAGTCAGTCCCAATGAAAGAACCTGGATACCTCAGTAGCTGGTGCAGAATTCACTTGCCATTTTTTTCTTCTCAGTGGGAGCCTCCGACCACAGCTGTTTCTAGTTGGCCATCTTGGCCCCTCCCCACCAAAATCACACTCTTTAATCCTTCCTATGCTGCCCCTGGTATTTAAGACCCTTCATGATCAGGCTCCAGATACCCTCTCTAGACCAACCTTCTGCTTCTTACTTGCCTGCTCTTGACAAGCCAGCATCAGAGGAATGTCTCTGTTTCCAGAACACTTTCCAAGGCTGTTAGCTCTGTATCTTTCCTCCTGTTGTTTATCTCTTCAGATGCTCAGGATAACTGACTTATATTTATATTCCAGGTTATTTGCAGAGCAGGTAACACGTCTTACAAACCCCCATAGCCACAGGGATTCCTTAAAGCTGGGTGCCAGCTCCACCTGCATCAGAATCACCTGGGCCCTTGAGAGAAATGTAGGCTCCCAGACCCCTTTCAGACCTTTTCCTGGGGTTGCAACCCCAGAATCTGTGTTATTCAATAAAGACTCAATTGATTCTTAGTGATGCCAACGTTCAAGGTACTAGACCTGGAACACAGGGTCTTCCAAACGGAACCGCACAAATATCTGTTTGATTTTCATAAAGGGCACCAAGAAACTTTGCTTTCCTTAAGAAAGGCACCTCAAGGTCTCTGAATGAAACTTCCCACATGGAATGTTGTTTGTGCTCTTTCTGCAAGCACCATCAGCAGTTTCAGCTTCTTGGGCCGCTAACAGCCAAAGTACCCATTGGAAAAAAAAAAAAAGAAGTCTCTTTTTAGTGCATTAGATCCTGTTTTTTAGAAATGTGTTTCCAAATATAAACCAATTTCTTTCACCCGGTGCCAGCAGGCACCATGTGAGCAGATGAGAAGCAAGTGAGGTCAGAGACTGCATGGTCTAACTTAGTGGTCAGGCATGCAGCCTCTGGGTCTGTCTGTCTGCCTGGGCTTGAACTGGGCTCTGCCACTACCAGTGTGACTTTGATCACATTATTTAACCTCTCTGCTTCTCGGTTTCCTCATCTGAAAGCCAGGGATAATAATAATGCCTACCTGGTAACATTGTTATGAGGAATAAATCCGTCAAATGGAGGAAACATTTAGGATGGAAACTAACTTGCTGTAGGCACTTGGGAACATGCTGCTGTGCTCAGCAGGCTTATGAATCTTTGCAATTCTAAACCCAATGTTTGAAGCTGGTTACTGAGCCCATCAAGTAGAGTGGCACTCTTCCCTGCACTTACATTTCTGCTTCTGAATTTCAGAGTAAGACAATTGCCGTGGCAGGATTCTCCTGTGTCTTAATGAAATCATGACATGGAGGCCCTCTCCCCCAACACCCATACACACACACACACACACACACACACACACACACACACACACACACACAGAGGCATGAAGATGGAAGTGTTTAAGTCTCCTTCGTTGTACTCCTTGCCCTTGGTGAAGAGGGATTCTAATAATCTAATGATCATAGGTAGTTTACATCAAAATCTTCCTATTGCACAGGCTTTAGAAATTAATGGGAGGGGAAAGGGGTCAGGTAAAGATGTGGCCATGATGCATAAATATCTACTGCAAAAATTGCATGTGCTACTCTAACATATATATGTAATCTAAAATAGTTAGGGAAAAGCAGACTTCAGGAACAGTATATTTTGCCCCTAGAGTGTTCTGTCTCCAGGTAGCACCTTGGGCAGGTAACTGTGTAGTGGTTTTTCCTAAGGGGCAGGAGGAAATCAGGACCTTACACTGTTGAACCTGTTAGCCCCCAAAGTCTGACCTTGGAATTGAACCATTGTCTGCTACATGATTATCAGACGAAATCCACAGTGTTTAGATACTGAAATTCTAGGACCACAGTTACAATAGAAAGAGAGAGAGATGATTTAAGGGGCCTATCAAGTTAGGATGATTTGTTCCTTTGGTTGCCATTCTCTTTAAACAAAGCCTGTTCTGTGGATAAACAGACCATGGGGTAATGATATGCAGGTATCGTTCAAATGGATTGCATGACTGTTTTTTGTGGCCGCGCAGGATAGCTTCTGCCTTCCCCAAGATTTCCCTCTCTATGTTGTTCTCAGTTATCTTTTCTAATTGTTCTCAGCACCCACTTTAAAAACCTCTCATCCCCTCATAAAGGAAATTATTTTAGCAGGACCATTTTTAGGACCATCTGATAGGATGAAACACTCTTAAGGACCATTTTCCAGATAATGTCTGCTGAACTGTCATACAGAATCCAAAACTCATTGCACACGCAGTTTGTTAATAACTCAATTCTTGTATTTGTGGTCATTGTTTAAAAAAAAAGAAGGAATTAAATATGAGCAACCAAAATTATACTTGTTTAAACTGTTTGAGAAATGTCTTTGAGCACTCAGTCACTATCCTTTCTCCTTCATTTTCTGTACAAACATTTCCTTGGTGTGTATGAGGGCCACAAGCATCTGCTGCTGCACACTCCACCCATTCCAGTTCTTTGGAAAGAACAAGACCCCCCTCTTCTCATAACACAATGGGAAATGTGAGTGATGAAAGCGGATTTTTTTCCATAATCATTTCTATAATATAGGCCATCAAATGATCATTATATTTTATGATTCCGTAAAATCTGCCGAAATCAAAGCTATGTAATATACGTTGCAGAGGGCTCTGCTAATCCTTGCCAACCACATTCGTGCCTGGACCGAGGAGGAAGGTCTGGTAACTGGAAACCTGACACTAAAGGAATTCTAAGCACAGAC
Organism: Homo sapiens; assembly: GCF_000001405.40. NCBI lineage: Eukaryota > Metazoa > Chordata > Mammalia > Primates > Hominidae > Homo > Homo sapiens. The sequence goes on from NC_000002.12 coordinate 205,609,238, forward strand.
TAAAAGCATCTCTGTGCACATAGCATGGGCGACTCAAGTATATTAGTTTGTGCTGATTTTTTTTAAAGCTTTGCAGTATTTGTAGAAGAACCAGAGAAGAAAGCACCGACCCCAGCTCAGCCACTAAATAATCTATGTGTGGCATGCTCAAGAATAGCATGGCTCTGCCAGATGTCGACTTTCTGCCAACGGGTACAGGCACCTCTCTTAGACAGCTCACAGGAGTTTTACATCATGTTACTTCCTGCCGTTCAAACCCCAAATTTGGCCACAGTCAATTATTACCAAAAAAGGAAACCCATAAAGGCTACTTTGGAAGTTAAAAAATTAGCTTTGTTTTGGCTGCTAATCACACACATAGTATTTTATAGAAATTAAGAACAAGATTCTACCCTTTGGAAGGTTTTCTGTAAGTGAAAAACCCAATGCATATGCCTAAGCCGGACATTCACACCTCTGCTCATAAATTCTTCATGGTTTTTATACTTTCTGCTGCATATCTTATTTCTTCACATACTAAACTCACCCCCTTTCAAAACAAACTATCTTCTAGTTGCTGATGTGTCTCCAACTTAGTTGTTTTTCCCCTCTGTGACTCTTCAACTTCATCTATCCTTCCACATCCTAAAAGGAGCTCATCAGATGAGATACTGTAGGAGTTCTTACACTCTGCCTTGAGACATGTAGAGGAAGTGTGCTCAGTTCTGTATTGCAAGAATCTGTCACTGATATTTGAAGACAGGATTACAAATGATTTCTTTTAATAAATTATAGCAGACTCAAGTTTTCCCCTTCAATAATGTCACTCCCACTCATTTGAATTCCCTTGTTCTTTCCTGGATGGAAGGAAAGGGTGTTGAGTTACAGCAGGTGGCAGAGAAGTTTGCATAATTCTGGATTCTGCCTCTCCTGGGTATGAGTAGCTTATATGAAAATCATCCATCACGTCTGTTCTCAGGGAGAAAAGCTTGGGAGGCACTGGGACAGAGGGAACAGGACACCACCTTGACCTCGGGTTCGTGTTCATCAGCCCTCAAGCCCAGGTACCACACTTGTAACTATGGTCATCACACCTGGGTTTGACATTGTCTCCCTAAGACCCTGTGTTTGAAATCCTGTGTACTGTACTTTGAAATACATAAAGATGTTCCTAGATTATTGCATTTATGACAGAGACAAAGAAAATTTCTTTGCTGTACCATCATAAAAATAGTAGTTAACTGACCCTTGAATAAATACGCTTAGCCTGTACCTAGTAAGCCCAGTTTCCAGTTAATCTTGAGTCAAGAGAGCTCTCAATTTCCTCAGCACCAGTTAGTCATGCTGAGCTCACTGGGAAGTCAGAGAAATTGAATCCCAGTGTAAGATTTATTGAGCACCTATTGTATTTCAAGTACTCTGTAGGGCAACAGAGATAAGACAGTATAATCTTGTTCTTGGCAAACAAGACAAATAAAATAACCTCTACCCTGATAAAATTTACAGTCATTCTGTGTTGGACCCAATACAACCCTTTATTCAGCCCACCATCCCTCCTACTTCCTTCCTTCTTCAGAATTTAGAAATCAGTCTCACCTCAACCACCATCAATCCCTGGCTCCCAAAGAAAGCCCACTTTCTCCTCTTTTCCCCTACCTTCCTCCAGCCCCTACCCACATTCAACCTTTTATAGTTACTGTATGTGTGTGGGTTTTCTCTTTACTTTAAACTCTCTTGAACAAATTCAACATACATTTGTAGAGCACCTGTGATGTGCAAAGCCCTGTGTTAAGCTCGAAGGGAGATAGTTAGATATGTAAGACTCAGTTCCTTCCTTCAAGATGCTTGTACTCCATGCAGTATACAACCAGCCACAAGGCAGGGTGAAAGACAGATGAGGTGAGAATGACCAGCTGTGGCAGAGACAGAGGAGAGAGATTTTCTTTGCAATTGAGGGTGGTGGTGTAGACATAGGAGGATTCAAAATTGCTCATGCCCCTTCATCTGTTCCAGTAAGTACAGCCACCTCATTCCTAGCAAGAGGTTTGCTATTAATTTTGTCCTTCCAGTATTGAGCCCTTTCCCTATACAGAATTGTTTTAGCAAATGTAGGAAGATGTCTTTCATCCTTGCGTAAACTGAAGGTAGTCAGCACCCAGAGCTGGCTATCTGACCAGCTTAGTCTCTGATTTCCAGCCCCCCTTTTGCTTAATGAAAAATACTGACATACTGACATGGCAAAAAGAAGAAATCCTTATGTAAACAAAGTGATGCTTATTGCTTCTTTACATGTAAATAACATATATCTTTGTCGTGTTCAGACTTAATGGTTAACTTTCTTTATTGCGTGCATCTATGTGATTGAAAACTGCATGCCTGAGATAGTTCCTATCAGTTTTCCAAGCAAAATCTGAATCCTTCTGGCCTCTGGAAATGAGCCTAATCCGAAATAAAATAAGCAATAATTTCAAAATATAGGTATTTTCATGACAGCCCCCTCTACGAGTTGTAAAGAAAACAAATATGGGCTTGTTTCTCTTTCCTTAAGTAAATATGGTTTCTGAGTAAAATTTTTAAATTGAAAGTTTTTAAAGAAAAACAGTAACATATACAAACAAAACTCAAGAAGTCACATGAAAAATGAAAGGTCTTAAAATACTGATACATTTGTTATGCGGATTCTTGTTTTAATCAGAATCTCCTAAGGAAGCTGCCCCTGGATTCCTCAGGGTTGGCTCAAAGCACACAGCATCCGACACCGTGATGAGCATTGCTGGGGCCCCAGAATGGATTGGTTTTGGGCTTTCCTACAAACACTAAATTTCACACAAATAAAGAGACTATGAAAAGAGAAACTCACGATTAACAAAACTAAAATTTTAGCTGCCTTTTCTTCCTCTAAGTTCTGTAGTTGATGAGGAGGGGCTTATTTTCCCTGTTTCAAAATTCTTCTTGAGACAGAGTCTCTTTCTGTTGCACAAGATGGAGTGTAGCGGCACAATCTCAGCTCACTGCAACCTCTGCCTACCAGGTTCAAGCAATTCTCCTGCCTTAGCCTCCCGAGTAGCTGGGATTATAGGCATGCACCACCACGCCCAGCTAACTTTTGTAATTTTAGTAGACAGGGTTTCACCAGGCTGGTCTCAAACTCCTGACCTCAAGTGATCCACCCACCTTGGCCTCCTAAAGTGCTGGAATTACAGGCATGAGCCACCGCCCCCGGCCAAAATTAGTTTTTTTAATAATTTAAAATAATACACACATAATAGTCAGAAGAACTTAGAAGTTGTTCTGACAAAAGTCTGTAGGAAATTCTGTTATGAACAAAATGTTGTTATAAACAACAGCTACACACCATCCCCCAAAATAAAGAAAAATTCTTCTAGCACTCTTTGAACCTTAAACAGTGTTTTAGTAGGCCAACTCATTGTTTTTCTTCTCTCTGAAAAATTAAAAATGCTAACTGTTATGATGAGTTCCACAGAAAAAGACAATTTCCATGACTTCATTTCTTGACAAAGAACAGCTACCTCTCTTGCTTTCTGCCACATACAAGCAAACTCCCAGACATAAAACCTCCCCTCAGAGGAAGCAATATGGGACCACAAAAGTATCTTGAGGTCTGCCCTATCTGCCCACGGGAAGCCTCCCCCTCACTGTGAGCTGTGAGCACTGGCTGCCTGGGAGGAGCAAGGTGTGGGAGAAGAGATAGCGACTGTCCCCCCATGTGCTCGCCGACTGTACTGTCACAACCTCTCAGGGTGGCTTCTGCCCTGTCACCACTTGATCTGGATTCTCTCTCCAAAAATTTAAAAAAACAAGGCGTGCCTGTCTTTTATAATGCTCTGTTTTAAGAGAGAGAAATCTCCAGGGAGAGAACAGGACCCTAAAAGTCCAAGGCCTGGAATTCTTCCTTTCTCTCTTTCCATTTTAAACAGGAAGCATTCATGCTAAGAGAGTCCGGAGGGAGGGCTGGTTGTATGTTCATTTGAAGGCAAATAATGTTTGTGTGTTGCAAATGTCAGTGATTTATCCTAAGGGCTTAAAATGAGTGCAGAAAAACCACATGTTTCACTTCATGCAGAGAAATATCTTCAGTGGATTTTGAGAGAAAGTACAGGTTAAGAAAAATTTTTTGAGTGTATCGGATATCTCCAACATGAACCAAAAGGAAATGAAAATGAGCATGGTGAGGTGGAGGAGAGAGACTTAAAGAATTCTTATGATAAAAGATATACCGAAGGCTGGAAGTTTTCTAAATCAAAAATGAAATTCTAAAGAAAGGGAAAGGTGAAATCCAGAGCCTTTATTTCCCATGGCTAGAGTGACAGATTATCCATTTGTGCTCCATTTGTCATGGGCGATTTAAAATACAGCAAAGCAAACTGCACTGAATAATAGCAGCTGATGCTATAATAACTTGTACACAAACAATTTAATTTTTTATCTGAAAACTCTAACTAAATTACCCCAAGCTCAAGGATCTTTCATTATTATACATAGCCAAATTAAGACAAAAAAGTAGAGAGAATTCTATTGTTCATCCTTATAGATTTGTTCACAAGCTGCTTTCTACATGCACCGAGCTGGGAGCTTGTCAAATCTTCATTGATTTGAGCAACTTACAGAGCTGTTTTAACATCCACCTCCACAGATTACAGGGTGATTCTGACCCTCATTGACAGTGCTTGATTAACCACAGACACTGTATTCTCACAGCCCTGTCATTTCTTTCAAGTGTCCTAGCAGTGTGTCTGACATTGGGGAGCTTTCCCTTAATTATTGTTGTTGTTTTTCTTTTTTAAAAATTATAAAAGGGGGAGTGGCAAAAAAATGGGAAGGATCTGGGGATGGTGGTGGTGGTGAATGTGTGCACAGAAGGTTTATGAGATTTTAAGAGCTGCAAACAGAACTCATCTGTTTAACCCCAGGCTAGATAAAATGCAGTCATCTGCACATTGTTTAGAGGCACACTGCTTCTGTTATGGCAAACGGATCAGAAGATGCTTGTTTTCTTTAGTGAGAGATCCAGACAGGGCCACTTTCTGTTAGTGTCTATTCTTACCCTGGATGTTTCTGTGTGCCTTACCCATTACAAGGTACAACTTACAGCTGGTTTGGCATTTCCCTATTCTGCTACTGGACTGGTGCTACTTCCTGGCTTTGTGGTAGAGTTGATTACTTTATATCAAAGCTTTAGGTGTGGGCTGGGTGCAGTGGCTCACGCCTGTAATCTCAGTACTTTGGGATGCCGAGCCAGGCAGATCACCTAAGGTCAGGAGATTGAGACCAGCCTGGCCAACATAATGAAACCCATCTCTACAAAAAAAAATACAAAACTTAGTCAGGTGTAGTGGTGGGCACCTGTAGTTCCATCTACTCGGTAGGCTGAGGTGGGAGAATCGCTTGAACCCAGGAGGCAGAGGTTGCAGTGAGCTGAGATCGCACCATTGCACTCCAGCCTGGGTGACAGAATGAGACTCCCTCTCAAAAAAAAAATTAAAAAAAAAAAAAGAGCTCTAGGTGCTCTGGCTTGGGACTTTTTCTAAGGACTGTAGAGCATTTAGGGAGGGGAGGGACATATGAATCCACACCAAGATGTAACAGCAGCCAACCAGAGTTAGACCAAGATGACAGCCCGTTTAAAAGAGCACCTCACAGATTTAGAAAAGCGAGTGCAGTCCATGGAAACTTTATGACTCCAAATAACCTGAACATTTCTATCACCATGCCTAGGACAGACTTCAGCCCAGCCTGTCCTGGATATGGTGGTAGAAAAGGGGAGGGAACTAATGACCCCATCCTTAAGAGAGGCAAACTCACTGCCTTGTTTAGGAAACTAGTTTGGTTACTATAATAAAGGCCAACAGAAAAGGGTATAAACCAGATTGAAGTGTATTTTCCTCTCATGCACCAATGTGAATGGAAGCAATCCTGATTGACATGGTGGCTCCATGGCAACGGGGACCCAGGCTCTCACCTTCTTGTTGCTCTGCCTCCCATAGCACGTGGTTTTCACCTTGTGGCCTAAGATGGTTTTTCTGCTGGCCAACAGGAAGGAGAGAAGGGAAGAAGTTCCCTTCTCTTCTTTTTAAGGGCACGTATCACTTCTGCTCCCATCCCATTGGCCAGACCTATGCGGTGGCCACACCAAACTGCACAGGAGGCTGAGGAACATGTTCTCCAGCCGGACGGCCAGCTTAGGAGCTGCTAACATGTGTCTCTTCTTCTCTTTCCAGGGGAGGACCCGCAGATCCTGTAGACTATCTGCCAGCAGCACCTCGGGGGCTCTACAAGGAAAGGGAGCTTCCCTATTATCCAGGGGCTCATCCTATGCACCCTCCCAAAGGGAGCTATCCCCGCCCCACAGAGCTCAGGGTGGCAGATCTCCGGTATCCTCAGCACTACCCACCCCCGCCAGCTCCCCAGCACAAAGGACCCTTTCGACAAGACGTTCCGCCTTCCCCTCCCCAGCACCAAAGAATGCCAGCCTATCAGGAAACAGGCAGACCAGGGCCCCGTGGGGGCAGCCCAGACCAGTACCCTTACCGAACCCAGGATTCCCGGCAGAAGAACCCCATGACTGCAGCCGTATAGCTGAGTGCCACCGAGGCCAGCCCGGTCCAGAAAGGAAGGTGTCTACTCTACCTTTGCCCTTTCTAAACCTGAAGACCTCCTTGGTGTTAGGAATTCTCCATGTTACTGATAAGCTTTTTCTCACTGACATTGTAACGCATGACTGCTAATCAGAGAGAAAAAGAAGGGGAAGGGAATTGGGGAGGAAAAAAAATCAGAAGGAAGACGAAAGATGGGGCTATAAAAACAAAACTACCTGATAGTTGAAACGCTTTCAGAGTTGTTCAAATCAGTGAGAGTGGCAACGGAACACACAAACAACTAATTATGGAACTCTACTCTGGGGATCCTCTCTGGCTAGATAACCTGTGCTGATGTGCAGACACGTGGACATCCCCCTCTGAGACTGGCGGTCCAGAGGCAGTCTCTGCCAGGCAGCATTACCCGCTCCGAGGTGGAGCCTCAGCCCCCTTCTTAGAGCTGTTAAGTCTAAGGTGTGGCAGAGCAGACAGAGATAGAGGCATCTGAAGTGAGTATAGGTTTTTTGACTAAGAAAAAAAACAACAGCAAACATGACTAGTGATCTTGAAATATTTTGTACCGAGAGAAAGACTGCATTTATTTGTAGAATTTATCAGGTTTCTGATACCACTCATTGGATGTAAACATTTCATGTTTCCTCACTTTTGATATGAAAGTCGGTAAAATGCAGTATTAGTCCCGGGAGGATGTGCACAGCTGGTCAGAGCTTCCAGAAGGAATATCTTCCGAGGACTAAGGTGATCAGGTTAAGAGGGTTCAACATCCCACGGCCCTCACCTTCCTCCCTCCCACATTCCAGGCATGGAGATATCTGGTTTCAGAGTCAGCCCCAAATCTCCTGCCTATAATTACTTTAACTGGGGTCTCTAAGGTTCCCACTTGAGGGCTAAAATGTAGTTGGGAAAGAGGGCCTACTGGGGAGGTCTCACAGGAGGCAGTGCCCTGGGAAATGCCAAGTCCAGACTCAGTGCCAAGCAGTAACCATCTGCACTCGGGGACAGCGAGGAGCTGACCATGGCCTCTGATGACCAGCAGGTATTAGATGGAAGTGAATGAGAGAGAGAGAGAGAGAGAGTATGTGTGTGTGTGTGTATGTGTGTGTTCGAACACATATGATTGCCAGTATGGAGAATGAAAGATTAATAATGCTTTCTGGAGAGTTTGATGCAAAAGTGGGGGAAACGGAGAAAAGGCGCTAAGGCTAAATCCATCTGCATTTGCTATATTTCATTAGCTAAAGTCAGGTCAGGGCAGGGCCAAGGCCTCCAATTGGCAAAGGACAGTGTTATGGCTTTAAAAAGCTGAAACCCCAACCTCTAAGTAGATCACAATGTTTTCTGAGCTTTGCAGTAATTTTCTATGGAAACTAAAACCTCTAAAACATACAAGCTGGCCCAAATGAGAACACAAGCAAAAGATGTGGAAGACAGCAAAACCTGAGCACTGGTTTGAACCAGGCACTGACATTTGAAATGCTTTAAGCCTTTTCACATTCCTTCTTTATTCCCTCCAAAAAAAAAAGTCTTGAGTTTAATTTAGGTCTATTTTGGCTGAGATTAGCATACCTCTGACTCACAGGATTTAATAAATTATAGTATTATTGAATACATAGGACATCCCTCTACCCCAGCTTACTCTTATCTTTTTAATTTAAAATAGTATTCTGCTACCAAGAAGGATGCAACTGCTAGTTTTAGATGTAAATAGTGTTATTTACTGGACTTTGTGATATTATTTTCTTAACTACACTTTACTATGGCCCTGTTGAAAACAGACTATCAAGTTTTTTGTCTCTGTTCTGTCATCTCTCTTAAGCCAGGCACCTTTAGAGTGTTTGCAATTTGTTCGAAGTGGTTGAGGATCTCAGGCCCTGCTCACGTGAGGTGGAGTGCAGGGGAGCTACCGGTTTCCCTGCTGACCTGCTGAATGCTACCTTCCCCTCGAGTTGAATACACCTTAAGGAAAATGATAACACGAGGGACGTGTAACTTGTTTTGAAGCATTAAAAACCAGCAGCTCTTCACTATGTTCCATATTTTAACCAAACTACTGTAGACTACTAAACATAGCCAAGCCAGAACATTCCTTCTGGATTAAGCCTAGGCCACTTGAGGGGCAGCCAGGGGTGATGGTGTCAGGTGAGAATCCTGTGTCTTGAAGGAGTGGCCTTTACAGGAAGAGTGCCCATGTTTTCACCTGCAGCGTTGCCACCAGAGTGTGCAATACCTCCTGCACACAGGCTCAGGGTAAACTGCTCCAAAGCTGGGTTTTGTGTTGCATACAAAGTCAATAAAATAGTTGCTAATCCTGAATGGCAGCCAGTGATGTGAAGGTACTATTAAAGTGAACAAAAACTAGATTGCAACAGTTTTCTTTCCTTGCTTGAAGTATAACACACGCTCCATTTGATCCTGCCTGAAAGAAGCTAACATTATATTTGTGACAGACAGAGGCTCCATCAAGCCAAGCAACAATTAACAGCTCAAGTGTAAGATTTATAAATGCCCGTGTACTCACCCTTCAATTGTTACCACCCAGAGGTTACAGGACTCTTTCCCAGCATTTAGGGGAACAGGCTTTTAGAGTATTTAGAAGACCAGGCTATAATCAGTAATGTGCCTGGGAGCAGGAAATAGCTCCCAATTTATTTATGGCCTTGGGAAAACTCAATCCGGTGTCTCCTTGTAGCTCAGAACACTAATAGCCCCCCTGGAAGAGAGTGGCACATTGAGCTCCAAACCCAATCAACATACATCCACTTGGCTGCAGATCTGACTGCTGGGTCATGAAGGCCGTGAAATGATGTTTGCCCTCAAGTCACTAGATATTTTAAGAAGCCCTATTTTTCTCCCTTTTTGCAGGAGTAGAGAGATGAAAGAGGACAGACCATTGAAAACTTTTAGATGCAGGAGAATTGAGACTTCCACAAGGGAGAGAAACACAGCCTCCCCAGAATCCATTATGCCATCGGGTTGTGGCACTCTCACCCTTGCCATAATACCGTTTCCTAACAATATCAAATCAGTGGATGAAATACAAGCTCAGAAACAGGAACATTTTCCTAAATCATAACCTAATAGCAAACAAAAATTGAAAAAACAATTATTCTGAAGCTCATTATTCTTAGATCTGTAGATATATATGTGTTGACTCCCACAGGATGGCACCAAGTAAAGATCTTAAGAGCATAGTAGGGGTTCTGAGACCGACTGTCACCCGTGGATCCTGATGGGGAAGAACAGAGGCTTCACTGTAGCTATAGTTTTCCACCAAGTCAATCAAATTAAAACATGACTCATTGTCCCCTCCAAAGATTCATAAAATTCTTGAGCTAAAGTGATCTTCTGAAGAAAAGCCACCTAACAATGTTAGGAGGCTCATAAAGCTCATTTCTCTTTTCCCTGGTATGCACAAATATCAAGCCTATAAAAAAGTAATTATTTCCCCAAACCTGTAACCACTGCATTCGTTTTCTTTGGAGGAACATTGTAGCATTTCAGGAGGGTCGAGAGATCTAAAGAGTTTGGTCTGAATGTGTGTCTGTACAATTCCCTTTGGCATTAAACTCTGAAACCTACAATCAATGGCCTTCAAATTGGTGTTAAATTGGGAGAACACCCTACTGCTTTCTGAGTCTACGAGCAACAGAAAGACTGGTCTTAGTGCAATTAGGCAGGAGGGATTTGGACTCAGAAACAGCCACAGAAGTATTTCTCAGCACTCCCAGTTCCTGCCAACTTAGCTGGAAACGATGCCACAGCGAGACCAGAAAGAGGAGTCGCCTTAAGGTATCCCTACAAAGTCACCTTTCTGATAAAAAGGAGGGAAAAAAAAGTTAGATATCTAAAATAAGCCTAGAATCTCACACACAGCTGTGACTTCTAAGTGAAACTCTTTTCTCCCTCATGTCCTTAAATAGTCACAGAATCACACACAGCCTGACTTTTAAAGACAAGCTTGGCTACAGGAAATGAACCAACCCCAAAGACTCTTCTAACCTGTCTCCTGACTGGGCTCCTTCAGAAAGTGTTCTCCTGTTCCATCTGTAGGGCTGCTTACTACTGGAACCTAAAACAAAACCTGTTGTTTGTACCATCACTTTTTCTGGTGTTTCCTGTGCTTTTGTGATTCCAAGTCTGTTCATAAGTTCTGAAGATAAATTATGTGAAATCATATTTTGGCATATGGGGGTGGAGGATGAATTCTTTACAGACTTTTTAAGATGATCCATTTGTACCACAGAAAACATTTTGGAAGTTGTTATATATGAGTATATAAATTTTTCTTTTCATATTTTACATTAAAATAAAGCTTTATTCAGTCATTAAGACGTCAGAGTCTTGGATTGCTTTAGGATGGGGTTGTCCAATCTTTTGGCTTCCCTGGGCCACCTTGGAAGAATTTTCTTGGGCCACACATAAAATACACTAACACCAATGACAGCTGATGAGCTAAAAAAAAAAAAAAAAAAAAGCTGCAAAAAATCCCTCAATGTTTTAAGAAAGTTTATGAATTTGTTTTGGGTAACATTCAAAGCCAACCTGGGCTGTGGGTTGGACAAGCTTGTTTCAGGATCGGATCTGATGAATCAACAAGTGGGTCTGGGCCTACTCACCCTGGAATAGCAACATTCAGTAGTTGAATAGCAACGTTCCAAACAGCAAGAGGGCAAGGAACAAGAGCATCAGTCACACGCTGGGCCCCCCAAGAAACAGATGCTGAGATGGAGATTCTCAAGCCAATGTGTACTGAGGTGTGCACTTGGGTTTCAATACCTTAAAAAGGGAGGGAAACAGGCCTGGGCAGAGGGAGAAGCTGAGCCGTAGTGCACTCCCAGCTTAGGCCTCAGCCACCCCACAGTGGGAGCAACAATGGCTCTTCAGAGCTGTCCCCAGTTGGGACAAGGGAGCTGAGCCTTTATGCCACCATTGATTGGTAAATACAGGTTACCTCTGGAAAGAAAGATCTAGCTAGGGTTCGGCAGTTTTCTTCAGTTGAGGCAAACCCAAAGAAAGCCGACAGCTGGGGCCCATCTTTGGATGGTATTCAAAACAGCTGGAAAAGAGCTCCTTCTTAATGTGGCATCTGAGCAGCCTGTCACAGCATTCAGGACAACATCTAAAACTGGCAACCACTTTCTGGTGCTGGAATCACTCATCCCTAGAAAGTTCTCCTTGAGACCGTCCCTGTCAACCCCCAGCTCCTTTATTCCCTTGGCCTAGTCTCAGACCTCCCCATACTCCTGGTAAGCCCATCCACAGCCAAGGTTTCGGCCACCGCCTCTCTACTGACTGCTCCAGCTCAGCTCTGTGCCCTGAGCTCATGCATTTCTGCTTTTCCACTACCCATTCCCATTTGGATGTCCTGCAAAGCCTTTAAACATAACATGCCCACACTGAAAACAAGCTTTCTCCAAAGAAACCTCCTCCTCACAATTCTGTCCTGGCCAAAATGTGAACCAAGTTCACAGCTAAAAACTGGAAACTTGGAAATTATCCTGGATTTCCCATTTAAAATTCTGCCCCTTCCTCCTACACATTCCCATATAATGAGATGGAAGGCCAACATTGTGTCCTGCAATTCCATCAAATATGTTTATGTTTCCTGATACCGTGACATGCCTGGGCTCAGCCTCATCACTTCTCACCCAGCCCCTTCAATAGCCTTCGATGTGATCGCCCCCCACCTCAGGCCTTGTTCCCTTCAATCCACCTCTGTGCTATACAGCCCTGCTCCTTGCTTCTGGAAATAAAGTTATATTGGAACACATACACACCCATTCATTTACATGACGCTCTAGAGCTCTTTCACAACAGCATCGATCCCTGCTCTATATTGCTGCCTAGGAATTTTTCTGAAGTAGAGATCTGATGATATTACTCTTCTAGAGGCAGCATGTCTTCTTGAAAAAAAATGTTGGCTTTGAAAACAGGTAGGCATCGATTTAAAACAAAGTTCAACTACTGATTGGTTGCATAACCTTGAATAAAATACTTATTTATCCGTCTAGCATCATTAGTGAAGTAGAACTGCTATTCACCTTATAGGGTTGGTTTCAGAATTAAGTCACATGACAGACAGCAGGCCCTCAAATAACCTCATTTCACTCAATGTTGTATCATTATAACATTAATTAGGAAAAAAAAAATTGATTCCTGGCCGGGGCCACTGTGTGTGTGGAGTTTGCATGCTCTCCCCACGTCTGCATGGGATTGCTCCGGATACGCCAGTTTCTTCCCACATCCCATAGATGTAACTGTTCAGTTAAACAGCAGGCCTAAATAGTCCAAGTGTGAATGAGTGTGGGTGTGAGCGTGAGTCCTCCCTTCAGTGGAAGGGCATCCTGTCCGGGGCTGGTTCCTGCCTTGTGCCCTGAGCTGCCCGTATAGGCTCAGCCACCCATGACCCTGAACTGATATAAGTGGGTTGAAAAGTGAGTGGAGGCAAGGCACGGTGGCTCACGTCTATCATCCCAGCACTTTGGGAGGCCAAGGTGGGCAGATCACATGAGGCCAGGAGTTCAGGACCAGCCTGGCCAACATGGCAAAACCCCATCTCTAATAAAAATACAAAAATTAGCCAGGTGTGGTGGTGCACACCTGTAATCCCAGCTACTCAGGAAGCTGAGGCACAAGAATCACTTGAACCCAGGAGGCAGAGTTTGGAGTGAGCCAAGATCTTGCTACTACAATCCAGCCTGGGTGACAGAGCAAGACCCTGACAAAAAAAAAAAAAAAAAAGAAAAAAAGAAAAATGAGTGGAAAAACGCATACAAAATAATCTAAAATACAAATATGTAAACAATAATCATACAAATGCACAGTAAACGATGCGGTACAAGAATGCTCAGTGAGCCTGCGATATCTGTGATTGTTTTTGAACCGCATGATGGTGGGAGGTGCTCCTTACAATTTCACTTTGTAAACATTTACTCCTTGATTTAACTCACTGCCGTTATTCACTGATTCACCAAATTATGGATAAATTATTTTCTTGTTTTCATCAATATTTCTTCAATGTATGTATAGCTCACACGTATTTTTCATGGGTAAGATTAGAAGCACTTGGGTCTTTATCTAGAAGTTTAGTGATGCTTTTGTGACCAGAAGTATACCATAGGAACGTAACTCTTGCTTCTATCAGTTAGGCTATGGTAAAATTGGCGTCATTATACATCACTTCACTCAAAATTGCAGTTTCCGGTAACCCATTGAGGACATTAAGGGAGGACTTACTGTATAGAAGCACTGGTGCCAGCTTCAAAGAGCCAACTGTATGCATCTCGTCCCAACTCCACATTCAGTGATGTCATGGAGAAAGGCTGAAACGGGATATGTTGGGAGTATTTACAACACAGGAATTGGCATATCTGACAAATCAGGGCGTTTTTTCCTTCCCTCTGGAGAGCCAGTTGTTAAACATTTCACAGCACACCATGGTCGTAACATCCCCAGCAGTCAAGGAAAATTAACCCGTCCCCATTACACACACACATACACAAAAACACACACACACACACAAACACACACACACACACACCTTAAAACCTTTCTGTGGCTTCCTACTACTTACAGCTTAAGTCAGAAATCCAAAACCCCTGTGTGCCTCTCCCGCCTCCGTCCTTGCTGCTCATAGTTTACATCTTGTGCTAATGTTATTTCTTTTTTCTTTTTGAGACAGAATCTCGCTCTGTCATCCAGGCTGGAGTGTAATGGTGCGATCTTGACTCACTGCAACCTCCGCCTCCCAGGTTCAAACGATTCTCCTGCCTCAGCTTCCTGAGTAGCTGGAATTGCAGGCACGTGCCACCACGCCCGGCTAATTTTTGTATTTTTAGTAGAGACTGGGTTTCACCATGTTGGTCAGGCTGGTGTGCTAATGTTATTTCTAATGACTTTGATCCGTGTGACCTGGACATGAATTCTCACAGCTCCGTACCCTGGCAGTATGCAGTAGGCAATAGCACAGCCACCCCTGCTCAAACTACCCTCTTTGCCCACCCTGCTTTGTCCTGTGGATCCTTATTCATCTTTCAAGCCCAGGTGAAGCAGCTCTTTCTCCATGAAGCCTTGAAAACAGAAATTGGAGACTGACTCCCTCCCTTCCACCCTGCTTTCTTGTAGCAGGACTTACTGCAGGGTAAGTCAGAAATTCTGACATGGGCCGCCACATTTTTCAGATTTCCTCTCAACTTGGGTTCCACGTGAGACTCATTTCCACCAAACAGACCCAGCACTCTGACAGACGGAACTGAGGCTAGGCCTGCTCTTGCTGGCTAACCCAGCACCAGCTGGAGTGCCCAGGCTCTAGCTTCCTGGGCATCAAAAGGGCTGTGTGACGGTTAGCCATTGTGTCAGCATGCATCCCAGATGAGGCAACGGGATCCTGTTGTCCACTGGTTCTTTGAATCCCCCCTTTTTTTAAAACAGCTTTATTGAGGTATGTTTGCAGAGCTGTGCAACCATCACCACAATCAATTTTAGAATATTTTCAACATCCAATAAGAAAACGCCATAGTCATCAGCAGTCAATCCCCATTTCTCCACTCCCCCATTTCCTCTGCCTTACCCCCATCCAGGGGAATCACTTGTTTCTGTATGTTTGCCTGCTCTGGAATTATCCTGTCCATCGATGGATGAATGATTAAAGAAAATGTGGCATATGTACACAGTGGAGTACCTTATTAGTCTATTTTCATGCTGCTGATAAAGACATACCCAAGACTGGGAAGAAAAAGAGGTTTAATTGGACTTACAGCTCCACATGGCTGGGGAGGCCTCAGAATCATGCCGGGAGACAAAAGGCACTTCCTACATAGCGGCAGCAAGAGAAAATGAGAAAGATGCAAAAGCAGAAACCCCTGATAAAACCATCAGATCTCGTGAGACTTATTCCCTACTACGAGAACAGTATGGGGGAAACCACTCCCATGATTCAAATTATCTCCCACTGGGTCCCTCCCACAACATGTGGGAATTATGGGAGTACAATTCAAGATGAGATTTGGGTGGGGACACAGAGCCAAACCATATAAAGTACTATTCAGCCATAAAAGAAGATAAAATCCTGTCATTTGTGACATCATAGGTAAACCTGGAGGCATTATGTTAAGTAAAATAAGCCAGACACAGAAAGACAAATACCACATGTTCTCACTCACATGTGGCATTTTAGAAAGCTGCTCTCATAGCAGGAGACAGCAGAATGGTGGTTACCAGAGACTTGGGTAGTTAGGAGAGAGAGGAATGGGGAGATGTGGTCAGAGGATTCACCATCAAAGATAGGAGGAGTAATTTTTTTTTTTTGTGAGACAGTCTCACTCTGTTGCCCAGGCTAGAGTGCAGTGGTATAATCATGGCTCACTGCAACCTCCACCTCCCAGGCTCAAGGAACTCTCCCACCTCAGCCTCCCAGGACTACAGTCATGTGCCATCACACCCAGCTAGTTTTTTGTATTTTTTGTGGAGATGGGGTTTCACCATGTTGCCCAGGCTGGTCTCGAACTCCAGAGCTCAAGCAATCCACCCGCCTTGGCCTCCCAAAGTGCTGGGATTACAGGCCTGAGCCACCGTGCCTGGCCAGGAGAAGTATTATTTCTTTTTTAAAATTGTCCAGAATCTTTGACTTTCTTATCACTGAAGGTAGCAACTTTCTCAGTGGGCCAGCTCTGTGATGTTTTTCTGAGACTTATTCCTGGAAACACTGCCTAGAGCCTGCTCCTCCAGCCCTTCCAACAATTTCATAAACACCTAACTCCCCACATTAAATTCCTGTTTCAACTTGCTAGAAGAGGCTCAGTTATCTGCAATTCTACCGACACAAACACCTTCCACACCCCTCCTCCCGAGGCAGAGTTGATAATTCTACACTGTATGTTACTGAGATGCTTTCTGCAGATTCTCAATAAAACTTTTACTACCTGTATTACAATAATTAGTTTCCACGTCTGTGTGGCCTTCTAAGGTGTACCTGCCTGGCTCTGACTATATGCTTAAGAAATATTTGTTGAATTCATTTGAATGAAGAAATGAGGTGTGAGGATTCTTTTCCTGACTTGTTACACCGCTGACGTTCCACTTCGAAGCTCAAGCTGTAAATCTCAAAGTCCTGTCGTTAAAGATCGCCTGGTACTATTCTTGAGGTGAAAGGTGTTAGCTCATGTGGACAGGCTGGATTCTAATTTAAAACACGAGGAACCAGGCCAGGAGATTGTAAATGCAATGGGTAATGCATTATTTAGAGAGTAAAGAGGGACTTGAGCAAATCGAAAATGTATTACTTACAACCTACTAAGATGGAAATACTTTTAGCGACAGGTGATTACTATTATTATTGTATAACTCCTTGAATTTTAGGCAAGTGCTTTGCAATCACTTGTATTACCAGCACCTTGCAACAACTGTAGATGGTGAGTTGGAATGATTCCCTGACTTCCCATAAAGAAACTGGGTCCTCTATACAGTGGTACTTAAAAAAAGATTTAATGAAAGCTATTTATTCCAAAGAAACTAGAAATTACTTTGTAAGTGTCTTGGTAACTGAGATTTCTTTTTTAGTGGCCATATTTATTCTAATTCTTGTTTGCATTACATGCTGCATGTTGCCTGATGACAGTAATTTCTGCTTCTCACACAAAGAACATCAGGTTTATATTTTTTTTAATAGCTGAAGAAACTGAGGCATGAAGAAGCCGGCCAGGCGTGGTGGCTCACACCTGTAATCCCAACACTTTGGGAGGCCGAGGTGGGCGGATCATCTGACGTCAGGAGTTCGTGACCAACCTGGCCAACATAGTGACACCCTGTCTCTACTAACAATACAAAAATTAGCCAGGTGTGGTGGCACATGCCTGTAATCCCAGCTACCTGGGAGGCTGAGGCAGGAGAATCACTTGAATCCGGGAGGCAGAGGTAGCAGTGAGCCAAAATCACACCATTGCTGGAGAATCGTTTGAACCCAGGAGGCAGAGGTTGCAGTGAGCCGAGATCGTGCCATTGCATCCTAGCCTGGGCAACAAGAGCAAAACTCCATCTCAAAATAAAGAAGAAGAAGCCAACCAGGCAATCCAGAGCTACACAGTGGGGAAAGAAAGCTAAACTTCTTTTATTTGTTATTTTTGAGAGCCTACCATATTCCAGGCATTCTGTGCTAGCTCCTGAGTGGACTTTCTGCTTTGCAGTGTGAGGGGTACCTCTCAGATTGCATGAAAAGATCCTTCCTTAGCCTGTGGCCAATGTGCCTCAACCCTGTGCCTTCCTAATCACTGGACTTTCAGAGGTCCTTTGTCATGGTTAAAGATGACCCAAGTCATCTGAAAATGGCAGAGAGATGCTTCAGCTGTCAACATTTTAAAGATCATCCTTTCAACTTGAACCTTTATATTTGGTTGTTACCAACAATCCCCACACAAACCCAAATACTAAGTTTGCTGTATTATCATGAATGTGTGACATCATGCAGTGACTCACACCTGTAATCCTAGCACTTTGGGAGGCTGAGGTGGGAGGATGGCTTCAGCTCAGGAGTTTGAGACCAGCCTGCATGACATGAGACCTTGTCTCTACAAAAAACTGAAAAATTAGCCAGGTGTGATGTCTCACACCTGCAGTCCCAGCTACTCGTGAGGCTGAGGCCAGAGAATAGTGTGAGCCCAGGAGGTCAAGGCTGCAGTGAACTATGATCACACCACTGTGCTCTAGCCTGGGTGACAGAGCGAGACCCTGTCTCTGTCTATAGATAGATATAGATTTAGATATAGAGAGGAGATACATGTGTATATGTATATATTTATAGACAGAAACACACACAAACATATATAGTTTTAACTAGATCCTAACAACCCTTGACTTTGTAGCTCTTCTGCCTCTTTAGTCTATTAAGAAGTAGAAAAATAAAATGACATTTAATTTTAGCCCAACACATACTTATGTCAGACACTGTAAAATGCTACAGAGGATCCCAGCCATAGACAAGCCTTGGATTCTACTCCCAGTGACCTGAGAGTTGAGTAGAAGAGAAAAACGTGTTCACAAAGAGCCAGAACTCAAGGCTGAATGTGATCAGTGCTTGAGGGAGGTACCTTATAACTGGGAAGCCTGCAAGAGGGAGGCTGACTTTTGACTTTGGGCGTAGACAGAGTCAGGAAGGTCTCGTGGGAGACATGACATCTGAAATAGCCTTAAAGGATGGGAAGACTGTAAATAGGCCAAGAAAAGAAGGATATTGGCTTTCCAGATAAAGAACAGAATAGAAGCATCTGCATGGAGACAGGAACTCCCCGAATGTGTGTGACTGGGTGGTAGAGGGAGGGTTGTAGGTGAGTGATAATAATAGCTAATATTTTTTATAATTTATCCCATTTAATCCTCAAACTCTGTAAGAAAACACAGCCTTAAATGAATTAAATAACTCGCCCTTGGAATTTCAGATCCAACAAGAGCAAGTTACTTAGGGGCTTACTTTGGTACTTACAAAAGTCACTCACACAAATGGGTGTTTACATAAAATTGGCCCCAGGAAACCACCATGAGAACTGAACTGGAAAAACTCAACAAATCGTCAGCCCTTAGTAGAAAGGAAGGGGGACTAATATTTATTGAGTATACAAGAGCTATGCTAGTTACTTTCCCTACGTTTATCTCATTTTCTCTTCACACCAATCAGGTGACTATCTCTACTTTACAGACAAGAAAAGTGAGGTTCCAAGAGATTAAGAACCAGCTGTAGCTAGTAAAATGGGAGTGCTGATCTCAAATCCAGCTGGGAGTCCACGGCCTGTCCTCCTTGCTACACCAATGAGGAGTGGAGATTAAAAGTAAATCTCAATGTAATTTCTTTTCATTCTTCATAGCTTACGTTGTGATTACTATTTAAAGTGTGTGCAATGTTGACAATTCAGAACATGTAAATGCAGATTTTGACATTTTAGACTGAAGAAACAGGCAGCCTTGGGTTAGTTCCACTATATATTAAATGATAATCTATGAAGACAGCAGTTTTGAAAGGTATCCAGGCAAATAAGTTGTACTTCTGGCTGAAGTCAGACAGGTAGATGAAACTTTGATGACTTAATTCCCCCAACTGTTAAAGGTATAAGCAGACCAGAACCCTGAATTGGAGAGAGGCTGCCAGAACACTTATTAGGAGCAGTAAAGCGCAGGGCCATAATTTCAACAGGTGATCTTACCTCTCCAGCTAATTGTTTTCCAAGGTTTCTCGGCTCAGAACCATTCAGCATTCTTTTCACTTGGGAAATGTGCGTGCTCCTTAGGATATTTTCCAGGCTGCAGCCACCCCTGTCCTCTAGTCACGGCAGTATTTTTGCTCAAAGAGCTGTCGATTAGATTTAAGAGCCGCCCCTGCTCCACAATGCGCTGTCTTGCTGATCTTCAGAGAGTGCTGTGGTGTCGCCCTCTGATTTATGGAGAGGGCAGCTCAAACCCAGCCCAGGGCTTTATTAAAGCAGCTTTTAGTCATATTATACCTTCCCAGCTCTGAGGCTTCCAACAGCTCCACCACCTAGGAGTCGAATCCCTTTGATAAGTAGCATTCTGGGTGATTGGAAAGTGGGGGCTGTGCCTCGTACCCTCCCACCATCTTGCCTCCCGACCCCCTAGGTGTGAAATGGTGGGGCAGGGAGGGGGTGATGGAGACTCAGGCGCAGGCCTGCTCTCCAGGTGGCTTTTCAATTTTCATTTTTTTTTCCTGACCCTCTCTTGACCTTCTCCATGTGACAGTGTTTGCCCTGGAGCTGTGCCTCTTCACAGTGATTTTTTTTTTCCATCCAGGCTTTAAAGGGGGAGCCTCTGAGAGGTGTGGCCACACACACCCACTTTCAAAGGCACCTGCCCTCTGGGCTGTGCCTTTGAGTATCTGCAATATCAAGCTACAGGATGCAGGGCCCCTGCAGAAGACACATTCCATCAGCAGCATTTGCATATCTGCAGGTGAACTGTCTTGCAGGTTTGGAGTGTGCAAAGTCAGGCTTTGTCCCATAACATGAATCTTTGCTTCTGTTGATGTATCACCCCCTGCCACAACACACAAACCAGGCTCTTGCCAAGTAAGGCCAGAGATGGGGAAACTTGTGTATTCTTGACAATTGAAAATTGTGTATTCTATTCAGAGGCAATGAGGTCCTCCCCAGGGACCTGCATCAGGACCTCTCAGGCTTGCCTTCCTTAGGAGTGAATCCTACATCATGTCCCTGCACCAGCAAACTCATTGGAGCAGTGTTGATAAGCAGAGTCATGCTGGGTCAAGGTTGGGAAATAACTGGCAGGGGCACCCTCCTCCCCCAGTTCTCCATGGGGGATGAGCCACCACAGGCCGTGTGGAGGATGGGTTACTGTGGCTCTGGCGTTGACAGACTGGGTGACCCTTAACCTGGCCATCTCTTAACCTCACCCACCTGTCTTTAAAGTGGTGGTTGTGCTGACTTCACAGGGTGATGGGAAGACTGCATGAAGCATTTAGTACAGTAGTTGATGGAGGCTCTGGGTTATTTACCATCATTCATCCTTACTTCCACAAAGAATCTGGTTTTAGGTGGTACTTAAGTAGCACATAATCACCATGAGAAAGCTATTTCCTTTCTGATCCTCAGCTTTGGTCAACAAGAAAAACTTGATCAGGTGCTAGGATGTCTTCAACATCCCCCTAAAACTTGCTAATCTATTATACTCACAGACAGCAGGCCTCAGCTTGAATTTCTGCCGGCTCTAACTGGAATTCCGTAACATTGATTTGCTTTCATTATATTAATTGTATGATTGTCTCCTATTTAGGAAAAAAATGATCCTGAGTTTTTTCACTTACAGTAGTAAAGAAGGTTTTGTGAAAATTATTAATATTTAGGTAAATATGAAGTAACAGATGGTACAGCTAGATATAGTAACAATCATGGTGTGGTAGGAAAATGAAGTGTAGAAATGCTGTGCTACACCACGGAGAGGTGCCCCAGGGGCCTCTGAAGCTTCTAGAAAGTGGAGTGACTCCTGGAGGATGCCAGCTATTTGGCTGAACTTTGGGACTCCAGGGTAAGCTAGAGGGGAATGCCATGAGGCCAGGATGTTCTGAGACAGAGACTGTCTCAGAAACTGAGGAGTTTTTCCCCAAGGGAGATCTTGCCTGGCTCCCACCCCTTCTTGCTCCCAGCTGGATTTTCACCATCTGCCCATAGGCCCTTTTCTTACTCTCACCCCCCAAGCCGTGGGTGGCTGCAGGAGCACTGGCTGATTCTCCTGGAAAAGCCAGAGACAAACCAGGCTGCACCCAAGTACGTAAAGCAGTGATCTCCAACATTTTTGGCACCAGGGACTGGTTTCATGGAAGACAATTTTTCCATGGACTGGTGTTGCGGGGGAATGATGATGATGGTTTGGGATAAAACTGTTCCACCTCAGATCATTAAACATTTGTTAGGTTCTCATGAGAAGCATGTAACCTAGATCTTTCTCATGCACAGTTTATAATAGGGTTTTCTCTCCTACCAGAGTCTAATGCCGGTGCTGATCTGACAGGAGGTGGAGCTCAGGCGGTAATGCTTGCTTGCCCTCCATCACCACCTGCTGTGCGGCCTGGTTCCTAACAGGCCACAGACCGGTTCTGTTCTGTGGCCCAGGGGTTGGGGACCTCTGACATAGAGGATTAAATGGAAACTTTCTTCTCCCCAAAGCCTGAGCATTAAAGCAGGCCTCAAAGTTCTTCTGTCCTACTGCCTTTCAAACACGCTTGGACATTGGCTCATACTAAGGCATGCAGTTCACATCTCGACCTATTACAAAGGTACATTTATGCATAAAAAAGTTTCACAAAATGGTACTAACTTAGATATAATTCTTTATTGTATGCATTTTTATTCTGGTCAAGATCCCGTTAAATGGTTTTGTGACCCGTATGAATTGCAATCTACAATTAGAAAAAATTTGACCTCATTCAGTTTCTTCATTTCAGAGATGAAGAAAGTAAGACCCAGAAAATGACATGAATTGCAAAAAGTCACCCAGTTAGCCAGCCTCATAGCTAAGACTACAGCCCTGGCCTTGGGACTCCAAATAAAAGGCTCTTTCCCCTATACTACATTATGAAAGGAAGAATCCATACCAGGTATTCCTGAAATTGAGGAAAGGCCATTTAAAAATAATGTGGCTCCAGTTATTGATTAAAGAGAAAAACTGGAAAAGACAGAAACATAACCAGAGGTCTGAAGAGCTAGTCATTTTTGTTAGGAAGTAAAAGTTCCACCTGGTAATTAGTTGAGGTTCACTAGAATCCTAAAGCCTGAAAAAGGTCCAACGATGCTGAATCCTACCTCAATAAATACACATGAAATTGAATTGTATCCACTCAATGAGCCTGAGTCTCATGTTGTTGGAAAAACAGCCTAGCCCCTTCTGGCCTACAGTCTTCTATAAAGAGAGGACAACTCCCTGAAGTTAAAGCCCGTAAGGCAGGGGTCCCTAACCCATGGGCCACAGACCACCCGTCTGTGGCCTGTTGAGAACCAGGCTGCACAGCTGGAGGTGAGTGGTGGGTGAGCGGGTGAAGTTTCATCTGTATTTACAGCTGCTCCCCATCATTCATATTACTGCCTGAGCTCCGCCTCCTGTCAGATCAGTGTCAGCATTTAGCTTCTCATAGGAGCCTGAACCCAATTGTGAACTGCACACACAAGGGATCTAGGTTGCACCCTCCTTATGAGAATCTAATGCCTGATGATCTGTCACTGTCTCCCATCACCCCAAGATGGGACCACCTAGTTGCTGGAAAACAAGCTGAGGGCTCCCATTGATTCTACATTATGATGAGTCATATAATTATATCGTTATATATTCCAATAACAGAAATAAAGTGCACAATAAATGTGATGTGCTTGAATCATCCCCAAACATCCACCCCTCTGGACTGTGGAAAAGTTGTCTTCCATGAAACCGGCCCCTGGTGCCAAAAATGTCAGGGACCCACTGCCTTAAGGAGTGCTGTAAAAGTTCTTGTCTTTTCAATCCCAGCCTTCTCCCTCTCTCTCTTTTTTTTTTCCTTGATGAGAGCCTCTCTTAGTTTCACCACCAGCTTCCAAGGTGTCTGTCTTCATTTTCCAAGGCTGCCATAACAAACTACCATAACCTAAGTAGCTTAAAACAACATAAATTGATTCTCTCACCGTACTGGAGTCCACAGGTCCAAAATCAAAGTCTCAGCGGCTTTGGTTCCTTCTGGAGGCTCCTAGGGAGAACCTGTCTCATGGATCTCTCCTAGCTTCTGGTGGTTGCCAGTAGTTCTTGATGTTCCTTGGCTTATACATGCATCACTCCAATCTCTCTCTCCATTGTCATATGGTGTTGTTCTATCTGCATGTCTCTCTGTCCGAATTTTTCTCTTCTTGTAAGAATATTAAGCATTGGATTGGGGCCTCTCCTAATCTAGTACAAGCTCATTTTAAATTGGTTACATTTCCAAAGCCCCTATCTCCAAATAAGATCACATGCACAGGCACCAAGCAGGTTAGAACCTGAGCTTCTCTTTTGTGTAGACACAATTCAACCCACAACACAGCTAATGTCCAGACGTCGCCCCTATCTCTGCACCTCTCAGCAGCCCCCACCCATCAAAATCGTGTGCAGCTTTGCCCAGCGTGCACCTAAGACTCACGTACACTGAATTCCTGATAACTGCGCAAACCCTGCTAGTGCCTTCCTGTATTCCTTTTCTTCCCTCTTCTTTTCTGAAAACATTACAATTTTGTTGGTGGACTGGGGAAAAGTAATCAAGGGATGGGAACAATGTGAGTCTGTTCTTCCAGATCCCTCATTATGTGAAAACAAAATACTTTTTTTTCCCAGACTCTCCTTCTGCACAGGAAAGGCCTGGCTCACTGTTCTAGCCAATGAGAAATGAGTAGAAATGGCGGGAGACTTCCAGGAACTGTCTGATACATGTAGCACACGTGCCTCCTTCTCCCTTACCTCTCCTTGCTCTTTCCTGCCTGGAACCCAGATGTGATCACTAGAAGCACAGCAGCCCTCTTGCAACCAGGAGATGATAAGCATGAAGATATGAGGCCCAAACCCCACATGTTAAAGATAATAAAGCAACTATCATATTCAAAAGAGCCAACAGTTATTGGGCATTTAATATGCACCAGGCATGATTCTCACACATTAAGAGTATTAACTCACTCCATCAATAGTATTAGCTGAGCATGTTATTATCCCCATTTCTAGAGGATGAAACCTGTATGACCCCAGGCAACGGGCTGCAGGGTTCATAGGTCCTGCTGGCAGCATTGAGCTGCTATATAGCTCCTTTTTATTTTAAAATAATAAACCAGCATTGCTTAAGATTTCCATTACTTGTAGCTGATTTCATTCTTGGCTGACACACTGATATTACCTCATAGGGTCATCAAAAGGATTAAATGAGGAAATATGTGTCTGTGGATGAAGGAAAACAATAACAATCAGTTAATAGTGGGTAAAACATAAGTTCTCAATAAATAATTGACTTTAATGTTTAACCTCTCTAAGAAGCAACATAATTACATCAATCATGTAGTAGGCAGAATAATGGCCTCCCAAAAATTTCCTCATCATAATCCTAGAAACCTGTACATATGTTACATAGCACAAAGGGCTTGGTAGATGTGATTAAGGTTAAGGGCCTTGAGATGGGGGATTACTTTGGATTGTCTGGTTGGACCCACTCTAATCGCATGAGTCCTTAAAGCAGAGAACCTTTGCTGACTGCAGTGAGAGAGATTCAATGGCAGAGGTTTGGGGAGATGGCAGCATGAGAAAGATTCAGTGTTCTGTTGCTGTTCTGAGCTCTAGGAGGCTACATGCTACGTGCTCTAGGCTGCTACGGAGGAGAAGCCCCTAGCAGCAGGCAACCAGCAAGGAAATGGAGATCTCAATCCTACAGCCCCATGGAATTGAATTCTGCCAACACCTGATTGAGCAAGAAAATGGATTCTTCCCTAGAGCCCACGAAGAGGAACACAGCCCGGCCAGCACCTTGAGTTCATGAGACCCAGGCTGGACTTCTGACCTACTTAACTGTGAGATAATCAATTTGTGTTGTTTAAGCCATTGTTTGTGGTCATTTGTTACAGCAGCAATAGAAAACTGATACAAGTAATAACGGGATTTCAGACGTAGTCCAGAGAGTTAGCCTAGGGGCTTTAAAGATGAAACTGAGTAGCTGCATATGAAGGTCACCAAGAGTCCCACCCTCTCGTGGAATCATAAAGATGTTCAGTGCCTCGTTTTCTCACCCTATGGTGTAAACTTATTCTGGTGTAGTATGCAGGGTTCACCTGGTAAGCGACTCAAGGGGCACCATTCACATAGCCTCAGGGGTGCCATTCATGCAGAATAGAATGTGAACAGTGCCCCCCAACAGTAGTGCAATGCAAAGCCTGCTAGTCAGAGGGGTCATGTGGGATCATAGCGAGAATATTGGCTGGAGCTTGGAGAGCCAGGGATAAGCAGGGCAAATGTCTGCATTGGTATTGTACAGCCAACCTCTCTGAAAAGCACCTGGCTTTCAGTCCAGTGATTTTGGTATTTGATAATGAGTGCAAAATGCCATTCTAATGTCAAAAACTCCATTTAAAAAAAGAACAAAAACGAAAGCTTCGTGGGTTTCCCTCTCTCAGCTGAACCTCGACAGTCAGATAAGCCAGGTCAATGCAGACTTTGTGTGGCCCAGTTACTCTCTCTATCAAGGCTAATGAGGAGCACATTCTTTTTCTGCAAGCCAGTCAGGTTTAAATCCAAAGGTTAAATTGAGGACAAAGTTGACTCTTAGGTGACAAGGGTCTGTATTTTGAATCAAAATTTGGTGAAAGAAATATTCTAGATCTTGAGAAACACCTGTCCGTTTTTAATATTCTTCCTGGGGAAGGTGTATTCTCCTAATTAGAGATTTAGCAATGCACTGAAGCCCACTACCTATAGAGATCCAGATTACAGGGCTGGTTTGTCAAACACGGTTACATCTGCTGACAAGAAACCAGTTATGTAAAGATGTGAGAAATGGAAATTCTGCACCGATTTTCCAGAACAAAATCTGCCTCTAAAAAGGTGTAACTTCATGCACAATATGCTTCATCGTTTGAATAACAAAATAAGATAGGCAAAAAAAAAAAAAAAAAAAAAAAGAAGACTTCTCAAAGAGAGCCTGCATTCAGGTTGCAGTGAGTACAAGCGATGTGATGAATATTTCTGATGGTATATTTAAAATGTTTTGTGAGAAAATAATGCATTTTAGAAATGGAGTGAGATAATGCCAGAGACTTTGCTTTAGAGGCGATCAAATAAGTTTCCAGGCAGGTTTTTCTTTTTCTTATAGATTCCTGGAGGTAATGGCAAAAGCCACGATTAAAATTCATTAGATGAAAAGTAAACTTATATTACAATTGATGACATTCTCCTCTAAATTGTTAGCCCTATTAGGGAGACACCTATTGTCTGCCAAACTCTTATCTATGCTGTCTGCTTCTCTCTAAACAGTTCTCTTGCATTTTAATCTAGGGAATGTTCCTTCCATGTTAAATTTCGTTCATGCCCCACAAGTCACACAGGGCATTCCATGAGCTATCCTGAGATGCTTCTCAACTTTTCAAAACAGGATGCTGAGGTTGCAAGGAAATTCTTCTGTTCCAAGCTTCAAGTTTAGAAAAATTACTTAAAGATGACAGGAAAAGGATTTCTATGTGCCCACTTACTGAGACAATTCGTTCAGCTGGAAAGAATCCCTGCGAGCTTTCCTTAGAGCCCATGGAAGAGCCAACTGCAAACCTTCTCTTTGGCTTCAAGGCAATTTAAGAACGGCAGAGACTGTGGTGAATTTCTGTCTCTGCAAAGGAAGCAGAAACAAGAGATTCACCACTGTGCTGTTCACATGCTGTTCTCTTACAGTCAGGCCTCTTCCTGTCATACCTAGCCTTAGATTAGATTGTGAGGAGAATAGAAAGTGGTCAGACTTCATCTCATCAAGGCAGTGGCCCCTTCTGCTACGGACGGAATGTCTGTGCCTCCACCAGTTTCTATGTTGAAGCTCTAACCCCCAGTGTGATGGTATTTGGAGGTGGAGCCTTTGGGAGGTGATGAAGTTTTGGTGAGATCATAAGCATGGGACCTGCATGATAGGATTAGTGTCTTCATGAAAAAAGAAAGACCAGAACACACACACATACTCACACTCTCTCTCTGCCCCTCTCCCTCCCCTCCCTCCTCCCCCCCACCCCCCTTTACCAAATGAGGACACAGTGAGATGGTGGGCATCTGTAAGCCAGGAAGAGGACCCTCACCAGGAACCTGACCTGCCAACACCCTGATCTTAGACTTCTCATCCTCCAGAACTAAGAGAAGGAACTGTCCATTGTGTGTCACCCAGTCTGTGGCATTTTGTGATAGCAGCCCACGCTGACTAAGACACCCCCTCATCCATAAAATGTGGCATGATCGTTTCTTCTTTAGGAATTACCCCATCTATGGTCATTTCTTTTGAATGCTCATGCTATGACAATCTGTAAAGTGATGGAGGGTGTTTCACAGCTTGGCAAACCAAAATTCTGTGGGTCAGAATTTTTCTCCAAAACCTAGAGCTGACTCACACACACACACACACACACACACACACACACTGCATCATTCAGCTTGGTAAGCCCTAAACTAACCTGTTCTCCTTATGGAAAAGCCAATTTCAGGCCATCCCAAGATGAGGTAGGTGATGCCAAGCTTGTCCTCTCTCCACCCAGAGCTGCAGGTCAGGAAACAGAACAGAAAGACTCCTCTCACCTTCACCTTCTGGCTTCTCCCCTCTCTGTAGTGGCTGAAAGAAAACTCTGTCACCTCAGCAGGCACCAGTAGGCAGAGCAAGACTGCCCTTCTCGTCTCGTCAGGCAAGGCTGAGTTGGAATCCTTGCACTACCACCAACTAGTTGTGTGACCTTGAGTGAATTATTGAAACTCTCTGAGACACAGTGTCCTCATTTACGAGGTGGTGGTACTAATTCCTGCCTCGCAGGCTGCTTAGGAAGATGAGTGAGATACCTGTGTAAACACACCCCGCACAGCACCCAGCCAGGTTCCTTCGCCCTGCCCCTTCCTCCCAGCCTCTCTCCACAATGAATTAGCAACTCCCAGAGGTAGGTGTGTCATCTCCTCTGGCATCACCAAAGTTCACTCTTCCCCAAGCTCCATCTGAGTGGGTCAGACTTAGAGGCTGTGTTTCAGGAGTTCACGGTGGCAGATCTAGAAAGCCTCAGGAGCCAGCCTCCCCTGAGGGAGAACCTAAGATTGCCTGGTGGGAGGACTAATGGTCTCCAATGTCCCAAGATTTAGCTCTGGGGAAAGTGATATGAACCCATAGTAAACTAAAGGGAACAAAAGTTGATCAAACGAACCAACAACAACAACAAAACCCCAGAAGCTTGTTTTTTTTCTATCTTCAGAGAACAGGAAGGTGAATATGGGTGAATCATTCCTGCAAATCAGAGCTTAAAGAGAGTACTTTGTTTTCTCCCCACTGAGGCTGTTGAGAAGTTTGGGCCCTTGGTGTCAGCTTCAACTAGAAATGAACTTGATTTATAATCTATTCATAACCCAGCTCTAAATCTGTTCCCCTCAGAACTTCTAGCAATAAAAAATAATAATAATTATAATAAGAAAAACCAGGGAGGGAAGGGCAAAGCAATTCAACTTATTTCATTATCTTGGATTTTATACTTCTTGTTTGCTAGCTTGATAAGGGATGCTACAATCTTTTATATCAATCTTTTGTGATATATTTTTTATTGCACTAGATGGTAGGGGAATTGCCCCAAAATTAATAAAGACCATATGCTGAATTTTGATTAGAGATCACTTTGGAATAATGATTGATCTGGCTTGGGAATGAGAATAGGCATCTTTTTTCCCTTTTTCTTTTTTAATCATATGCCTTTCAGAGTCCTTCTGGTCTCCTTTCCTTCCCCCACCCTTGCCTTTATGTGCAAAAGCAGGATAATGAAAAGGTCTTATAAATCTCTGGAGTATATATTTGTTACCAAAAATTGCATTGTAATCTGACCTATCAGCCCATCCAATGCTGTCTGGGAACAGTAATAACAGCATTTCATAACCGTGTCTGAATCTATCAGGGCAACTGATATATTATAGAATGAGATTGGTCCTCCAAGAATGTGATACATGGCATTGGCAGGGACCCATTCCTCGAACCTCTAGGGAAAGTGGGAAAATTATTCTGCATAAAGAACAAACTTCCCTAGTTAGCATAACCTATCTCCAAGCCACGGAAAATCTCCTGCTTGCTGGCCCAACCCTTCTAGGAGGTTGTTTTCAACATTTGACAATGTTTTTCTTCAACAACAAGAATAATTGAAGCCTAGTAACAGCCAAGGTAGCCCGTCTTTGCAAATGCTCCCCTTTATGACCTACTTCAGAGTTGCTCCAGGAGCACATAAAAATTACCTGGGAAACTGGTTAAAACTAATGATTCCTGGGCCGGTCTCCAAAGATGCACATTCACTAGGTCTGGAGTTGGGCCCAGGGATCTGCATTTTTAACATGTAGACTAGATGATTCTCATATACATGGTCTAAAGACCACCCGTAAAGAGACACTAATGAGAATGTTCAAAATATCTTAGTTGTGTTTAAATCATTGTCTTTGAAATACAATATCACTAGGTTCAGATCCCAGCTTTGCCATGTGCCAGCTGTATGATCCTGGGCAATTTATTTAGCCAC
Source organism: Homo sapiens (assembly GCF_000001405.40). Lineage (NCBI taxonomy): Eukaryota > Metazoa > Chordata > Mammalia > Primates > Hominidae > Homo > Homo sapiens. Next base: position 205,639,587 of record NC_000002.12, read on the forward strand.
CCTAAGGCTCACGTTTCCTAACCTAGAGAATGAAGATAATAATACCTATATCTTATGGTTGTTATGAATATTAAATGAAATATTGTATAAACAATGTTTAGCACCGGGCCTCTTAATTATAAGCATTCCACATATAGGTATATTCCCAAGGAAAAATGCCTCAAGGAAGAGAGCCATCAAAAAGTTGGGCACTGTCTTATTAAGCTGGTTCTCTATAACAAAAACAATGGACAGTGGAAAGAAACTAAGAGGAATATTGGCTTCAACAAGAGGTAGAGATTTGGGAAAAGTGAAAATTAACAAATGATGTGCTAATAATGAGAGAATATGAAAAGGTTGTAGAGTTGAAAAGTGGCAGAGTAAGCAGAGAGGTGTCCAAATTTCACAGCTATTCTCAGTTGTCCTCTGGATCGTTCTATCATGTTAGGTGGAATATAATTTAGTCATTACTTGGAGATGAAGTATGATTTAAGGAGATGTGTACGAATGCCAAGTGGACTGTGATAGCTTTCTGATGTGTCAGCTTGGCTAGGCTACAGCCCCCATTTGTTCAATCAAACACTAATGTAGGTGCTGCTGTGAAGGGATTTGGCCAATGTAATTAAACTCCCTAATCAGTTGACCTTAAGTTAGAGATTGTACTGGGGGGCCTGGATTAATCAGTTAGAAGGCTTTCAAGGCCTTCTAACTGATTAAGGAAGGCTGAGGCTTTCCTTGGAGAAAGAAGAGATTCTTGCTTGTGGACAGTAGCTTCAGCCTGTGCCTGTGGGGTTCTAGGCTGCCCATGAGCTTCCCTTATTGATGGCCTTCTCTACAGACTTTAAACTTGCTTAGCCAGCCCAATTCATGTATATACAATCTATCTATTTAGCTATGTTTCTGTCTCCTCCTGACTCTACTCAACAACTCTTTACCTGGTCCGTGTGATAGAAAGTAGATTCAGAGTAGAATTAAATTACATGACATATAAATAGGCTCCCTCTGTCTCAGCCCCGCTGCAGCCAATGTCATGCCCGTTATCTAACAGGAGAGATACTAAATGTGTCTCTGCAGAAGCATAGGGATGATGTTTAGAAGGATGTTCTATCTTCACCTTTAAAGTGGTTAATTTTTAAAAGTAGTCTTATAGAACAACAGCTGGGAATTCTGCGACAAGTACTAAAGAAATAACAATAGTGCCCTGGATTTTTAACACTGGATCTCAGTAATTCAAAGACACTTGCAGATTTTCTCCTAATATAACTCTGGACATATCTCTGTGGGTGAGCTAAGGGCAGGCATCGTTAGTCTCATCTTAGAGATAAAGAAACTAACGTTAAGAGGAAGCAAGAGCCATCCTCCGGGTGACTCAACAAGTCACCAGGGGAACTGAACAGAGCCTAGGAAGTTAATTCAAAACTCTCAAACCTTGTTTGTCACCTGGTGTGTGAAAGTAAAGTAAATGTAAAGTTTAAAAAACAATAAAAAAGTACTTAAGGAAGCAATGTTTAAAAAGAGAAGGTGCTCATGAACAATAGATTTTAAAAAGAAAAATGCAAGAGGATCTAATTACCATTGAAGAAATACAGCAGCTTAAAGAGAGTTTTTCAATGCACTGTGGAGTTAAAAAACAGTTACCATCTTACTACAATTATGCATCCATTTTTGTTTCTAAAATGCACGGGGAAAATATCTGGAACGGCATACATCAAAATCGTAAATTATAGGTGAATTTCATCTTGATTTTGCTTTTCTGTCTTTTCTCAATTTCTCTATTTTCTGTATTTTTTTAAGGTTTTTTTTTTTTTAATGTTCTGCTTTCTTGTGGTGCTTATTACTCTATTGAGATTCAAAGAAAGAATCATGGGACCTGAGAACCTCATACTTTAACTACTTCCCTGAGCCCAAGGGTCAGTTGGCAAGCTTGATAGATGCCAATTGCCGGACTCCCCCCTCTCCCACCTACCTCCAACCTCTTCCGATTGAAGAGGTCTGGGAAAAGCCACAGAATCTACATTTCTGACAAGTTCTCAAAGTGATTCTTTTTTTTTTTTTTTTTTTTTGAGATGGAGTCTTGCTCTGTTGCCCAGGCTGGAGTGCAATGGCACAATCTTGGCTCACTGTAACCTCCACCTTCTGGGTTCAAGGCATTCTCCTGCCTCAGCCTCCCTAACAGCTGGGATTACAGGCATGCACCACCATGCCCGGCTAATTTTGTATTTTTAGTAGAGATGGGGTTTCTCTATGTTGGTCGGGCTGGTCTTGAGCTCCCGATCTCAGGTGATCCGCCTGCCTTGGCCTCCCAAAGTGCTGGGATTACAGGTGTGAGCCACTGTGCCCGGCCTTAAATATTTTTGATAGAGATGGGGTTTCACCATGTTGGCCAGGCTGGTCTTGAACTCCTGACCTCAAGTGATCCGCCTGTCTCAGCCTCCCAAAGTACTGGGATTATAGGTATGAGCCACTGCAACTGGCCCCAAAGTGATTCTTTTGCAGCCAGTCCAAGGGCAGCACTTTGGGAAGCACAGTGACATGAACCACTCCTTATTGAGAAGAAAGCTCCCCAATGTACTGGCCATCATGGTAAGTGTGGGAAAACTGAGTGTCACCCTCTTATGCCTCCAGATAACGAAAAGCCTTTTTAACTCTTCTGCCTCACTTCTGCATCTCTACATTTGTGCCAAGCACATTTGCTACCCAAAATACAACCACAACCAGCAGCAGCAATATCACCTGGGAGCTAGACATGCAGACTCTCAGATCCCACCCCAGACTGACTGGGTGACAACCTACACTCTAACAGGATTCAGAAGCACTAGACTGGAAGACCTGCAGGTACCAGAAACAACCAGAAAGCAATCCCCAGTTACACACTCCCCAGACAGCCCCCTCTCAGGATGCCCTGTGGACAGATTCTCAATGGGCACCTCCAGTGCTCTTTGACCACCAATGGCAAGTCTGCAGGAGCCTATCCCTTGCTCTGGGGTTTGAGGGCCAGGTCTAGGACATCCTTCCTGTGTTGGAGATGTCTGTTGTCTTTTTCTCAGGACAGCCGACTTCCTCCAGTGACCTCCCTTACCCAGGGACCCAGGGCCAAAGAACACCTTTCAAAGCACTGCCCTGTGACTGAGCAGAGGGTGGGCTCAGCCCATCCATTTCCCAAGCCCCTCCCTTTCTCCTACATCCTGAAAAAATTCAGACTGTTTAAGTCATCCTTATCATCATGTTAATAAATGTGGCAGTGTGACGGCCTAAACACAGGAAAAGACCAAGACAAAAAGGAAAAACAAAAACCAACAAAACACTCGCACACACACACACACACACACACACACACACCCATCAATCTTTGCAAAGCCGGATATTTCTTTTTCTTGCCTAGCAGGATACAGCATCTTTGGCATATTTTTCCCTCCTATTTTTGCTCCTTTTTCTTTTCCTTTTTAAATAGACACGTTTCAAATGTCAGGGGGCGATAGTGGGGCCAAGTCAAATCAGATTCAGAAGACCAAATAGCTAAAGGTTTTGATCTTTGCAGCTGCTTCTTCCAGGGAGGCTTGGGGAGACCTCCCAGTGCAGGGAGAGCTCCTGATAAGCTCAAGTGGGCATTTATTGTGCTCACTCAGGCTCCCTCTCAGGTTAACCTTTATTTGCAGACTTGAACTAAAATGGTTACCAGCTTGAAAGGAAAGCCCTCTCTCTCCTTCTTCCCACTCTCCCCTTCTCCTAGTCCCAGAGGGGAGGAAAAAGAAACAAGGCAGAGGTTAAGTGAGGGAGACAATAAAGAAGGAGGGAGCTCTTATCTAAAATCTGACTTTGATTTTAGCGACTGACATTGAGTGGCAGGTCTGTCGCCAGTTTTTGTTTTTTACACCGTCCTCCAAAAATCCCGAGAGAGACTCAGCCAAGTTGGTCCCCACCTTTCCAAGTCAGCCTAATGGAAATTAGACTGCACACATCTGCCTGCCCCCAGAGGGGCCAAGGCTAATCGGGTATCCTCTCCGGGGAGCTGAGTGTCCAGGGACATCCCATATTTTAGCCGAGTAATTCAGACTTACTTGCCTAATGCCTTACTGAAACTTGTCATCACAGCAGCCGAGTAAAAAATATATCTGCGTGCCGTGTGGAGCAATAAATCCTGGGGCCATATTCTCAGTCATTCCATATTTCAAGGCAGGGAAGCTTATTTCTACAGACTGTTAATAACAAAAGTGACTGTATAGGAAGGAGAAAGTTTGTGTCTATCCTTGGCCCCCTTACAGATCCATCCTGGATTCAGGAGAGCATTTGAGGCACAGTGTTTTCATGGGATTCACAGCTGCCATAGGACTGTACTCCACCAGACTCCCCAAGAAAATGGGCTTGTGTGTCCCTGACTGAATGTAAACAGGAGGTGCCTCTTTGTTTGCTATGAGAAGATGCATGGCCCTCCAGTTTTCAAGTATCTATGGGAATCATCCAGCCTGATGGCAAAGTGGGCTTGCGGTAGACACTGGAGGAAAGGGAAAAGAGAGAACATCCAGGCTAGAGGGTTTAAAAAAAGAGATGCGGGTGGGATCTGAGGAAAAGGCTGAGACTGGGTAGAGCGGTGAGTAGCCTCAGGTGAATCAGTCCAGAAAAATGTGGAGTGTAACTCAAGCCAGCCTTTCCCAGGTCCCAGATGGAAACCAAGAGGTGCTCGCCCACACAGAACTCTATTCCAGTACTATTTGCTCTCCTCTCCTCTCTCTCAGTAGTCTCTATTCTCCAACAGTAAAAGGTCTCTCCTCTCCATCAGTAAACACCTACTCATTCTTCAAGATGCTCGTCAAATTTTACTACCTCTTTAAAACCTTCTTCATGTCTCCCATACAAGCTCGTTGTTTCTCCTCTGTGTTCCCAAAGCCTTTTGTTAAACTCAGAGCACACATCACTCCCTAGGGAGGCAGTCTAGAGCCAAGGCTGAAAGAGCAGTCTCTAGAGCTGATCTGTCTAGTTTCAAACCCTGGCTCGCCACTTACAAGCTAAACAACCTTGGGCAAGTTTTGTCACTTCTTGAGTCAACTGTAAAATGGGACCAACAGTAGTACCTGCCTCATAGGGTTGTCGTGTTAAGTGAGTTTCTATATAAAAACAGCTTAGAATAGGCCAGGGGTGGTGGCTCATGCCTGTAATCTCAGCACTCTGGGAGGCCGAGTCAGGTGGATCACAAGGTCATCAGGAGTTCAAGACCAGCCTGGCCAACATAGTGAAACCCTGTCTCTACTAAAAATACCAAAAAAAAAAAAATTAGCTGGGCATGGTGACACGTGCTTGTAGTCCCAGCTACACTCAGGAGGCTGAGGTAGGAGAATTGCTTGAACCCGGGAGGCGGAGGTTGTGGTGAGCCAAGATCGTGCCATTGCACTCCAGCCAACAGAGTGAGACTCAGTCTCATTAAAAAAAAAAAAAAAAAAAAAAAGCTTAGAATAATGTTCTGTACATAGTAAGCACTCAACAAGAATTATGATCATTATGATGAGTCTTATTGTCTACCATCACATAACAGTGCACGCCTCATTGGTAGAGGCTAAGTCTTCTTTATTCAGCATTGTTAATGGCAAGCATAGTAATTGACACATAGTGGAGCTAAATAATGTTTGGTAAATGAAAGAATGTTGTGATTTGCTGGAATCTCGATTTTCCCTATTGCTTATAGAAAAGCAGTTACTTTACAGTAGAAATAAAATCATGTGATACTTACTATTACATTTGAAAAGATACTAATCTGAATCTGTGGTGTCTAATGGCTTCCCAGGAGAAGGGACGCAGGAGACCACAAAGAACAAGGTCCCAGAGATTGATCTGCCATGTCTGGCTCCACTTTACAGCTGGGGCTGACTCAAACACAGGGGAAACCAGGATGATGGTCTACTATGGCCTTTAAAGTTCACTTCTTACAAAACTACTTCCAAGAAAAAAGTTTCTATAGCCAATTTCAACTTTCCCAGACATTTTGCCAAATTGCTCTCCAAAATAGATTTAACCAACCAACACTCCTGCCACATTGTTAGAGAATTTCCATTACTTGGCAATTTCTTTAGCATGTAAAATCCCCATAATTTTTTTTAAAGAAAAGTCAGGAAGGCAGAAATAAAATGCTATATTCCTTTCTCCTTCCCTCTGGGTGATTCACAATATTGAAGTCTTTGAATGGCCTAATTTCAAAGAGTATAAGAAGAATAGAAGAAAAAAGAAGAGAAGAAAGTAAAGGAAAAGAAGGGGAGGAAGGGAGGGAGGAAGGAAAGAATAAAAGAAGGAACGGAGGGAGGGAGGGAGGGAGGGGAGAGGAGGAAGGATGAAGGAATAAGCAAGCAAAGCACAGGAGGAAAATAAAAGAAAATCTATTAACCTTGCTTAACCTAGTGTTTTCCAACTTTATTTGACCATGAAATCATTTTCCCCCCTTACATGATCTATTATAATTCTATGGATTTATATGGGGTTCCAAGGAATACACTGGGAAATTCTATATCACATCAACGTTCTTCCTCACCCCCCTCACTCGCATTTGTTCTAAAAAAAAATAGTAGAATATATCAATTGTATTTTAAGGAGTGTTTATAGCTTTTGGTCAATTAGCTCAAATTCTCACAACAGTGTGTTAAATTTTCCCATAACAACTGCTCAGTTAAATATTAGGTATTGATCGGTTTACATTAAAGTGTGAAACACATAATTTACATTAAGTTGTAAAACACATTCATTAATGTTTCTGCGTGCCCCATTTGTTCTACGTCTAGGCTGTTTTGGAGGTTAATTGTTTAATTAAAACCTTCTGTACTGACCATGGGTGTACCTCCAAAAAATGTTTGCTTAGCCTGGAAGAGCCGACCTTGGCAGCCCTGGCTTCGCTTCTCTCACTCTTCAAACTGCACAGCCTCTCCATGCCTCCATTCCTTCAGTGGTAAGATGAGAGTGTTGAACCAGATAATCTCTAAGGCCCACTCAGCATCAACATTTATATTTCAAAATCCTTGCCATGGCAAACCATTACTCCTCTCTATGATCTAAATATTAGACTTGTAAAATGTGAACAGATCTAATTTACTAAAAGCCTCTAATCAAGACCAAAACCTTTTACTTAAACAATTAGAAAACAATTAGCTGGGGGAATAAAAACAATTTTAATTTGCTAAATGGTCTTCCTCTCTCCTAATAGATGTGGACAAGACCCTAACTAATGCTTCTGACCACACGGAAACCACACGGGCCTCACTGAGTCTGTGGGTAAAGGCGTGGGTTGGCTCGATTTTCTATTAGGGAAGTGAAAGGCGCTCACATTAACCTCAGCCTTTTGCAGTGATTCACGTTTAAACATTTACCTGATGTTTGCAATGTGTTGCGCTTCCTACTCATTGATCTATCCTGATGCCTAAGCACAGGTGGATTTTGCACCACCAGCCCAAAGCCATGCATACCTTTGTCATTGTCATACTGCCATGGATTTATGCGCTCTCCTCAAGTGAGCTCCTGGTGCACAATTCTGAGCCCCTGTGAGATACCCAACAAAAGCCCTTTCTTTGTTTTTTGTTTGTTTGTTTGTTTTGAGACAGAGTCTTGCTCTTTCACCAGGCTGGAGTGCAGTGGTGCGATCTCGGCTCACTGCAACCTCTGCCTCCCGGGTTCAAGCGATTCCCCTGCCTCAGCCTCCCAAGTTGCTGGGCTTACAGGTGCACACTACCATGCCCAGCTAATTTTTTTTTAATTTTAGTAGAGACAGGGTTTCACCACGTAGGCCAGGATGGTCTCGATCTCCTGGCCTTGTGATCCACCCACCTTGGCCTCCCAAAGTGCTGGGATTACAGGCATGAGCCACCATGCCCAGCCACAAAAGCCCTTTTTAATTAACAAAATGTAAGAGCATCTGGCCCCAAATTCTGGCTAGAAAATATCTTTATTTGACATGATGCCCAAAAGGATCAATAAACAAACCTTCCATTTTCACCATTACTCAATAGCAGTGTATTGAGTTCACTTAATATATTGCTCTGATTTAATAGAACATTTAAAAAAAATTTTATAACACAAAAATGGAGCAATCTTCATTTCAGAAGTGATTTCATGCCAGTTCCTTTCATTTTTTGGTCCCCTTTCCTTATCTTCTTTGACATGCACATATTTTAATCCTGAGCAAGTTATTTCATCCCTCTGGGTCTTGCTTTTCTACTTATAAAGCAAAACAAAGATTTGAGCCATCTCAATTTTAGAAGCTCTTTTCATTTGCCTTCCTTTATCCTCTCAAAATACACATATTTTCATCTTCGGCAATTTACTCACCTCTCCAGGTCTCAGCTTTCTCTTTTGTGAAATGAGAAGGCTGAATTCTCTGAGCATCCTTCTAGCTTTATGTAATAGAGCATGCTGGAGTGATTTCGCATGCAGGTGTCAGCAGCTGGGGGCATGTAGTAGTCTGCTAGGGCTGCCATAACAAAATACCACAGACTGGATGGCTTAAACAACAGAAATTTATTTTCTCACTGTTCTGGAAGCTGTCAGTCCAAACTCAAGGTATTGCCAAGGTTGGTGTTTTTGTGAGGCCTCTCTCCTTGGCTTGCAGACAGCCACCTTCTTGCGGTGTCCTCACACTGTCATCCTTTAGTCTACCAGGATCTGTGTCCTAATCTCTTCTTTTTATAAGGATACCAGTCAGAGCAGATGAGGGCCCACCCTAATGTCCTCATTTGACTTTACTTGCCTCTGTAAAGACTCTATCTCCAAATTCAGCCACAGTATGGAGCACTGGAAGTTAGGCCTTCAATATATGATGAGTAGGGGTGGACAATTCTGCTCTTAATAGAGCACATGCCAATTTTTCCTTTTTTCTCCCTTTTCTTCCCCCCACCCACCCCGTCTTTAACTTTTCTTAATTTCCTCCCTGTTTTTTCCTCTTACCTCCTTGTTTTTTCCTCTTACCTGGCCCACATCACAGATTCAGTCCAAAGAGGCTTAAGAGGATAGGCTCTGGATTCAGACCACCCAGATTTGAGGAGCAGCTCTGCAAATGATTAGGCAGGTGCCCTGGAGCAAATCTCTGAGGCTCTTAGAGCCAGTTTCCTCCTCCACAAAATGTGGATGATAATAGCAGTACCTATCTCACCGAGTCGTTGGAGGGTTCAGTGACTTCCGTGAAGATCAGGTGAAGTGGTCAGAACACTGTCTGGCTCAATTAAATGTTGGCTTTTATCTTTCAGTTTGTCTGGACATGATTATTGGGCCATTGAGAAGCCAACTTGCATGAGTAGAAGCTCAGGAGAAATTCTGACTGAAGGAACCTGGGATGAGGCAGGAGGAAGACCCAGAGATGGGAAAGACAGCCAAATAGCCATGCCAGAATAGGCCCCATAGTCAGCCCAACAGAGGGCCGTACAGAGAAGGGCTGCAGCCAACAGTGAAATATGGGGACACACACAGAGCTGCTCTGGGGCTACTTTGTGTAGCTACTCAGTGCTTTCATGCACCGAGCCCCAATGGGAACCCAGGAGAGCTTAGACACAGCAAGGATAGGAACATGGGGGTCCCCAGCAGGCAGTGCTATGGGAACGGACGTGAGCTGTCTCAGGGAGGACTCCAGCCCCAGAGGTGGTGCTGAGGAACTAGTTGAGAGTGGACGTCATCAGGTGGACAGAAGCTATACGGACCTGAGCCATGGGTGAGAGCAAGAGAGATGCTCCTTGAGACCCCCCTGACTTTAGAGAGGGGATTTTGCCCAGGGCTGAACTCCTGTGCCATACAGGTAAGGGAGCATGGGCCAGTGAAATCTGGGTGGTTAAATCCAGCGGCCTATGGATGTGCACAGATCAATAAGGCCTGGGGAATCTCAGGTAGTGCACACGCATGTAGCAGTTGGGATAAGGAGTTTGCTGGTCCCTGAACTAGAAGCACATCAGCACATAACTGCAGCCAAACTAGAGCCTTCATCATGTGAAACACGGCAATCACCTTTCCTGAACCAAATATCAGACTACCTGATGGATGGCTGACGAAGCCAACTGAAGAATGGGGCTTTGAAAGTGCAGCCAATGCAGCATGCTAACATTTCACCCTGAATCAGCGCAGGCAGTGACAGACCGTCTCAGTGGTCCCATGCAAGGAGAACTCTCACTTCTGCGCTAGAGAAGAGCAGTTATGGATTCTCCTGCAGGCAGGCAAGTCTGAACATGGAGGGGCTGAGCTGAGCATACCTGGGTCCTTCTTTCAAATTTACCAACTGAGGCTCAAGAGAGGCCAAGAGTATTACTGGAATGAAACCATCTCCACTTAGAAACATGAAAGTGGGGGAGATGAGGAGTTCCCCCTACCAAACCTCATCTAAGGTCACAAACTCCAATGCTTATGGAGTGCTTGTGTGGCTATGTGAAGCGCAGAAGAGTGTAAGAAGGTCAAGAACAGCAGTGGACAGGCTTAGCTTAGGGTCTAAATCTGGGTTGGGGGCAGAGGTTGTGCTGTGGAAACGAGAACACTCCTGCTCCATCAGAGGTGCTGGCTGGGCTTCTGAATTAAGATTATTTCTGAAACAGGAAATCTGATTGTAAACAATACAGAATTCAGCCTTAAACACCACGTGAACTCTACACAGCCCATCTGAGGACTACCATCTGTGGCCCAATCTTACAGGAACCATGTAAGGGCCTGAGAGTGGATGGATTTCATGGATAATGAGAAGCACCAAGGCCTTTGCTCCTACAGGTAAGAGCAGAGGAAAGAGAGGGAGATTTCCTTAGCAATAAACGAGGAGACATCCTCGAGCTTGGAGAGTCTGAGAGATTACTCTTGGGCCCTAACTGGGGAGATTATAGCTTCGGTCCATAAATATAGGAGGATAAAAGGGTTCTCATCTAGGCAAGAGGGAGATCTTGCCAGAATCTGCCTCTTTCTCCAAGCTCACACCCTCTATTGTTGTCAGTCCATTCAAATGCGTAAACCCTGCAGCTAAGTGAGTCACTCAGGCTGGGAGGACTGTCCTTCCTTCCGTCCTTGCTTCACTCTTGCTCCCCTCCCATCACTAATTGTTTCCAGGGCTAGTGCTGGGGGCAGACACTGTCCAAAGGCCTGCTCTGTTCTTCCCAACCCCCTCTGGAATGGGCCTCACAGGCTGCCCTGTGTTGCTAATGTCCATTCATCTGGAACTAGCTGTTCACAGCCCCAGCTAAAAAGACCTTTCATCTACTCATTATCCCTCCACAGAAACCTCAAACGGGAAGAGGCTTCAAAGACCAGGGCCAAGCTCGCTTTCCAGTCTGCATAGATAGTCCCCCAAGCACCAGCCCAGGGAGGAAGCAAAGGGAGCCCGGCCATCCTCAGGTTCTGCTTCTGCCTGCGGAGCTGTCATCTGTTCATAGTAACACCCAGTCTGCTGCGCGCCTTCCTTTTTTGGATCCTTCCATAATTGTGTCTTTTAGAGAAACAAAAGCTTCAAAGGAGGGGTCTGAACACTCTCTAGCTCTGTATGAGAATCCCCTTGAAGAGCGTGAACTGAAATGTTCTGTCTTGGAGCTCCATTGGATTGAGTCTTGAAACCAAGAGGCCGCTGGTGCAACTCCTGGATTTCCCCATCGTATCCGCCTCTTCGTATGATTTCATTACTGATTAGAACCATATTTCTAAGAGTAGATCTAACATGAGGTTCTGAACAGCAAGAAGAATGGCAAAGTGGCATTACCTCTTTCTGATCTTAGGGTCATGCTGAAGCCACTTGGTTCTTTTTTTTAACCTGCTTTTTAGATTGAGGTTGGGATACATTTTCATAGTTGATGGTTCTTTGAACATTTGTGGTTTATCCCCAAGTCCAGTTAGAACCAAAGATTGAATATAAACCAGAATGTCTTTCTTCCTCCCCATCATCACCTTCTCTTTTTCTTCAGTGCAAGCTGCCCAAGTTGATTGGACATCATCCCTAGACAGAAACACATTCTTAGGCTGCCCTCTGCCAGACTAAGCATCAATAAAGAGTCATGAAGCTTCACGTGTGGGCTACAAGCTCTCCACTGAGTGACCCTCGGCCTGCTAGAATCCTAAGTGACCAATTTCAGATCTGTTAGGAGCCACGCTTTCTAGCATTGGTAATCAGACCTGAAGGTGACCAGTCACTAGAAGGAATCTACCATCTGCCCCATGAGCCAACAGAGAACTGAACACATACTTTTGCTTTTTTTTTTTTTTTTGGTGTGCTTGTTCCTTTTCTGCCCTAAATTTGGCCCTTACAATTTCTGCTTGGGAAAACCCATTGAACTTGAACTGAAACATAGCTCTCCCCTGCCAAATAACAGGTTGCTATTTGCTTCTCACACAAGCTAAAACCCCTCCAGTCCTAAGGGGATTCAGCACTGTCACTCTCTGCTCATAGCTTCAACCCAACATCCTTGTGTACTGTCACTGCCTCTTCTTTCATGCCAACTTGGAGGATCTGATGCAAAGCAGTTCTCGAGGCAAGAGTAAGAACTCAGCCCTTAAGAGTCACAGTTTGACAACTGGGCCCTTCCATGTGTACAGCCTTTTGAGGACTGAACTTTCTTGTCCCTACAAATGTTGAATATAGGTTAACTTGACAGCTGGCTACTGAGACCCAGGGGGTTTTACTGAATGTTTGGGACCTCACACCGACTTGGGATGACAGAGAGAGAAAGCTGCTCCAGCCTGTCTCATGCATTTCATGAGCTGGCATTCAGTTTTTTTCTGCTTCTCCATGGAGTGTCCAGGCCAGGTCCAAACCACCATCTGAGAAGTTTGGAGCCTAGACTTATGAATGAGCGGGCTAGAGTCCATACCCCTTAAACAGGTGTTGGTGTGCTGCTCAAAGATGGGTCTGGGGGATACTAAAATCACCAGATATATATGGCACAATGTTCTGGTAATTTTATTCAAGGATTTATTGTTTGGAAAAATAGTTGATTTTCCTTTCTTTCCTGGAGCCCCTGTTCTTTCCAGAGGTGAGATAAAGACACTCCACTAGGTAAAAACTGCTTCTCCCCTGTTCACACTGCACCATCTAACAAAAAGCCATTCTGACAGGACACTGTAGGAATCGTGGACTCCAGGACCCCTGGAGCCCTGTTGCAGAGTGCCCAAGGGTAGCCTGGAGCCAGGCATGCTGCCACCCAACATCTTCTGAGACCACCTCAGGAGGATCCACCATTTCTAGTTTCATGACCTTAAGAACAGCTCTTAACTGATAATAGTGTACTTCATGGTGCCGATAGAAGGATTGAATGACTAGTTACGAAGCGCTTAGAACCATGCCTAGCATACATGAAGTTCTATAAAACTATTTTGATGAGTAAATAAAACCTATTTCTCAAGATATTTTTAAATGTTTAGTCCCAGCAAACAGCCTTCTCTGACTTACTGCCCCAACCAGAATTCCCATAGCAATGATGATATGGCTATGTGATCAGTCAGGGTTTTCACTCCCTGTCACCATTGGCACCCCTCCTAATCCATGGTGCATGCAGAATTTGCATAATAACATGTGCTAATTATTCTAAACAAGGCCATCCAGACTAGGAAGAGAAAGATGTGTCTGACTTATAGATGCCTGTGATAGGCCGAATAATGGCCCCCAAAGATGCCCTTGTCCTGACCTCCAAATTCTGTGAATATGTTACCTTAACAGGCAAAAGGGATTTTTGCAGATGTGATCAAGTTATGAAATTGGAGATGGATGGACGCAGAAGGTCAGAAAGGAGAGAAAATGCCACACTGCTGGCTTTGAAGGTGGAAGAAGGGACCATGAGTCAAAGAAAGCAGGCAGACTTTAGAAGCTGGTGAAGGCAAGGGAACAGATTATCCCTCTAAAGCCTCCAGAAGGAATGCAATTCTAACAACACCTTGCTTTTAGACTTCTGACATGCAGGACTGGAAGATAATACATTCATATTGATGAAAACTACTAAGTTTGTGCTAATTCACTATAGGAGCAACAGGAAACTAATACGACACTTCATACAAAAGACTTTCTCTGATGGAACATGAAAAGCTCAGAGGCGTCGACTTCGCAGCAGGATGCCCAGAGAGAGCCATACCCCAGATGGAGAAAAGAAGCAAAGAAAGACTGTAATTTTTCAAAGAAATATTTAGTACCATCTTCTGGTCTTTTTCATGATCAACTAGCAATGAGATCATTTGCCTCTGGTCACAGATTGTACCTGCATTTTCCAGTAAAAAATGTGTTCTTTAGAATATATCTAAGGAATACATTAGTTCCTTGAAAAGTTTCATTTTTCTTTGTGCCAGGTCTTCCACTGTTTTTGTTGACTGTTATCTAAGTCTTTCATTTACATTTTTACAAGTTTACATAATAGTACCAACAGCTAACATTTATGGAGAGCCTTCTGTGTATCAGGCACTGTCCAAAGTATTTACATGCATTCAGTCATTTAGTCCTTCACAATAATTCTTTAAAGTCTCTACTGCCATTATGCCCATTTTTTCAGATGAGAAAACTGAGGCTCTGAAAGGGTAAGTAACTTTCCCAAAGTGATACAGCTAGAAAGAGGAAGAGCCAGCCTTCAAACATAGGTGGTGTGGCTCCAGAGCCCATGAGCCTAAGCTACACTATCTTGCTTCTCAAAACACTTAACTTCCTAAGGGCCAAGACTCAGTGTTATTCTTTCTTGTTTATCTCCCCTACTTCTGCTCCGCCATGCCTAGCACATTTATTGAGCACCTGTTATTATTAGTCCATGTGGTGGATACTTCCATGTACATTACTTCATGTAATCTACTACAACCTCAAGTGCCTTGTCCAATGTCGTACGAATACTGACAGGAGGAACCTCAAGCCTATGATCATTCCAATCCACCATGCTGATTTCAGAAATAAAGGCACTGGAGTTGGAGCCAACAAGCCTGATTTAAGGCTTAGCTCTTTTACTTAATTCCTAGCTGTATGAATTGTGCCAATCTCTTCACCACGTGGGCCTGTTGTTTCGCCTCCAAAATGGAGATGATAAAACCCAGTGCTGTGGTTTGAATGTTTGTCCTTTCTAAGACTTATGTTGGTGTTTTATCTCCAATGTGGCATTACTAAGAGGTGGGGCATTTAAGAGGCTCTATTAATTCATTCATGGATTGATGGGTTAATGAATTAATGTGTTATGGGAGTGAGACTGGTGGCTTTATAAGAAGAGAGAAAGAAATCTGAGCCAGCATGTTTAGTCCCCTTACCATGTGATGCCCTGTGCTGCCTTGGGACTCTACAGAGAGTCCCCATCAGCAAAAGGCCCTTACCAGATGCAGCTCCTCATCCTTGAACTTCTCAGCCTCCATAACTGTTAGCAATAAGTTCCTCTTCCTTATGAATTACCCGGTTTCAAGTATTCTATTATAAGCAACAGAAAACAGAGTAAGACACCTATCTTGTCGGGAGGGTTGTAATCTTCCTAGCTCCTGCTGGATGGGGCTGGTGGGACACCACAACCGGGAGGCAGAACTGGCCTCCCTCAAGGCAGTAGTGGGCGTCTGAGTCTGGCTGTTAGAGCAGAGCTGTGGGCAGTAGCTCCCTCCTTATGAAGCCGGGCTCTGGGCCTCCCGTCTTGCCTCTTCTGAGAGAAGTAACCATCCAGTTGGAGAGCCTGGAGGTTACTCCCTCACTGGGAGCAGCACTTTATCGCCTGCCCTGTCTCCACTTCCTCATTGTTTCTCAGGGCTGGCTGCATGTTCAAAATCACTTGGGGAGTCTAAAGGGAATATGAATGCCCAAATCCTGCCTCCAATTAGTGAAATCAGAATCTCTGGAGCCAAGTATGAGTATTTTTGTTAAAGCTCCTCCAGTTGTATTAATGGGCAGCCAGGCTTGGGAATGCCAAGAGTAGCAGTTAAGAACTCTATCTTTGGAATCAATGAGACTCACATCTACTCACATCTATGACTCGCTACATAGTGATGGGCAAGTTACTCAAGTGTTCCTTGGCGACTAATCAGTAGAGCAGCATTTTCCAACCTTTTTCATGACATAGCACACAGAGAAAATAACAATATTTGTAGAGCATCCCAGAGTAAATAAATGAGGCGGGGAGACCTTCTCAGACACTTTGGCCATCTTGAGATCAGAGACGATCTGTATCTATGCACACTTGTGCCCCTTTCAAAACAAGCTGGTAGGGAGGCTTTACAGAGAGGAGCAAGTGGGGAGATTTTTATCAAGTCAACTCACCATAGGGTATTGGAGCTAAAAGGGACCTTAGTAAATGATACGTTCCAATCCCCTCATTTCACACTGAGGAGTAAACTGAGGCTAGAGAGGTGGGGTGATTCACTCAAAGACTGTGCTGGAGTGGTGTTAACAATTGCCCTCGGTCAAAATCAAATGCCAGGCCAGGGGGCCTTGTTACCTCCTGTTGATCAGAGGGCAGCCATAAAAGAACCCCCCCTCCCTTGTCAGGGGATCTCACTTACATCATCCTGGATGACAGGTTGATTCATTGGCCCTACACTCTTGCAGCCCAGGAGGATGGCTGAGAGACAACCGTCTTGAAGTGCGGGTGCCTATGGGGAATGACAGCGAGCAAGTTTGTTTGCTCTTTTTCTTTTTCTTTTCAATCTGGAAAGCTGCAATCAATGAGTATGTGCAGAATTAAAGCCAGATTATAGGAACAGAGGTAAAATCAGAGAGACTGACAAGTCGAGCACTCAGCATGCTGAAGTCATTTGTCTAGCTAGAGGATCGTTTTTCCCCTTGAGGTTTATTTAAGTTGTGGAATGGCTGAGGTTTTGGGGAGCTGTTAGGGTTCTGACACTGGAGCTGCTTTTGCACTGCTGATTTATAACAGACTCATGATGCTGGAAATGCTGGTTGCCCTGTTTGTATGCAGCCCAGAACCACCCACCCCCTCAACTCCACACCTCCATGCTGCATGGAGATGAAAATCCAGAATGTAAAATATGAAATCTGTTGGTGACAAAGAAGGGCTAGGAAGCCACTGGTTACAAGGGTTTGAAAGCGGAAGCCGGGTGCATGCTTTCCAGTATGGCTGCAGACTGTCTTTGAACAGATGTCACCCACTCCCCTGCCATTCTCTTTGCTTAGGGGAGGCGCAGGGTTCCAGAATGGGAGACAATAGGCATTAATATCCATTGGAATGACAGCTGTTTATGACTTGCTTTGCTCAGGACACGTGTCCCCTAAGCAGAATGATTAGCACTGCAGCAGAATACGATATTTGTGGGTAATCAAAAGCGAAAGGCAGATCATTTGGACTAATGGGAAGCAAGGTCCACGCCAGCCTTTCTGGAAGTTCCTGCTAAGAATAAATAATAAAATGAGTTCATAGCAGTAGCCTCCCTCCCCCTCGTAACATGGTGGATTTGTTTAGTGTATCCTGGGAAAACTTACCTGCCTTGCCAGGGTGTTATGAGGATTAATTAATGTTTGTAAAGTGCTTGGAATTCCACTGAAGAAAGGTACCTTGTCGATGCAAATTATTATCATTATATAGTGCCTTTCATCCCAGAATCTCCTAGTGCTTCCCCAACAATTAATTAAGCCTCACTACACCCCTGCGAGGGGGGAAAGCATCATTCTGCCCACACTAATACGGCAGAGTTTCTGCACCTGAGTCACAGAGTCTAATGTTCAAGTCGCCCTCCAGGAGGGAGAAAGACTCCATTAGTGAGCATCCCTAAGTGCTTCATAATACATGAGTTGCTAACAATGCAAGGCAAAGCACTATACACCCATACCTATGACTATAAGGGCTTGTTTAATTTTGTTTGGTTCCTAATTGTCTGGGCTGCTTGTTTTATTTTTCTCCCTTCTTTGTAAAGCAATAAGGTGCTTGTCAGAGGAGAGCCCAGTTAGCAACTGTAATGAGTTACGGTGTTTTGAGACACCTTCTAATCCTATTCCTTAGCATCTATAACTCCAGAAACAGGTTGCACCCTTCCCCTCACCAAACAGCCCTCCCCCCACAAAAGAAGTTAACTTACCTTTAGCAAAAATCATAAAGGATTTACTAACAGGATGGACAGTTAGATGCCGTGTTAGCAATCTGGAAGCTGCATCCTCGTCTAACATGTGAGCATCTTAAGTATGTATTGTAATTCTTTTTTCATTACAAGTGCAGTAATTCATAAACACAAATCTCTTGTATTGGCTGCTTTTAGAAGGAGTCTGAAAATCAAGTGAGCATGTGTAACATTGCAGGGGGACGGTATGTGCTGGAGAAATATCAGCCTGCACAGTCCTTACCAAAGGCATTTTGAAACAGAACATTTTGGCATTGGTTCTGGACAAGCTTTAAGACAGGAATTTCCCCACGAGGCCAAATTTCTAGTCATGAAAATTTGGGAAGAAAAATCATGATTTCCAACTCTAATTATATCTCAGAGGTTGAGTCATCATGTGACCTCAGAAGCATTTCCTAAACTCACATAAAGCTTCCAATTTCTCTTGTGCACATCTTGGAACTAGAAGACTCAGTTTCCCAGTTGGGTTGACCACTTACCAGTCATGTTACCCTGGACAAATCACTAACCTCTCTGAGGCCCAACGTCTTCATCCATAAAATGGGAATAATGGTGGCTGCCCTAACCTAACCTATGTTTTATGTTGTATAGATGAAACGAGGGCATTTTTATGTGGGAGTGCTTTGTAAACCATGAAAGCTATGTAAGTGTAAGTGACTGCTAATAGCAGGAGTCAAGTCATCTTAAGAACCCTGCAGTTATAGGAAGACAGACTTGTTCATAATCATAAATCACACTGAGCAGTAACCACCTCTAAGGTGTGGTGTGCTTATTATCTATGCTAAGTAGCACTGATAGGGAAGTTAGAGAGTTCTAAGACTGAAAATCTTCAGCATTATCAGATGGATTATAGAACATGGTTTTGTTGGTCTAGCCTTTCCCCATCTTACCCTACCCTGCCACCACCACCTAGTCTCCTAATTCCACTGAGGAATTATTTCCTAACACCATGTAGTCCTGGTTGGACTTTTATGTGTGGAGTCTCCTCCACACCCTCATATAGGGTGGGCAACCAGGTTGGCCAATCAGAATATTCCATTCTCTGGCCTAAGGGATGGGCGTCAACTCAAGCATGGCCAATTGTGGGTATTTTCAATGATTGATGTACAAGTGTTGGGAGAAAGTCCACTGAAATTGCTAAGCTGGGAGGATGTGAGTTGTCTGCTACTTGAACAAAGCCTGCTTGAGAGTGTCACCAAGCAAAGACAAGCTGAAGCAAGACAGAGATGATTAGTGAGGACACATGTGTATGATTGGGAAATGGTTTAATGCCTTCACATTACTTGTGTTCCTGAGTCAAACCGTGACTTGACTCCTGATTTCCCAAGTATATGAGCCAATGAATTCCCATTTTATTTAAGCTAATTTGAGTTGAATATCTACTCCTTGCAATAGTAAAATGCTTACTGATACTGTCATGAACCAATGAAAAGCAGACAAGATTTATCAGTTCACCTTTGGGGGAAGGTGAGCCACATAAACATAACCTTCATGATTAGATGAAGCAGTTGCTTTGTGATTCTTTTCATGGTACCTATGAAGTGGATAGAAAAAATGATTTGAAATTACCTTGTTTTTCAAAGGGAATATAGTTGGCTTTCTCACATAGTAAGCAGAGCAGAGCATCATTAGAAGCTTGGGGTCCATTCTCCCTGCCTGCTTCTTATATTTAAAGTATATTGTCAACCAGTATCCATTTTCCTAATATTAGTTCCTCTGTTTGGGCTTCCCCATCTCTTTCTACTTCTACCGCATCAGAAGTCTTCATTCTCTTGTCATTGCTCTGCCATTTGCATCATATTCGCAATAGGGTTAGGTACTGCCCTGTGGATAGATTGAAAACTCTTTGGCGAAAAGGTTGGAACTCCTGAATATTTAGCGCACTGCCTGATACATGGTGGGATCTTGCATTCGTTAAATTGGTGTTGGATGTGACATACCACTCAGTAGATTTAAGGGAAGGCTAAGGCACAAAAGAATATTTTATTCTGAGATCAATCTGATTGGTTACACAAGCCAAAGCATTCAAGTGTAACTGGTGTGTGTGGGTGTGGGTGTGTGTGTACATGCACATGCTTTAACTCACAGGCTTTTTGTTGACTGGTTTGAGGTACATGTGTGCTAGAGTGCATGGTTATAAGCTTCAATTCTGGTACCCATCGACCTGGGTTTGAATCCTCACACACTGTGTGGCTTTTGGGGGAATCATTATATAATCTCTCTGTTTCATTCTTTTTATCTGTAAAAAGAACAAAAATAAAACCTCATTATTGTGAAAATTAAATTGACTTCCACCAGTAGAGTAGCTAGAACAGTGCCTGGATCACAGCAAATACTCAATAAATTTAAGTTTGTATTATTATGAATGAACTCTGGCTTAGAGTATTCATTCATCTGAGTGTATAGACACAGAATCCAACAGCTCTTCTCTACTACACAAGGTGCACTTCATATTTTTCTTGATTGTTTTGCCTGAGAGGTTCAGCTGCTCGATTCTCCATACAAAATCACCATCCTGTGGGGCTGGGCAGCAGGTGGCATGCTCATAAAAGCCTATCATGGTGTGTCACCACCACGGCAAGTCACAGATGGCGTCCTGAGACACCGTGATGCAAACGAGCAAGAGGAGACTGAGATATCCATCAAGCTTCCGTGAAGAATCACAGAGCTCCTCATTTATGTGCTTGTCAACATTTTATCCACGTTTATTACCTTCGTGAGCATTTATTTTTCCTTATCAAGTCCCAATGGTAGATTTTCAGTCTCTATAGTTATGGACATAAACTTTCACATTTTCACCAATTTCCTTCCCCATCAGCCCTCATCTGATCTGTATTTGTATCCTCTTGCTTGTGTGAGAAACAGAGCTTGCTCACAAGTGTCGAATGGATGAAACGTTTCTCATGGTAAGGCAAGTTTGTATGTCCTCTGAAGTCTCCTGCAAGGCACCTCCTGACCTCCACGCACTTCATTCATAGAGCTTTGAAATTTGTTCAACTTGCTAGCAAGTCGGAGAGTATTTACAGAGCAGGGATGAGTCAAATGGGGAACATGAACAGATGGAGAAGAGCCAGTTGTTATGCTTCAAGTATGTTTCCCACATTGGAATGTGTCAAAGCCTGGCGGTATACACTGCATGCGAGTCACCCACATAGTATAAAACTGATTTAATTTACTACCAAACGCCTTCATTTTGCCATTACGTAATCATAAATGTGCCCCCAAAGAGGCAGTGTTAGAACATAAGCCAGGGCAAAGAGCCAACCAGACATGAGATCTAGTCCTAGTTATACAACCTCATTCATGTTCCTACAAATCCTCAGTGGCCTTTCAGATCTGTGGCAGGACATACCTTGACACCACTCTGGTCTGTTGACTTGTCTTTCATTTACCTACCTGGTGAGCTGTGCGGTTTAGCAGCTAGATTCCTGGGCATGCTGGAGAGATACTGGAGAACTGACACTGGTGCCTTGAGATGTCGTGGCAACTGTCAGCTCCACCCGCCCCCACATCCTGTCTACTCTCTAGTGAAATTGCTGCTCTAAAAAAAGACCTCAGAGCAGCTTGAGAAGGGCCTGGAGAGGACGGCCCTCCTCACATTTCCCCCCAAGGTCTTGCTGTTAAATCTCCCACAAGCTCTAAGAGCAAATTGTCAGTGATCCACTTACCCAGCCCTAAACACCTCAGCCACGTCTACCCAGATGAAGGAAATTGCTTTCAGGGATAGATGCATCTCAAGAAAGTTGGCTATAAAATGGATTTTTATAAAGAGAATTCCATTTTCTCCTGGCTTCCATTACAAAATTGGAAAATTTGTCACACTGGAGGAAAGAATCCTCTCAGGAGACAAAAATGAACATTTGGGATGAGAAATTAATGTAAAGCCATAGCAATGACACGTCTCTCATTGGAACGCACCAGTGCCTGCTGGGAACCACCTCATGGTTCACTTTCCCTTTGAATCATTTCCAGTGTTTTGTGGAAGCGTTGGAACTCATGAACCTAATACACACTGTCAGTCCTTTCCCTCCGCCACCCAAGACTTAGAATTTTCTCCATGAGCAAAGGTTCTATTTCCATGTTCTTGCACCTCACAAAACTTGCTACTGCTCACTCGTATTAGTTTGAATATGGCTTTAGGCTGCAACATAACATTTTATTCTTTCATTCACTTATTTATACCCCACTTTATTCCTATAAATGATTTGATGTGGCTTAAAGGAATAAACGAGATAAGATGGTGTATTTGCATTTCAGATTCAATTCTACTTGTTTCATCTTTACTTGCATTTCAGATTCAATTCTACTTGTTTCATCTTTACTTGCATTTCAGATTTAATTCTACTTGTTTGCCCTAATTAAGTCAATTTTGACATTTTAATGTCATGAGCCGTAGCATTAAATAATAAATATTAATCTATTGGAGCTGAAAGAGTCTGATAGGTCATCTGGGCTACCTCCCACCCAGTACAGCTTCCACCATAGCCTGTCCAGTGAAATGCAGTGGTCTTTCTACCTTGGCTCTATAACAGATCATAAGAAACTGCACAAAACTTTTCTCATCATGTGGCTCATGAGACACCCTAGTTTAAGATCTGAAGCTTGGTGAGTTTCCCAGTAGGTGAAGAAGAAAAGTTCTATTCCATCTGGAAAGACTCTGTCACCAGTTACCCAGATAATTTCCCACTACCAGGGCATAAAGAGAGTTTATTCTCTCAGTAGCAATACCTGGGGCATTTCTAGCTTTTTCTCCTTTTTAAGGTTCCTGGAAAAGCAGAAGCCTTTGCTCTCTGAACCCTGGCTTTATGCCACCTCCTCACTTCTAGATGAAAACTGCTCATTTCATTGTCAGCCACACTTGATTCAGTGGAATTTCCCAAACTTTGTCCACAGAATCTTCCTGCCTCAAACTTCCCATTTGGGGGTCTGTTCCCTGGGTTATTTCTGCTTTAAAGACTGTATAATTGTGAATAAGACACTAGGTCCTTCTCTTACATCCACAAGGGGTTATTCTGGCTTTCCCCTGGGAGCGTTGGGAGGATGTGGGCAGAGACATTGAGCTGACAGCTTAGCTGCCCAGCTGAGTGCCAGAGACTTCTGATCTCTCTCTCTCTCTACCTATTCTGTGTGGGTCAAGGGCACCTTCTTCTGCCAATGGCACACAATCCCTCAGAACTGTGAAAAGTGCCACCTGTCGCATTGTTCCAGCATCACAGGGAACATCCACATAATGCAAAGTTGGTGTGTCAGTCTGCATTCACTAGACTATGCTGCTGGAACCCCCAAACCTCAGTGACTTACAGCACAAAGGCACTGGGACTTATAGCATGGCCCGTCTGCAGCCCAACTTTCCCCCTCACAACTGCTGGGGATCCAGGCTGATAAGGATCCCTTGGCTGGTACATGCCATTGTCATGACAGAGGCAAAGAGCAGTGTCCAAACCTCATGATAGCTCTCCTAGTATCTGTTCACAGTGGCGTATGTCACTGTTACGTTCTAGTGGCCAAAGCACATCATATATGGCCCTGTCTGATGTCAAAGGGGTGGGGACGAACACTACAGCTTAGCGAAGGACAGATACTACTCTATCCAGCAAAGGAGAGATGTATAATCCTTTTGCAGTGAGTGAGGTGAATTGGGACCAATAAAGCAATCAACCTCAGTTGATGACATTATAGTTTGGGGAAGACTCCCATAGAGGAGCTAACTTGTTTACACCAATTATAACCTATCATAGAGTTTCACTGTCCAGATGTGGGGGGCATCAGCTCACTGCCGTTTCTTCCAGAAGCACTGAGTGTCCTCCATAGATTTTCCTGTCCCTTCGTCATGCCACCCCCTTCACTGTCTGCCTCACCATCCACACACACTCACATAGCACCTGGGTTCGCTTTTTTCTGCTCTCCCAAATTTCCTACCTCCCCTTCTTTTCCATGCTGTTATCCTTCCCAAAGCCTCCTCTAGTGCCTAGAGGTGTGATACACAGATGTCCTTGCCTGCTCCCATTTCCCTTGCTGGATGAGGTAAGGGGAGGCCTCAAGTCCTTATGGTGAGGGAAGGATGGCAAGACATAGCATGGTCTTGACTGCAGGAGGCAGCTTGCTTTCATTTGCTCTCGCTCTGAATTTCTTCAGTTATGATCACATATTTAACATAAATCAGACATCTCACACTAAAAGAGTTTACCTTCTGCCAATGGACTTCCCTGAGTTTACAGGTGAGACTCATATTCTCCCTGCTAGCAAAGCTTCTGTTCCTTCTTTTTTTTTTCTTTGAGATGGAGTTTCACTCTTGTTGCCCAAGCTGGAGTGCAATGGTGTGATCTCAGCTCACTGCAACCTCCGCCTCCCTGGTTCAAGTAATTCTCCTGCCTCGGCCTCCTGAGTAGCTGGGACTACAGGCATGCACCACCACCACACCCAGCTAATTGTTTGTATTTTTAGTAGAAACGGGGTTTTACCATGTTAGCCAAGCTGGTCTTGAACTCCTGACCTCAGGTGATCTGCCCGCCTTGGCCTCCCAAAGTGCTGGGATTACAGGTGTGAGCCACCACACCCAGATCTGTTCCTTCCTATGCTAAGATGTTATCTGTCTCTTTCACCACCTTTGGTTATGTATGCATTGCTTTCCTATTAACTTGTCTCTGGAAGACATGCCCAGTGGTTGCACTTTTAAGATTTATCTGTGTGTGTGTGTGTGTGTGTGTGTGTGTGTGTATGTGTGTGTTCCAGTTTTTGTTTATTTGTTTTGCCTGGACTGCAGTGGATAAGTAAATTCATTTCTGCCACTCAGTCATATGGGAGCCCTGCGCAGGGTATCATCCACATCTGTTGAACTGTCTCACCACCACCACCACCACCACCACCTTCCTCCTCTCTTCCAAAAGTGCCATTATTTCTTTATAACTCTCAGGACCATCCTCCTGCCCAGAAGATGCTCAGTACAGATGAGCATTTTCAATCTTATGTCCAAGTGTGCTTCTCCCGGCATTGCACTGTTCCTTATTGTTGGTGCACAATTTCATAATTCTGTTTAAGCCCCCATATAATGTAGAGAAATAGCTCAGGGTTGTTGCCACACAATGACACTTTGAGATCATCCCCAAAACAATGCTTCTATGCACCAGGACCTTCATGGTTCCCTTTACCAAACTGTCTTGTCTTTTTTTTTTTTTTTTTTTTAACTTTTATTTTAGGTTCAGGAGTACATGTGCAGGTTTGTTACATAGGTAAATTGTGTGCCACGGGGGTTTGGTGTACAGATTATTTTGCCACCCAAGTAATAAGCATAGTACTTGATACGTAGTTTTTTTTTATCCTCTTTCTCTTCCCTCCCTCCACCCTCAAGCAGGCCCCAGGGTACATCATTCCCTTCTTTGTGTACCTGTGTTTTCAATAGTTAGTTCCCACTGAAAAGTGAGAATATGTGGTATTTGGTTTTCTGTTCCTGCATTAATTCACTTAGGATAATGGCCTCCAGCTCCATCTATGTTGCTGCAGGGTACATGACCTCACTCTTTTTTATGGCTGTGTAGTATTCCATGGTGTATATGTACCAAATTTTCTTTATCCCAGCATGTAGGTTGATTCCACGTCTTTGCTATTGTGAACAGTGCAAACTTTCTCTTTTTTTTTTTTGAGATGGAGTTTCACTCTTGTTGCCCATGCTGGAGTGCAATGGTGTGACTTCGGCTCACCTCAACCTCTGCCTCCCGGGTTCAAGCAATTCTCTTGCTTCAGCCTCCCAAGTAGCTGGGATTACAGGCATGCGCCACCATGCCTGGCAATTTTTCTGTATTTTTCATACAGACGGTCTTTCTCCATGTTGATCAGGCTGATCTGGAACTCCTGACCTCGGGTGATCTGCCTGCCTCGGCCTCCCAAAGTGCTGGGATTACAGGCGTGAGCCACTGCGTCTGGCCAAACAGTGCAAGCTTTCTATAGTTACATAAAGAACTCCAGTTTGAACACTGCATACCCCACCCAGTCTCCTCTGATGGATCAGACAAGGAGCTCCTCTCCCCCAAGCCTATGACTCACAGAATATTCTGGCAAGAGGGGACCTTACCACTGGCCCAGTTCAAGACCCTAGTGCCATTTAGGTATGCAGTTGTCTTGGTTTCCACCCAGAAAGGTTATGACCTTTGACCCTCATGATGTTTGCATTCCCGCCCCGGTGCCTAATCCTGCTGTTTGGGACAAAGGATGCTAACCTATAAATTGCTAGTTTCTTTCTTCCAAAGTATGGCCAACCATTGAAATCATATAAAGCCAACCACCTCATGAAAGAACACACATTGAGAGAGGGCTGTTTAAACAAATGTTCAGTGAGCTCCCGCCTCATAGAACCATGGAGTGGAATGAAGACCAGTCTTCTAGACAGAACAATTGATTCCAACCCCTTCATTTTATAGAGGAAGAAACAGAAATCCAGAAAGTCAAGAAAAACTTGCTTGCCAGGCTGGTGAATGACAGGAAGTAGATTTCTTATCTCTTAAAGCTTTGCCATGTCCTGCCTTGAACTAAGCACAGTAATTTTTTTTAGGAGACAACAAACTCACAAGGAGATATGTTTTATTTTTATTGCTGCATAATATTTGTCCGTATTTATGGGTACATGTGATATTTTGTTACATGCATAGAATGTGTAATGATCAAGTCAGAGTACTTAGGGTATCCAGCACCTGTATTTATCATTTCTGTGTGTTGGAAACATTTCGAGTCCTCTCTTCTAGTTATTTTGAAATACACAATACACTGTTGTTAACTATAGTCACCCTACTCTACTATCAAACATTGGAACTTTTCTAACTATACATTTGTATCCATTAACTAACCTCTCTTCATAACCCTTAGCCCACCTATATATATTTCCTAGCATCTGATATCTATCATTCTACTTTCCACCTCCATGAAATCAACTTTTTTAGTTCCCACATATGAGTGAGAACATGTGATATTTGTCTTTCTGTGCCTGCCATATTTCACTTAACATAATGACCTCCAGTTCCATCCATGTTGCTGCAGATGACAGAATTTCATTTTCTACAGCTGAATAGTATTCCATTGTACATATATACCACATTTTTAATCCATTCAGCCATTAATGGATACTTGGGTTGATTCCATATCTTTCCTTTCCTTTGGATAAATACCCAGTAGTGGGATTGTTGGATTATATGATAGTTCTATTTTTAGTTTTTTGAGAACTCTCCATACTGTTTTCCATAGTGGCTGTACTAATTTATATTGCCACCAACAGTGTGTAAGAATTCCCTTTTATCCACATCCTTCATCTGTTACTTTTTATCTTTTTAATAATTTGCATTCTAACTAACTGAAGTAAGATGATATCTCACTGTGGCTTTGACTTGCATTTTCCTGATAATTAGTGATGTTGAACATTTTCTCATTTCTCAGCATTCTTCAAAATCTCTCAAATTTGGCCACTTCTATGTCTTTTTTTTTTTTTTTTTTTTTTTTTTTTTTGAGACAGAGTCTCTCTCTGTCACCCAGGCTGGAGTGCAGTGGCGCGATCTCGGCTCACTGCAAGCTCCACCTCCCAGGTTCATGCCATTCTCTTGCCTCAGCCTCCCAAGTAGCTGGGACTACAGGTGCCCGCCACCACACCTGGCTAATTTTTTGTATTTTTAGTAGAGACGGGGTTTCACCATGTTAGCCAGGATGGTCTTGATCTCCTGACCTCGTAATCCACCCACCTCGGTCTCCCAAAGTGCTGGGATTACAGGCGTGAGCCACTGCGCCCAGCCTTTCTATGTCTTTTTTTTTTTTTTTTTTTTTTTTTGAGAAATGTCTATTCACATCCTTTGCCCACTTTTTAATGGGATTATTTATTTTTATACTGTTGAGTTGTTTGAGTTCCTTGTATATTCTGGATATTAGTCCCTTGTCAGATGAATAGTTTGCAAATATTTTCTCCCATTCAACAGGTTGTCTCTTTACTCTGTTTTGTTTCCTTTGTTGTGCAGAAGCTTTTTAGTTTATTGTGGTCCTAGGTGTCTATGTTTGTTTTTGTTGGCTATGCTTTTGAAGTCTTAGCCATAAAATCTTTGCCTAGATCAATGTCCTGAAGTGTTTCCCCTATGTTTTCTTCTAGTAGTTTTATAGTTTTAGGTCTTACATTTAAGTCTTTAATCCACCTTGAGTTGATTTTTGTAGAGACAGGGGTCCAGTTTAATTGTTCTGCATATGGATATCCAATTTTCCCAGCATCATTTATTTAAGAAGATATCCTTTCCCCAGTTTATGTTCTTGGCATCTTTGTTGAAAATCGTTTTGCTGTACATGCATAGATTTATCTCTATGTTCTCTATTCTGTTCCATTGGTGTATGTGACTATTTTTATAGCAATACCACGCTGTGTTGCCTCCTCTACCCTTGCAATGTATCAGGTAGTGTGATGCCTCCAGCTTTGCTCTTTTTGTTCAGAATTGCTTTGGCTATTTGGGCTTCATTTTGGTTCCTTACAAACTTTAGGATTATTTTTTCTATTTCTGTGATAAATAACATTGGTATTTTGAAAGGGATTGTATCGAATCTGTAGATTGCTTTGTAGTGGTCATTTTAACAATATTAATTCTTCTAATCTATAAACATGGAATGAGATACACGGAATGTCTTTTCATTTGTATGTGTCACCCTTAATTTCTTTCATTAGTGTTTTGTAGTTTTCCTTGCAGAGATCTTTTACTTCCTTGGTTAAATTTAGTCCTAGGTATTTTATTTTATTTTTTGTAGCTATTGTAAATAGGATTGCCTTGTTGATTTGTTTCTCAGTTAGTTCATTTATTCATGTATAGAAATGCTATTGATTTTTGTATTTTGATTTTGTATCCTGCAACGTTACTGAATGTATCTATCAGATCTAAGAGCTTTTTGGTGGAGTCTCTAAGTTTCTTTAGATATAAGATCATGTCATCTGCAAAGAGGGATAATTTGACTTCTTATTTTTCAATTTGGACACCTTTTATTTCTTTCCCTTATCTGATTGCTCTGGCTAGGACTTCAGGAACTACATTGAATAAGTGTGGTGAAAGTGGACATTCGTCTCTTGTTCTAGTTCTTGGATAAAAGGCTTTTGACTTTTCCCCATGATATTAGCTGTGGTTTTGCCATATATGGCCTTTATTGTGTTGAAAATGTTCCTTCTATGCCTAGTTTGTTGAGAGTTTTTATCATGAAGGGAGTGTATTAGTCCCTTCTCATGCTGCTGTGAAGAAATACCCAAGACTAAGTAATTTATAAAGAAAAGAGGCTTAATTGACTCCTGGTTGTGCATGGCTGGGGAGACCTCAGGAAACTTACAATCATGGCAGAAGGCACCTCTTCACAGGGCAGCAGGAGAGAGAATGAGTGCAAGCAGGGGAAATGCCAGACACTTATAAAAGCATCAGCTCTCGTGAGAACTCACTCACTATCATGAGAACAGCATGAGGGCAACTGCCCCTCCAATCCAATTATCTCCCACTGGGTCCCTCCCATGACACGTGGGGATTATGGGATTACAACTCAAGATGAGATTAGGGTAAGGACACAAAGCCAAACCATATCAGAGACGGATGTTAAATTTTATCCATTTTTTGGGGCATCTATTGAGATGATCATATGGTTTGTGGCCTTCATCCTATTGATGTGATATATCACATTTATTGATTTGCATATGTTAACCCATCTTTGTATCTCTGGGATAAGTCCCACATGATCATGGTATGTTATCTTTTTGATATGCTGTTGGATTTGATTTGCTGGTATTGTGTTGATGGTTTTTGCATCATATTCACCAGGGATATTGGTCTGTAGTTTTGTTGTTGTTGTTGTTACATCTTTGTCTGGTTTTGGTATCAGGGTAATGCTGGCCTCATAAAATGAGCTAGGGAGAATTCCCTCCTCTTCAATTTTTTGAAATAGTTTGAGGAGAATTGGTGTTAGTTTGGTAGAGTTTGGCGGTGAAGCCATCCAGTCCTGGGCTTTTCTTGGTTGGGAGAGACTTTTCATTATGAATTCAATCTCATTACTCATTACTGGCCTGTTCACATTTTCTATTTCAATCATGGTAGGTTGTACGTGTCCAGGAATTTATGCACTTCCACTAGGTTTTCCAGTTTGTTAGTTATTCATAATAGTCTCTGATGATCATCTAATCAAATGTATTATTTTGAAAAATAATTTTGAGACTCATTTCTGTGATATCAATTGCAATGTCTCTTTTTGTTTCTAATTTTGTTTATTGGGTCTTCTCTGTTTTTTCTTGGTTAGTCTAGCTAGTTTATTGATTTTGTTTATCTCTTCAAAAAAGCCAGTTTTTTGTTTGATTGATCCTTTGTATTTTGTAAATTTCTATTTTGTTTAGGTCTGCTCTGATCTTTACTATCTATTTCCTTCTATTAATTTTGGGTTTGGTTTGCTCTTGCCTTTCTTGAGGTACACGATTAGATTGTTTAGTTGAAATCTTTCTACTTTTTTGACGCAGGTGTTTACTGCTATAAACTTTCCTCTTAGCACTGCTTTTGTTGTATCCCATAGATTTTGGTATGCTGTGTTTTGATTTTCGTTTGTTTTAAGAAATTTTTTAATTTCCTCCTTAATTTCTTTTTTGGCCCAATGGTTATTCAGAAGTATGCTGTTTAATTTCCACATATTGGTACAGTTTCCAAAGTTCCTCTCTACAAGAAAATCTTTGAAATATTCTGATTTTTGAGAATGTTGCATGACAAATAATGGCAACTTGTCCTTACTTAGATAGCAGTTGGTTAGTTGGTTTATTTAACTTAGTTCCCAGTGGAACTAGTGGAAACAACATTCAGTGGTTCTCCCCACCTAAGTACACCCTATCTTCTTGTGCCTGAAAGAGATCTGACACAGCAATAGACAAGTTATCACCCAGTAGTGTTACTCTTACTATCCATATAGGGCATGCCTGGGCCCATCCCGCCGGTGCTCACTGGCAGTCTGTGTGTCTAGGTATGTCTATGCTTACAGATACACTAAAGGAGGAGTTGTTTCTTTGCCTGGCCTCAACTATGCCCCAGGAGCAATTAGGTTCTTAGTAAATGCTGTTGTAGGGTAACATGTTTTTACTACAGTGATAAATATATATATATTTTTTTAATCAACATCCTGGTGACAGACCCCATGTTGGCCAGCTGATGCTAATTTGTGGTATGTTGCAAGATTTATTTTGTAATCTATTCCTAAGTTCTTTTGTAGACACTTGAGTAAATAAACCATGTGGAAGAAAGGTAGGAAGAGCTGGAGTTTGGAGTCTGAATGTAGCCCTCTGGTGAGAGTACAGAACTTGGTGTCAGAAGTTTAGAGTTTAATTTCCTGCTCAGCCAACAACTCTTTGTGTGACAAATAAACTGACATCCCCGTACCCGTAGGCAGAAAGACTGTCTAAACAACTCTAGAGCAGGGGGATCTGTTTATTTTGCAATTAGCAAAAGGTAAAGGGTCTTGTCTGAAACACTTAGTTAGGATCCCAGACTTGACACTCTTTCCACTGGCTGTGCGTGCCTCCTTCTTTAAACAAACCTCCCACCATCACCTTTTGAAAGATTCTGAGAATTTAAAAAATTCTAACAAATACCACAGCAGCATTTGTTCAAATTGACTTTTAAAAATCACTTTCATTGGATCTAGGGTTTCTTCTAACATGTTACCCTTGGAAATGAAGGATCAAGATATGAAAGCCATCGTAACAGTATTTCTGATGGAATCGCCCTGGTGAGGATTTTTTAAATAGTAGCAGAGGAGGCTTTGATTTCTTCCCATGACAATGTTGCAAATGAGCCTAAATACAGCTTTGCATTTGTTTAACTGAAAGCTGCCATTTCTCAGTGTCAGTTGGGCGTTGTATCTCAGAATGACAA